>NC_000002.12:230822951-231125981 GCF_000001405.40 Homo sapiens
CACTTCAGTAGTAAGACAGACCCCAGAGATTTCTGGAAAAGAGTGACATTTTTTCAACATTCTGCACAAGATTGACAGGTTTTACAGATGAGCTTTAGCTCACAAGAGCCCCTTTCCCTTGGTAATAATTTATTATCACCTAAATATTGGTGTTCCGTGGAAACAGCATGGTCTAGCACTAAGTTTTGGTAGCTGAGTCTTGTTTCCTTGAGATGCAACTGGCGTGCAAAGGCAGGAAGAGCCGCAGGCCAGCTGGGGAGGCTTCTGCCCAGAGGAAGTTTCCAGGCAAGACTGCACCCCTGATGGCTCCCTCTTTCTTCCCCGTGAACTGCAGCATGAAGACCTCAAGACCCCTCTAGCCCAAACCAATCCCAGGGAGCAAATACCCCTCCCCAGAAACACTGCTCACACACATTCATGGGGACCTTTGCATATATCCCATCATCTTAAAGTCCTCACCTGTGTGGAGAAAAAGGAGGTGAGGGTCCCTCTGCACCAAGTCCCCTCCTAACCCAAGGGGCACCTTTTCACGCTTAGCTGAATCTCTGTGTGGTCCTGGGCTCTCCCTAAGCCATTGAGGACCTGCTGGTTTCTGGGAACTCACTTCTTTGAAGATCCGGGGCGTGAGGTAGGGTTGGGTGCCAACCTGTGTCATCCAAACACATTAAGAGGGCCCTGTCAGTGCCCCACATCGTCCTTGACACCCGCTTCTGCTTATTGTGAATACCTGTGACTCTGCCTCGGCACTCTCCTCTGGCCCCAAATGCAGGAATGACTGTCCCCAGAAGCAGCCCTCAGCTGCCAGTGTCCTTGGCCCTCAGCTGGGACAGCTGCACTCCTGCCTTCCAGAGCCCGCAGCAGGGCTGAGCTCCGATGCCCACTGCATTAACCAGCTTGCTAGGAACCTTTTGTCAGATTATTTCCATCCCCGGCTCACAACCCATTCTGTAGTATCTCCTGGGATCAAGTCCCAAATAAATAACCAACACTGGAACCCTTATCTGAGGGTGTGCTTCTGGGGTAACCCAAACTAAGACATGCTCATTTTGTTTCTTCTAACTCACAGCCATGCCCGTGATCAGCCAGATGAGAGGGCTCTCTCCTGAAAGAGGAGGCCAGTGAGACAGCAAACAGGGCTGCCTGCCCTTCTGGAAGCATCCTTCCTGTCTCTTTTGCCTCAATATTTAAGAGAGGCTGGCCCCCGAGTATGCATCAAAGCCTGACACCAGGTAGGGAGAAGCCCAGCTCAGCAGAGCCGCTCTTGGCCACAGCTCCTACTGCCTAAAGAAGCTGTTCTGAGACCCCCGACACAGGCTTGCTGTCCCCCAGTCAGCCAGTGCCCCCTGACTCTTATCCTTTCAAAAGCAGCTGGATAGGACACACTATCTGCTCCCAAATAGTTCTTCATGGTCATCAAACATGCTAGCAAAACTGGAAAACCCCAGATTTTCTCATGTTCTGCCCCCTTTAAAAAAAAAGACTTGAAAGGTATAGTCTAGCCCAACAAAATGATTGCACAATTGGGAATTGGAGCCAGAATTTTAGGAAACGTCCAGGTTGAGAAAAGAATTTGGATGGGGACAGTGGAGAGAGGGCTAGGGTCTATGTGGAGGCAGAGCCCGCCCAATGGTGCTAAGGCAGCTCAAAGACGCCTGAAGGGGCCTCTCTGCCTTGCGGGGTCCCCATGAGCTTTCCCTGCAGTCAACTTGCTTTCATTTTTTAAAAATGTCCACTGGGTGGCAGTAGAGCTCCTTGTTTTCAGCAGGCTCTGAGCTGGAGGGAATGGAGCGTTCTAGGGCAAATCTGGGCAACAACAGAGAACCTGGGATGTCGTGGACCCAAATGCCCTGAGCGTCCTGGACGCCTTTTTGAGCAAAAAGGCAGGGACAGTCTAAGGGGGTTATGAAAAGAATGACAGAGGCCGGGCGCGGTGGTTCAAGCCTGTAATCCCAGCACTTTGGGAGGGAGAGGCGGGCGTATCACCTGAGGTCGGGAGTTCAAGACCAGCCTGACCAACATGGAGAAACCCTGTCTCTACTAAAAATACAAAAAATTAGCCGGGCGTGGTGGCGCAAGCCTGTAATCCCAGCTACTCAGGATGCTGAGGCAAGAGAAACGCTTGAACCCAGGAGGCGGAGGTTGTGGTGAGCCAAGATGGTGCCATTGCACTCCAGCCTGGGTAACAAGAGCAAAACTCCATCTCAAAAAAAAAAAAAAAGAAAAGAAAAGAGTGACAGAGGGCGGGACAGATGCACGAGAGTAACATGTGAAAGGTAGAGTTTAGGTGGTAGGTATATGGTTGTCTTGGTTGCTAAGAAACTATTTTTTGGAAGAGTTCTAGATTTACAGAAAACGTTGCAAAGATGACACAGAGAGATCCCATATACTCTGCACCCCATCTTCCCTGTTATTAACATCTCACATCACTGTGTTATATTTGTTAAAATTAAGGAACCAATATGGATACACTATTATTAGGTAAAGTCCATACTTTGTTCTGAGTTCCTTGTTTTCCATGATGTCTCTTTCCTGTTCCCAGATCCCATCCAGGATCCTATGTTCTATTTAGTTGAGAGTTTCTCAGACTTTGGTTTTTGCTGACAGTTTCAAAAAGTACTCATCAGGTATTTGTGGAATCTCCCTCGACTGGGATTTGTCTGCCTTTTTTCTCATGATTAGGATGAGATTATGGGGTTTGGGAGGAAGACCATACAGATTAAGTGCTTTTTTTTCTTTTTCTTTCTTTTTTTTTCTTTTTTTCTTTTTTTTTTTTTTTTTTTTGAGATGGGGCCTCACTCTGTCACCCAAGCTGGAATGCAGTGGTGCGATCTCAGCTCACTGCGACCTCCACCTCCCAGGCTCAAGCAATCCTCCCACCTCAGCCTCTCGAGTAGCTAGGACCACAGACATGTGCCACCACGCCAGACTGATTTGTACTTTTGGTAGAGACAGGGTTTCGCCATGTTGCCCAGACTGGTCTCAAACTCCTGAGCTCAAGCAATCCACCCGCCTCGGTTTCCCAAAGTGCTGTACAGGCGTGAGCCACCACGCCCAGCCTAAAGTGCTGTTTTCATCACGTCATATCAAGGGTACACACTATGGACATGACTGCTCCCTGTTGATGTTGACCTTGATTGCCCGGCTGAGGTTGTGTTTGTCAGGTTTCTCCACAATTGCTTTTTATTTTCCCTCTTTCAGTTCTGTACTCTGAGGAAGTCACTATAAGCAGCCCACACCTACCAAGTAGGGAGTTATGCTCCACCTTCCTGAGAATGGAGTATCTACATACATTATTTACCATTTTTCTGCATGAATATTTGTCTCTTTTCCATTACGTTTTTTTTTTCCTGTAAAATTCTTTCAATTTTCTGTATGCTTGAAATATTTCATAATGAAAAGGAGGGAAAAAAATGGCTGGGGTGGGGACGATGATATACATCCTGCACATGCTACCAAGTACAAGGGCACGGGGGTTTCAGGGGCGTCTGGGGATGCAGCAACACATGCAGCACCTTCTCCAGAATTCACTTTCCCACTGTCATGGTTTGGCTGCGTCCTTACCCAAATCTCATCTTGAATTGTAGCTTCCATAATTCCCACATGTTGTGGGAGGGACCTTGTGTGAGGTAACTGAATCATGGGGGTGGGTCTTTCCCATGCTGTTCTCACGAGATCTGATGGTTTTATAAAGGGGAGTTCCCCTACACAAGTTCTCTCTCGTCTGCCGCCATGTAAGACGTGCCTTTTGCCTTTTGCCATGATTGTCAGGCCTCCCCAGCCATGTGGGACTGTGAGTCCACTAAATCTCTTTTCGTTTATAAATTACCCAGTCTCAGGTATGTCTTTATTAGCAGCATGAGAACAGACTAATACACCAACTGCCCAGTGGCTGCAGCACACAGAGGTCAACAACAATCTCACCTGCACTGTGTCCAAATCAGAACTAGATGGAGGCCCACCAATCAGGACCCCAAAGCTCAGGATGCCACTGCCTCCTGGTTTCTTAAGCTAGCAATGTGGGAATCACCCTTGCCTGGCCTCCTCCCCCATCTAATCGAAAGCAAATCATGTTCTGCCTTAAAACGCTTTAGTTTCAAGGTTGCAAGTCAAACATCCTTGAAACTATTAGAGCAAGCCTTCTAAAATTACAAGAAAGTTCGTTTCCCTTCTTAGGAAACAGAAATGCAATTTTATGAGGAAGCCATGCAGAATACGTACAGATTTCATTTAAGTGTTCTAGTAACTGATAGGCAAATCATTGCTAACCTTGTCCTTACTCATCTGAGAAACCCAACTACATCTTCCTAAAGCACCCATGACAGCAGATTCCCCATTCATTCGAGTTCTTCATTAACAGCCAACAATCCTCATTAATGCTTGGTGAGTGATTACCAAGGGCTTCCCGAGGGATAATTCACTCAGTCCTCAGGCCACTCAGAAGCACAGGTTACTCTATTCTGATTTTGCAGAGGAAGAAACAGAGAGATTAAGCCAAGACCAAACAGCAGTAGGTAGCAGAGAGGTGGCTGCGACATCTCTTTTCTTTCTCTTCCCCTCTTTTTCTTCCTTTCTCTCTCCCCTCCCCTCCCCTTCTCTTTTCTTTTCTTTTTGTGAGACAGAGTTTTGCTCTTGTTGCCCAGGCTGGAGTGCAATGGCGCGATCTCAGCTCACCACAACATCCGCCTCCTGGGTTCACTCCTGCCTCAGCCTCCCGAGTAGCTGGGATTACAGGCGTACATCACCACACCCGCCTAATTTTGTATTTTTAGTAGAGATGGGGTTTCTCCACGTTGGCCAGGCTGGTCTCGACTCCCTACCTCAGATGATCCGCCCCCCTCGGCCTCCCAAAGCGCTAGGATTACCGACGTGAGCCACCGCGCCCAGCTGACATTTCTTTTCATTAGTCCAGCCCTCTGCGCCCTCTTCCAAATGCCTGGCTTCCTCCAGAACCTCCAGAGCACATTGTTGGGGCCTGAGGAGCAGTGCCAAGGGTCCCGGAATCCCATCTGCTCTGATCAACAGTCACAGGACCGCCGACGAGGAAAGAGGATTTGCCACCGTCCCCTGACAGGTTAGAACCAGAACGTTCCGCCCTGCTGGGCCCAGGGCCAGGCTCGGAGCAGGCTTCTCAAACTGCAGGGTCCACGCCACCCATCGGGGGTCTGGCGGTCTAGGGTGGGGCCCGAGACTCCAAACTAGGCTGCCGTGAGGACCACACCGGGAGGCGCCGTGGGGGGCGGGAGACCTCAGCCGCGGGGCGGAGAAGGGCCAGGCGCGCGCTCCTGGAGGTACGGGGCGCGCAGCCCCGAGGTGTGCCCGGGCCGAGGTGGGCGTCTCCCGGGCGCGCCCGGGCGTATGGCGGCGTCGCTGGGATGCCAGATCCCAGGGAGCTCACCGAGGCCACGCCGATGGCCACCCGGGTGGAGCCTGGGCTGTGGGCTTCGCCTGCGTCCCCGCGGCCTGTCCACGCGTCCGGCACCCGGAGCTAGGGCGTGGCCAGGTCGGAAGCCGGCTTAGCGCGCCTTTCACCCCTGGCCCCACCCAGGGCTCAGCCCAGCGCCGCGGCGGGCCCGGGCTCCCAGGTCTGCGGCTTTCACTGGGCCGCGTCCCTGCAGAGGGCCCCGGCGACTGGGGAGGAGGCCGCCCTTTCCTTCCGGCCCGCGACCGCCCCGGGCTGTCCCTACCCAAGGGAGACTCCCAGCGGCCCGGAGCCTCAGACTCTCCGGGAGCCAGGCGGCGGCGCCCCAGGGCTGGGGCCTTGGAGCCTGGGAAAGCAACCGGGGGTCTCTGGGGAGTCCTGAGCGCAGGCGCCCGCCCACGGCCAAGACCGTGGCCCAGCCCTCCTCAGACCTCCCAAGGGGGCCTGCCTGTCCCTGCGGCCTGAGAGCCTGTCCCTGCTGCCCCGACGTCCAGTCCCTACTGCCCCGAGGTCCTGTCCCTGCGGCCCTGCCCTTAGAGCCTCTCCCTGCTGCCCCAGAGCCTGTCCCTGCTGTGTCGAAGGCCTGTGCAGGACTCGAGGCCGTCTCCCACTCAGAGGGCCTGTCCTTGCTGCCCCAAGGGACTGTCCCTGACGCAGGGCCTAGGCCTGGAAAGTGGACACTCAAGAGTCCCCAGGTGATGTTTGGGGTCCGTCTGCCAGAAAGCTGTTCTGCTCCGATGGCGGCGGCAGCCTCTGCCTCCCCCACTGAGTGCAGGACTCAGCTCTTCCTGGCTTGGGGTGCAGTGCAGAAGGGGACCCTCCTTGAGCCCTGGCAAGCACGGGAGGCGCTTCTGCAAGAGGCAGCTGCTGGCTGAGCCTGGTGCCCAGGGAGGTGGTGACGAGGACGCACTCCTTCCAGTTCACTGGGCGACTCTAAGGGACACCAATACAGGGATTGGTGGGCCGGCCCCCCGAGAGAGTCAAGGGAAGAAGCAATACACATGGTGTCGCCCTGCTCAGTCCACCCCAGACCACCACCAGCCAGGCGTGGAGACAGGACCAGAAGGACAACTGCTGGGCTCTGGGGGTGCTGAGCAGGGGTGAAAGCGTCCTAGAGGCTTGGTGCCGACCTGGACACGGCCCGGCCCAGGCGTGGACTCCCCACTTGGGAGCGTTTGTGAAGTGAGGAGAACCCCATGCCACTGCCACATGGCTTCTGTCACCTGCATCCAGTCACAGTTCCTGAGGAAAGGGTCCCCGAGATCCCCGTTGGCCACACTAGGTGCGAGGGAGGAAGCCTGGGCCAGTGGCTGTCCCTATGGACACCGCGGGTGGTTTCTCGTTGACATACATGGGAACGTCGCTGAGGCCAGGAAGACGGCAAATCCTTTATTCCTTGTATAAGAGGTGGGCCTTTGACCCAGACCTGCAGTTGTGAAGGACAAAGTGTTAAAAACTGTCTCAGTGAAAGATCCTGTCAGTTTAAATATTACTACATTTTGAAAATGTGAGAGACGAAATGTCAAGTTCATGCAGGCATTGAAGCCAAGTGCAATGGCAGGACATGTGCTTCCCCTCTCCCCAGCCTGCTTTCCTCAGCTCTGTGCAGGCCGGAGAGAGTAAGAGCTACCTCCTAGGTCTTCTGTGAGCACTAAATAAGCCAGGGTTTGTGAGGACCTCGGAGAGTGCCTGGCTTAACATATGCTTGCTTGGAAAAACCACTGGGTGTCACGTGTGTAGCATGACCTTCAGGACACTGCTTGCCTTGACTCATCACCCCTGTTTGATGGATGAAAGCACAGCCACTCACTGGCATTTACTGTGCTAGAAACATCCTGGTGCCTTCCCTGCTTGGGCCACCGTGTTTTGTAGCCACTGTTACAGCTAGTGCGTGCTGAACCCTGCTGCCAGCCCAGGCGGTGCTGAGTGTGGCTCTGTCTCGGTCCTTCCACCCTCACACAGTGAGGTCAGGACTGCCAGGACAGTGAAGCACACTGGGTAGGAGTCCAGCAGGTTCAGCCTGTCCACTGCCTAGTCAGAGCCGATTTACCAAGACAGGGGAATTGCAACAGAGAAATTCACACAAAGCCAGAGTTGTATTATTACTCAAATCGGTATCCCCGAGCATTCTGGGATCAGAATTTTAAAGGATAATTTGGTGGGTGGGGAGTTAGTGAGTCGGGATTGCTGATTGGTTGGGTCAGAGATGAAATCATAGGGAGTCGAAGCTGTCCTCTTGCCCTGAGTCAGTTCCTGGGTGGTGGCCACAAGATCAGATGAGCCAGCTTATGCATCAGCTTATCCATCAGCTGTGTGGTGCCAGCTGATCCATCAGGTGCAAGGTCTGCAAAATATCTCAAGCACTGATCTTAGGTTTTGCAATAGTGATGTTATCCCCAGGAGCGATTTGGGGAGGGTCAGAATCTTGTAGCCTCCAGCTGCGTAACGCCTAAACCATAATTTCTATTCTTTTGGCTAATTTGTTAATCCTACAAAGGCAGTCTAGTCCCCAGGCAAGAAAGGGGTTTGTTGGGAAAGGGCTGTTATCATCTTGGTTTTAAACTATAAACTATAAACTAAGTTCCTCCTAAAGTTAGTTCCACCTACACCCAGGAATGAACAAGGACAGCTTGGAGGTTAGAAGCAAGATGGAGGTGGTCAGGTCAGATCTCTTTCAGTGTCTCAGTTATAATTTTGCAATGGTGATTTCAAGAACAGTCACCCTGAAGTTCAGGACACACAAGAAAGCACTCCCGATTTGGCCTCTGCTCCCAGCTAGGATTTAGGTCACAAGAGACTTCAGTCTTGTGGTAACAAGAAGAAAACAAATAAAATAAGAAACAGCGTGCTTCTTATGAAGCTAGCAAAAAGTGGTAGCAACAAGGAACCCGGAAGAAGTAAATTCCGGAGCATTCTGAGGTTGTTGTAGGTGAATGGGAAGCTGAGGCAGCTTCCATACGGGGAGGTGATGCCTCATCTGGGTGAGAGCAGTTCTGCCGAGGATGGAGAGACTTTTAGGGGAAATCAGTCAGATCTTGAAAAACAGGGCTATGGGGCAGACTGGAGTCTGGACGAGCCTCAAACACAAGAACAGATCACTTGGCCCAGAAATATCCTGCTCTGGTTTTGCTAAGAAAACAGCAATAGGGCAAAGGATGATAACTAGAAAGAAACTGTGTAATCCGAAACATTCTTGCAGTGATTGGATCCTGGGGCTCTGCCAGCATTGAATCCAAAGGTGAACCAAAAATAGCTGAAATTGAAGACAATCAGCTCCCTGTCTATAAGATCAAAAGGCAGTGGCTCAGGAGACTGGGGACTGGGCTCCCCATAGAGAATGCCCCTGATTAAAGCTGCAGCCCAGTCAAACTCATCTTGTTCTAGAAGGAATCTGAAAGATCCATCCCTGCACCAGATGGAGGGAAAGGCTTACCATCAACTATGATTGTTTGTGAAATAACATCATCCCACACATCCAAGAAACTCAACGAACCCCAAGTATGATCAATGAAAAGAGATCCACATGGTAGGTCCTCAAATATGTTGAATCTACCAAGAGTTGTTGTTGTTGTCGTTGTTGTTGTTGTTCTTGTTGTTTTTTGAGACAGAGTTTTGCTCTTGTTGCCCAGGCTGGAGTGCAATGGCACGATCTTGGCTCACTGCAACCTCCCTCTCCCAGGTTTAAGCGATTCTCCTGCCTCAGCCTCACAAGTAGCTGGAATTACAGACATGTGCCACCATGCCCGGCTAATTCTTGTATTTTTAGTAGAGACAGGGTTTCACCATGTTGGCCAGGCTGGTCTTGAACTCCTGACCTCGTGATCCACCTGCCTCAGCCTCCGAAAGTGCTGGGATTACAGGCGTGGGCCACCGCGCCCGGCCATACCAAGAGTTGTTAAAGCAAACTAACTGTGGCCTGAGAAGGACTCCATACTTCCATGTTTGAGTCCTTGTGGATGAACTGCAACCTAACTTAATAGGTAGACAAGATTGAAAACTTAACTTAGGAGTATGCACCTGTAACAATAGCTGAGTCTTGGCCAATCCTAGTGGCCCTACTTCAACCACTCATACACGGCTGTGTTCAGACTGTGTTGAAATAAGGCAAATGCTGAGCTGTAACCAGTCCAGTTGTTTCTGTACCCCACTTCCAATTTCTGTATGCCACTTGACTTTCTTTTTGGTCTATAAATTTGTTCTGACCACGAGACACTCCTGGAGTCCCTCTGAATCTGCTGTGATTCTGGGGGCTGCCCAATTCATGAATCATTCATTGTTCAATTAAACTCCTTTCAGTTTAATTCGGCCGAAGTTTTTCTTTTAACAGAGGAAATCTTGAAAGGAGTAAGAGAAAAACACCCATCCATCGGGGAACAACAATACAATTACTGGCTGGCTTCTCTCATCTGCAACTATAGAAGCCAGAAGGCAGTGGAATGGCATATTTTGAGTGCTAAGGAAAAAACTGTCAGTCAACTATTCTATATCCAGCAAAACTGCACTTCAAAAATGCAGGCTGAATAAAGATATTTTCAGATAAATGAAGACTGAGAGACTTGATTGCTAGCTGGTCTGACTCAAAAGAAATACTGGAGAAAGTCCTTTAGGGTGAAAGGAGAGGATACCAGATGTTTTAAGCTGAATCCACAGGGTAAATCCAAGTAAATAGTACCAGAAATCATACATATATACATTTATATAACAGATAAACATGTTTTGCTTTTATTTCTTCTTTTAACTTCCAAAAGATGTAAGTTTGTATAAAGCAACAAGTATAGCTGTAGTGTTATGTCTATAATATATAGATTTACTATGATAATAATAGCACCGGGCGCAGCGGCTCATGCCTGTAATCCCAGCACTTTGGGAGGCCGAGGCAGGTGGATCACAGGTCAAGAGTTCGAGACCAGCTTGGCCAACATGGTGAAACCCCATCTTTACTAAAAATACAAAAAAATCAGCTGGGCGTGGTGGCACGCACCTGTAGTCCCAGCTACTCGGGAGGCTGAGGCAGAAGAATCGCTTGAACCCGGGAGGTGGAGGCTGCAGTGAGCCGAGATCTTGCCACTGCATTCCATCATGGTGACAAAGTGAGACTCTGTCCCAAAAAACAAAACAAAGCAAAACAACCCCCCAAAAAAACTTACTGTATGACCTAGCCATTCCCTTCTAAGGAATATTCCCAAGAAAAGTGAAAACTTATGCCACACAGAGCCAGTACCTGAATGTTCAGAGCAGTGTTATTTATTCATAATAACTATAACCTTGAAACCATCCAATGTCCAACAGCTAATGAATGTATAAACAAAGTCTGATAGATTCATACAGTGGAATACTATTCAACAATGAAAAGGAAGAGACTACTGGTCCACACTACAACATGGATGAACCTGAAAAACATTATGCCAACTGAAAGAATCCAGGCACGAAAGACTTCCTATTATATGATCCCATTTATATGAACTGTCCCAAGTTTATGAGAACAGAAAGCAGATCTGTGGTCGTTTAGGGCTGAGGATGGGGCAAAAACTAATTGCAAATGGACATGAGGGAACACTTTGGGGTGATTAAAATGTTCTAACACTGGATTATAAAGATAGTTGCTCAATACCATAAATTTACTAAAAATCATTGAATTGAAAAAAGTAGCAATTAACCAAAATAATGAAAAAGTAGCAATTAACCAAAATGATGAAAAAAGTATCATTTAACCAAAAAATGATACTTGACAATGTTTTATTTCTATCCAGCTATATATTTTTTTTTTTTTTTTGAGATGGAGTCTGGCTTTGTTGCCCAGGCTGGAGTGCAGTGGTGCCGTCTCGGCTTGCTGCAACCTCTGCCTCCCAGATTCAAGCGATTCTCCTGCCTCAGCCTCCCAGGTAGCTGGGACTACAGGTGCATGCCATTCCCGGCTAATTTTTGTATTTTTAGTAGAGACAGCGTTTCACTTTATGTTGCCCAGGCTGGTCTCAAACTCCTGGCCTCAAGTGATCCGCCTGCCTCGGCCTCCCAAAGTGCTGGGATTATAGGCATGAGCCACCATGCCTGGCCCCAGCTATCTTAAAGTTCAGAAACACTTTATTGTTAAAAAAAAAAGTTGGTGTTTTTTTATTGAATAAATATGATCTATTGATAAATAAATTAATAATTGCTAATACATTTTTCTTAGTACAAAGTAGTGGTAAAATATCATTATAATATGGAAATAAATAATAATTTCCAGGCTGGACACAGTAGCCCATTCCTGTAATCCCAGCATGTTGGGAGGCCAAAGCAAGTGGATCGTTTGAGCCTAGGAGTTTGAGACCCGCCTGGGCAACATGGCAAAACCCCATCTCACTAAAAATACAAAAAAATTAGCTAGGCATAGTGGCGCGTGTCTATAGTCCCAGCTACTTGGGAGGCTGAGGTGGTAAAATCACCACCTGAGCCTGGGAGGTCGAGGCTGCAGTGAGCCATGATCACACCACTGCACTCTAGCCTGGGCCATGGGAATGAGATGCTGCAAAAAAAAAAAAAAAAAGAATAATTTCCATCATACCAAAGTTTAAAAAAAATTTTCAATTGAAGGTGAAATAAAGACACTTCTGAAGAAATTGCAGCTGAGAGATTTCATAGCCTATAGACTCACCAGACAAGAGATGCTACAGGGAGCTCATTAGCTGAAGAGAAATGATACAGATGAAAACAGGAAGGTATAAAGAGAGCCAGAAATACAAATTTATGGGTAAATATAAAAGACAATTTTTATCTCTTGTCTTCATTTCTTTAAAAGGCAAAAAAATAATATGGAGTTTATTATAACAAATGTGAAGCAAAATCTATGACACGGATAGATCAAAGACAACAGAGGAATAATTATACTAATGTAATGTTCTTGTATTATACAGAAGTGGTTTAATATTAATTCAATGTACACTGTGATAAATTAAGGATACATGTTTTATTGACTGCCTGAAGCAACCACTTAAAAAAAATCAAATAAATGGAAACAAAGATGTATATCTGAAAAACCAACAGAGGAGATAAGATAAAATACCACAACATACCTGATTAATTCTCAACAAGACAGAAAAACAGAAGCCACAAACAAATAACAGATAGGATAAATCGAAAACAAATAGCAAAATGATGAACTGAAACCTCAACCATATCAATACGTACGTTAAATGTAAACAGGGTAACCACTCCATTTCGAAGACAACAACCGTTAAGATGACAGCAAGAACGAGAGGAGAAAACAAAAAACATGGTTGAACTGAATAAAAAACAAGCCCCAACTACATACTGTTTACAATAAATGTACTTTAAATATAAAGATACAGATACAAAGATAAAAAGTAAAAGGATTAAGAAGAACATGCAAACACTAATCACAAGAAAGCTGGCGTAACCATATTAATATCAATAGACTTTGAGGCAAGAGGCATTACCAAAGATAAAGAGACATAGTTCTTAATGATAATCGAGTTAATTTATCAAGAAGATAACAACCCTAAATGTGTCTGTATCTAATGACAGTTTGAAAATACATGAAACAAAAATTGACAGAACTAAATGGAGAAATAGATGAATCTGCAATCATTGTCACATTGTCTCCAAAGATGGCCATCAACAATGTCACCATCATCCAACCACGTACTACACCTCCCAACAAGAGTTATTTTCCTACTCTTTATTTATTTAATTTATTTTTATTATTTTTTTTTGAGACAGAGTCTCACTCTGTCACCCAGGCTGGAGTGCAGTGGTGTGATCTCAGTTCACTGCAACCTCTACCTCCTGGGTTCAAGCGATTCTCCTGCCTCAGCCTCCTGAGTAGCTGGGACTACAGGCATGCACCACCACACTTGGCTAATTTCTATATTTTCAGTAGAGACGGGGTTTCACTACATTGGCCAGGGTGGTCTCGAACTCCTGACCTCAAGTGATCCATTCCTCTTGGCCTCCCAAAGTGTTGGGATTACAGGCGTGAGCCACCATGCCTGGCTGTATTTTCCTACTCTTTAAATCAGCATGGTCCTTATGACTTGCTTTGACTAACACAATGTAGCAGAAATGATTCTGGGCCAGTTCCAGCCTGGCCCTTAAGAGGCTGGAAGATTCTCTTTCACTCTTTTGGAAGCCAGTTGCCATGTAGAATACCTTGGACTAGACTATTGAGAATTGGGAGATCACATGGAATCAGAGAATCCACATGGACTAGAACTGATGCATCCTAGCCAAGGCCGCAACACATAAGTGAAGCTAGCAGTAGCTGAGCTTCTGGATGGTTGCAGCTGTTTAAATGATACCAGCTGAGACCTCAGCAAACTGAATGATCCAGTGGACCCACAGACTCATGGGGAATAATGAGTTGTTTTAAGCCATGAAGTTTTGGGGTGGTTTACTATGCAGCAGTCTATCAATGAAACATGCCTTTCTCTGTCATTAATGGAATAAGCAGACAAAATCCAGTGAAGACAGCAGCTTCCTCTGGATACCCCCCTGCACTTTGCTGCCACTGCCCAGCCCAAGGGAGTCAGTCACGGAAGTCCCCAAGGAGCAGAAGAGCCAGTGGCTCTCAGAGGTGGAAATGAGAGATGAAAAGCAAAATGCCAAGTTGACTGAGATTTTGGAGCTCTTGGTTGCAGCTGTTCTTCCAGACCAAGAATTAAAAGCTCATGGCCTTTGAACAAGGCCATAGGAGAAATGACTTGGTGCATCCATATGACATGGATTCTGGCTTATTCTTTCATGAAAACCCTACAGAGGTCGAAACTTAGCTCCATCAGCTCTGCCAAGCATGCACTGTCCACACTTAATGGGGCCCTACCAGACTTGAGATTTTTTCCATACATTTTCTATTATTCAGTGGCTGGTGAGGTAAAGCGAGCCGTAGAAACAAAATAAGCAACGGGTGACTACACCTGCTCCTATTCTATATCCTGCTTTTGGAAACCTACAGCCTTCCTGACAAGGATGACTTCAGGAAGAGAAAGGAAACGGTCATCAAAACAATCACTGACGTCTCCAAGGAAAGACACACGTGAGGCAGGGCCGAGCACCCCACTAAGCCCAGCCTACATCAACAGACACCCAGCCAACCCTGAGGCACAGGAGCGCGCCCAGCCAAGATCACCAATGTCCCCCACAGCCCAATCTCAGAATTGGTCAACCCCCAGCAGCCCCTGAGACATATAAGCAAGTCAGGCAGAGGGCTGTCAAGCTTAGCCAACTTTCAGCTGAACCTGAGACACCGGAGTGAGCTCAGCTGAGGTCAGCAGAACTTCCCAGCCATGCCCAGCCCAAATCAGCCAACCTCCAGCTGACCTGCAGCCTCATCATCAACAACACCTGGCTGCTCATTAAGCTAGACAAGGCTGGTCTCCCCCATAGCCCAGGGACCAGATTCTACATTGCAGAAGTGCTCAGGTGGCCCAAACCTCCTGTCACACATTCTATCCAGCATCTAATACCTTCTAAGGGCTTCTGACTCATCAAACACTTCACTCCTATAAGAAGAGTTGAATGTCGTGTCTTCCTTGTTCATGTTGGCCGGCTTATTTCTTGAACTATTGAAACCACCTTTGCAAAATTATGACTGAGACAGTGAAAGAGATCTGACTTCATAGACTCCATCTTGCTTCTAACCTCCAAGCTATCCTTGTTCATTCCTGGGTGTAGGCTGAACTAACTTTGGGAGAAACTTAATTCATTGTTTATAGCTTAAAACAAAGATGATAACAGCCCTTTCCCAAAGTAGACCTCCTTCTTGCCTGGGGACTAAATTGCCTTGTAGGACTAATATTAGCCACAAGATTAGAAATTATGGTTTGGGAGTCATGCAGCTGGAGGCCGCAAGATTCTGACCCTCCCTAAACTTCTCCTAAGATCAGTGCTTGAGATATTTTGCAGACCCTGCACTTGATGGACCAGCTGGCACCGCCCAGACTGATAAACTGATTCACCTGATCTTGCAGCCCCCACCTAGGAACTGACTCCGCGCAAGAAGACAGCTCAGACTCCCTATGATTTCGTCTCTGACCAATCAGCACTCCTGGCTCACTGGCTTCCCCCCACCCACCAAGTTGTCCTTAAAAACTCTGCTCCCCGAATGCTGGGGGAAACTGATTTGAGTAATGATAAAACTCTGGTCTCCTGCACAGCCAGCTCTATGTGAATTACCCTTTCTCTACTGCAATCCCCCTGTCTTGATAAATTGGCTCTGTCTAGGCAGCAGGCAAGGTGAACCCCTTGGGCAGCTATACTATTAGGACAAAAAAATCCCACTTACTTCCTCCTCCTTGTTTAAAGATGAAGTTAGTGAAGTAAGCCAAACTTCATTGCAGGACCCCCAGTAACCCCTCCTGAACCCCTCCCTACACACATTCAAGGGTGGCCAGACCCAGACCAAGGAGGGACTGAGCATCAGGAGTTTTGTGTAACTTTTTATGGGTAAGATGAAGCCTTCAGGGCCTCAGAATGAAAAGTTTACGAGAAGAAAGAACTTTAGCCAGGTCTACTAACTTGTCCCCTGCCCCACCTCCACTGGAGTCTGCCCTGGTTGCCAAGGCTGGTTTGGTTCAGTCTTTGTGTTTTTCTCAGTTTGTTGTAACTGGCAGGGTCCTGACAACCTGAGGGACTTCACAGTGGCATCAGGCCCATGTAGGGTCTGCTATGGCCATGATGCTCTGTGTCACACTGGTCCTAGAGATCCCACACCAGGCAGTGGGAGCAATGCCCAGGACCAGGCCCAGCTCCCCAAGGACTGTTGGGCAAGAGGGTGGTTTTGGTCATAGTCAGAGTTTAGTTGAGAGCCTACTTTATGCAAGTAGAGACAGACTGGCCACTGCCATTTCTATCCTTCTAGGGGGAAAACATCACATTTTTGGAAACTCAGCCACATGGAAATATAAAAACTGGAGGCCATTAATCAAGAGTTGGAAAGTGCCAACTCTTTATTTGGGCTTAAAATACAGGCTTTTTAGAAGAGGACGTAAAGAGAAATCTAAACATTCAGAACAAGTTGAGTTGACAGCTGGCATTGCAAGAAACATTCAGTCTTTAGAAGATGCACCAAAATATATCCGATATCAAGTATCTGCAACCAAAACAGCCTTCAAAATACATCAAAGGAAACAGAGTACCTTTAGACAGCATGAAGCATGACCTGGATGACCATGGTGGTATTCAGGGGTGTGTGAGGCTGCTTTCGCAAGAAACCAGAGAAGGAAGAGTGAGTGAGCATATTAAGCAGAATGAAATATAGAAAACTCTGAAGGAGATCAGATCAAGCCTCTAGGTGACCACTTGCTTAAAGAGGAGTGATTGGGCGGCCTTCCTGGGAGAAGGCAGCATGGATGGTGGGAGCTCAGAACTGGGTAGAACAACTGCATTCGAAAACCAGCGGCTCCTAGATTATTCAAAAGGAGTTTGAAGAAGTGAATGCAACTCAAAGAATTCTTATAAAACACTTTATTTATTTATTTATTTATTTTTGTTTATTTATTTATTTATTTTTTTGAGACAGGGTTGCCCAGGCTGCAGTGCAGTGCCACAGACATGACTCACTGAAGCCTGGACCTCCTGGGCTCGAGCAATCCTCCCACCTCAGCCTCCCAAGTAGCTGGGACTACAGGTGCACACCACCACACCCGGCTAATTTTGTGTTTTTTGTAGAGACAGGGTCTTTTTAGCTTGCCCATGCTGGTCTCCAACTCCTGGGCTCAAGTAATCCACTCGCCTCAGCCTCCCAAAGTGTTGGGATTACAGCAATGAGCCACTGAGCCCAGCTAAAACACCTTAAAAGAAATCAAATGTACACTAAATTAGCTGAAGGAGATGAAATGATCGATGCCCTCATATTTAAAATCTACAAACTGAGACAGCCTCACTGAAGTCAGACAAACACAGAAAGGGGAGGTAACAGCTCCAGCAAAAGGAGAGGTAACAGCTCCAGCAGGAACTCCAAGTCCTTCCTGAATTGCATCAAGAAAAAGAAATCAGTGTGCATCAAATAGCCAATTTAGAGAGAATTTGCCCTTTAATAATAGAGGAGACTATTTCCGAAGCAGATGGCAAGATCAAGCATGCTGGAGACTTATAAAGTACAAGCCCAAATTCTGTCAGAAAAATGCAGAAGGATCATAAGCTGTTACTCAAGCTAGCCTATTTCCTGTAAGAGAAAAAACCCACGATAATAGGCTGAGAGCTCTGTTGGCTGGAAAAAAAAAAAAAAAAAACCTTAGAAACTTAAGAAAAATTGTACTTTAGTAAAAATTATTGGAGAAGAATGTTAATGCTTTTAAGAGTATGCCTGCAACCCTGATGTTCCAAATGGGTATTTGGCCAAGGCCAAGAGAACCACCAAGCAGGGCTGCCACATTAAACACAGGACAGCCAGCTAAATTTGACAGACTCATACTACACAAATTATCATTATTTTATTCTTTGAGACAGGGTCTCATTCTGTCACCCAGGCCGGAGTGCTGTGGTGCGATCACAGCTCACTGCAGCCTCAACTTCCTGGGCTCAAGCCATCCTCCTGCCTCAGCCTCCTGAGTAGCTGGGACTACAGGCGGGCACCACCACGCTCAGCTAATTTTTAAATTTTTTTTGTAGAGATGGGGTCTCGCTTTGTGGTACAGGCTGGTGTTGAACTCCTGGGCTCAAGCGATCCTCCTGCCTTAGCCTCCCAAAGTGCTGGGGTTACAGGTGTGAGCCACTGCACTGGGCTATTTCTGATCTTTATTGAAAAAAAATCTAACTATCTTTTAAAGCTGTCTTTAAACACTTATTTATCCATATTTGGATTTTAGTTATCTCTGCCCAACTTTCATTCTTTCTTTCTGTCTTTTTTTTTTTTTTTGAGAGGGAGTTTCACTCTTGTTGCCCAGGCTGGAGTGCAATGGAAGGATCTCAGCTCACCACAACCTCCGCCACTCAGATTCAAGCGATTCTTCTGCCTCAGCCTCCCGAGTAGTTGGGATTACAGGCATGCGCCACCACGCCCAGCTAAATATATACATAATTTTTTTTTTTTTTTTTTAGTACAGCTGGGGTTTCTCCATGTTGGTCAGGCTGGTCTCGAACTCCCGACTTCAGGTGATCCACCCGCCTCGGCCTCCCAAAGTGCTGGGATTACAGGCATGAGCCACTGCATCCAGCCATCTCTGCCCAACTTTCTACCTCCCTTCATCCTAATTGTCCTCCACAGCTCCTTTCCCACAGTCCTCGCCTGCACAGTAAGAGCTCCAGGCTATGCATCCAGACAGACTGATCTACTAAATGTGTGACCTCAAGCAAGTACCTTAACCGTGTGTGTGTGTGTGTGTGTGTGTGTGTGTGTGTGTTTGAGACACCGTATCACTCTGTCACCCAGGCTAGAGTGCAGTGGCGTGATCTCAGCTCAACACAACCTCTACCTCCTGGATTCAAGTGATTCTCATGCCTCAGCCTCCCAAGTAGCTGGGACTACAGGTGCACACCACCATGCCCCGCTAATTTTTGTATTTTTAGTAGAGATGGGGTTTCGCCATGTTGGCCAGGCTGGTCTCAAACTCCTGACCTCAGGTGATCCACCTGCCTTGGCCTCCCAAAGTACTGGGATTATAGGTGTGAGCCAATTTGCCCAGCCACCTTAACCTTTTGTATGTCAGTTTCCTTGTCTGTAAAACCAGGATAAAAGTGGTACCTTTACATAAGGGATATGTTCAAATTAAGAGAAATAATATGTCAAACACTTGGAAGTATTTTTATACTTGCTGTATAAAACTTGCTGTATATAACTGTTTTATTCAACTGAATTTAGTAAGCACTAAAGATGATAAAGCACAATAACCTACTATTAGCAGTTACTGAACAACTGTTTCTTGAGTTAGGCATTGTAACAACCACTGGGTGTATGAAGATAATGAAGACAAAGTTGCTGTCACTGGGGTCTCTACATGCAGAAAGGAAGATGAGAAAACAATAAGCAATGGGATGGAATGGAACATCATATCATAAAGTAAGAGTTCATCAGCAACTGCTCTCCCCAGGGCCCAGTAAGGGACCCCTGACCCAGTCATTCATGAAGAGAAGGAGGCCATTACGGCAGAAGTAACAGAGGAAAGACAGGCTCAATTTTCCAACAAGCCAGATGCCCATAGAACTGAAGCTTGAGAAACTTCCATTTGTACAGTGAGTCACACCTGCTGCCTGTTGACCAGCTCCTCTTCTTCACCCCTCCCTAACTCCTGTTCTCCTGCACGTGGTTATGAGACAGACGCTAGACCCCTCATCTGACCACCTGCTGAGCAACTCTTCTTCCTTGCCCCACCTGTTTTCCTTCCCCTGCTATAATCTAAACCCCTAACTTTAGTTGGCGAGAGAAAGACATATTTGAGGCTTGCCTCCCATCTCTCCAGCTGACGTCACCTGTAATAAAGCCATTTTCCTTGGCAATACTCACTGTCTCAGCGACTGGCTTTCTGTGTGGCAAGCAGCGGGACCTAGGCTGAACCCCTAGCAATCAGTAACAGGCATTGCTGTTTTAAAGGCTCCAAGTCACTAAAGGAGATGAGGTTGAGAATATAGACAGCAGAACAGACAAATCATTAAAGATGCTGATGGTAGACAGTACAGATTCTGGAGGTGGCCTGCTTGGGTTCAAATCCTTGTTCTACCGCTTAGCAGCTTGGTGACTTTGCGAAAATTAAATGCCTCAGTTTCCAGGTCTATAAAATGGGGACAATAGTAATGGTAGTAATAACTACCTCATAGAGATGGGAGAAATTAAGTAATGGACATAAAGTGCTTAGCACTATGCCTGTATTGAAAGTAGTAAATGCTCAATACATGTTAGCGGCTGCTGCTTTTAATATAGATCTAGATCTCTATCTTCCAAGATGACATAGGTATAGATATATGAATAACTATAGATACCTCAGGGGAACCGCCTTCCTCACCATGTCCGCCCAGTTTTATGCTGGGAAACCGAATCATCTTAAGTCATTTCCTGGTAGACTTTGTTCACAACAGTTCTGTCCTAGCTGCTGAGAGGAAAGCATGAGTAGATTTTCTGTGCCTACCCTGTTCCCACCCACTAATTATTCTGGACTCCTCAACCCTCCTTTCCAGATACCTGTCCCTGTCCAATCTCCTAAGTAACCAAGTCAATTAATATATAAAGGTTTAGCACTGAAGAACTGCCAGGAGCAGAGGGTCCCTGGTGGCTAAGCAGACTGTATTCTACCTCCCAGGTTTCTTCCTCCTTCCCTTGGAGGGTCTCTAGTTTCTATTGTGTAGGGGTGGGTTGCCCCTCCACACCTGTGGGTGTTTCTCGTAAGGTGGAACGAGAGACTTAGGAAAGAAAAAGACACAGACAAAGTATAGAGAAAGAAATAAGGGGACCCGGGGGACCAGCGTTCAGCATATGGAGGATCCCGCCAGCCTCTGAGTTCCCTTAGTATTTATTGATCATTCGTGGGTGTTTCTCCGAGAAGGGGATGTGTCAGGGTCACAAGACAATTGTGGGGAGAGGGTCAGCAGACAAACACGTGAACAAAGGTCTTTGCATCATAGACAAGGTAAAGGATTAAGTGCTGTGCTTTTAGATATGCATACACATAAACATCTCAATGCTTTACAAAGCAGTATTGCTGCCCGCAGGTGCCACCTCCAGCCCTAAGGCGGTTTTTCCCTATCTCAGTAGATGGAACATACAATCGGGTTTTATACCGAGACATTCCATTGCCCAGGGACGGGCAGGAGACAGACGCCTTCCTCTTGTCTCAACTGCAAGAGGCATGCCTTCCTCTTATACTAATCCTCCTCAGCACAGACCCTTTACGGGTGTCGGGCTGGGGGACGGTCAGGTCTTTCCCTTCCCACGAGGCCATATTTCAGACTATCACATGGGGAGAAACCTTGGACAATACCTGGCTTTCCTAGGCAGAGGTCCCTGCGGCCTTCCGCAGTTTTTGTGTCCCTGGGTACTTGAGATTAGGGAGTGGTGATGACTCTTAATGAGCATGCTGCCTTCAAGCATCTGTTTAACAAAGCACATCTTGCACCGCCCTTAATCCATTCAACTCTGAGTTGACACAGCACATGTTTCAGAGAGCACGGGGTTGGGGGTAAGGTCACAGAATCTCAAGGCAGAAGAATTTTTCTTAGTACATAACAAAATGGAGTCTCCTATGTCTACTTCTTTCTACACAGACACAGTAACAATCTGATCTCTCTTGCTTTTCCCCACACTATTGCCTTTGTCATCCTCACCCATCCATCCATCCATCCAGCCAGCCAGCCAGCCAGCCATTCATTCAGCCATCCATGTGGCCATCCAAACATCTATCAACCAGGGGCAATTTTGCAAGGAACTTCCAGCAATGCCTAGAGATAGATATTCTTTGGTTATCACAATTGGTGGTGAGGAGCAGGATGCTTCTGGCATCCAGTAGTTGGAGACCAGGGATGTTACTAATGCAGAGGACAGCCCATACAACTGAGTTTTTCAGCCTAAAATAACAATGGTCCCAAGGTTGTGAAACTCTGTATCCAGCCAGCCATCCTACCATCCAGGCATATCTTTATCTATTTATTCCTTCTGTATTTACCTTAACGACTATGTGGTTCATCCTGGAAAGACTACAGGTAAGGTTTGCTCATAGGCCCCCATCCCAATCTTTAATGGTGTTTTATACCTTCCCATTCATGTCTGAGAAGATAATTTAGTTATTAAAAGACAGAAAATACCTTAACAATGTACTTTGGTCTCTGGATATGTCTACTGGCACTGGCAGGTGGGGGGCTGTCTAGACAGACACCCAGAAACATTCCCCACTTCTTGAGCAGGAATCCCAGTGACCAGGGACTCACTGATACTAGGGAATCTCACAAGGTGATCAGTTTGCAGTGCAGAGTGGCACCATCCCCACGGATCTCTCCCTGTGGCTGCCAGGCAGGACACCCAAGACTTCCAGTCTCTGTCTTCGTCTTACCCTGCTTCTCTGCAGCATGTGACACAGTTGACTACACCTTCCCTGTTAGAGCATGATCCTCCCTTGGCTTCTGTGCACCACACATTCCTGATAGAAGGAGGCCTCCTCGTCACCGTGCTGGTTTCTTCCCCTCTTCTGCTCAACCTCTAAATGTGCACAAGCCCCAAGGCTTCATCCTGGCCTTTGGCTGCTCCTTCTATGGGTTATTCCCAGGTATTCTCATTCAGCCTCATGACTTTCAATTCCCTGTAAGCTGAATCCCAAATCTGTATCTCCAGCCCAGCCTCCTCCCAGGATCCACGTATCAAACTGCTACTTAATGTCTCCTGGATGCTTAAAGGACATCTCAAACCCAACACAACTGAGATAATTCTCCCCCATTCCCCTCTCCACGGGCTTCCATTTCACAACCATCTACCCTGTTCTTTAGACCAAAAGCCTGGGAGTCATCCTGGAGTCCTCTCTTTCCTTCCTACCTCCCCTCACATCCAATTCTTCTCCATGTTCTTCTGACTCTATTTACAAACATAGTGCAACTCCACCCACTTCTCTCTATATCCCAGAATATAAAGCCTCCCTAAAAGCAGGGACCCGGTCAATCCCTCACTGTTATTTCCAGTGCCTGGCACACAGTAGGTGCTCATTAAATGAAACTTCAGGTGGGTGGTGAACACCCTTCTCCTAAGTCAAGCGAAATTAGAAACCAAAAGGTTGTCTAGTAGGCATCCGACAGGGCAGCAGGCAGCACAGTGGAGGGGGTGTCTCAAGGACTATTTCAGCAGATGATGGAAATACGCAATGACTTTCCCCAGACCTGCAGACTCGATTTGTTGTTTAGTTCGCTCTGAACTTCATGTGTCCCTTCCTTGGGCTTGATTCACCTCCACCCCTTAGCAAGCAGCTGGTGCTTATTACACTGTTGGTTAAATGAATGAGTTTTTGAAAGCTTTCAAGTCCCTATCCTTTGAGCTCCCTGTTCTACCTCCTCTGAACACATTCTTTCCTCACACCAGGTACAGCATGACTAGTTAGGCCTCAGCTTGCCTAAGGCCTATTTACAAATAATGTCTTAGAGTGGGTCATTCCTTTCAACCATTATACTTTGATTTTTCTTAATTTCATTCTAAGGATCACATTATCTAAGTGTGTTAGTTTGCTAAGGTTGCCGTAACAAAGTACCGCGGACTGGGTGGCTGGAAGTCCAAGACCAAGGTGTCTGCAGGGTTGGTTTCTCCAGAGGCCTCTCTCCCTGGCTTGTAGATGCCATCTTCTCCCAAGGGGTCTCGTGGTCCCCCTTTTGTGTGTGTCTGTGTCCGAATCTCCTCTTCTTATAAGGACAGTGATGTAAAAGGAATGAAGGGGGCGGGGGGGTGGCCAGCACTGGATTAGGACCCACTCTAATGACCTCATTTTAATTTAATTACCTCTTTAAAGACCCTATCTCCAAATACAGTCCCATTCTGAGGTATTGGAGATTAAGACTTCAACATATGAATTGAGGATAGGGGTACAATTTAGCCCATTAAACTGTCACCAATTCCTAGACTTAACTTTTTTATTGACAACAATAATTACAGATGAAAAAATGTCCTTAAGCATAGCCCAAAAGACAGCTCAAGTTCTAAAAAGAAATGCCTCCCATACCCAGGCCAAAGAGGTCCACACTCCCTAAACAAGTACAAACTGCTAGGGGGACCCACATGCCCTTATCCCTGTGGATGAACCTGAACTTTAATCTTGTGGGTGAAACACAACTGCGTTGTGAAACATGAATATGAAAGAACAGACAAGGTAACCAGATGCATGTGCTACAGTTTTTCCTGATTGAGTTTCCACTTCTACAACAAATAGACTCTGGATTTGACAAGAGTGGGTGATCTCTAGTAGACCCGTCTTGCCCCGGCTGACTCCTGTTCATCAGCTCATCACTTCAACGATGCCTCCCCAGAAAAGCCCACCCTGACTACCCTAGCCAATGCTGGCCACCCCCCACCCTTCATTCCTCTTACGTCACTGTTTTATTTTCTTCAAAGCACTTACTCTTGGAAATAATCACACTTATTTACTTGCTTATTGCCTGTCTCCTTTCTTTAGAACATAGACGAAAGGGAATAGTAGGGCCCTTGTCTATCTTGGTTCAAGCCTGAATCCCCACAGCCTGGTGCATGAGACACCTCGCTCAATCAATAGGCATTGAATGAATGAATAAGACGCTGCTGCACTTTTAAGAGTAAGTGTGACTTTCAGGTGACTTTTTTTTTTTTTTTTGAGACAGGGTCTTACTCCGCCACCCAGGCTGGAGCGCAGTGGTGAGATCTCAGCTCATTGCAACCTCTGCCTCCCAGGTTTGAGTGACCCTCTCACCTCAGCCTCCTGAGTAGCCGGGATTACAGGCATGCACCACCATACCCGGCTAATTTTTGTATTTTTAGTGGAGACGAGGTTTCACCATGTTGGCCAAGCTGGTCTCGAACTGCTGACCTCAAGTGATCCACCCGCCTCAGCCTCCCAAAGTGCCGGGATTACCTCCCAGAGTGCTGAGCCACCGCGCCCGGCCTCAAGTGACTTTTTCATATTCACCTTCCAAACTGTATTTGTCTTTTTCTGAGTCTAAAGTGGTTAAAAATCATTTGCCTTCCTTCTGGGCGGTGACTCAAACTTGTAGCCGGGAAGGAAGGCGGAGGAGGGGAGTTCGGGGTGGAACTCAACAGTAGCAGAAGCGCGGCCCTGCAGACTGCCACAAGGGGGCGCCGCCGGAACCCAGTTTCTCTCGAGGTCTTCGCCCCGAGCGAGGCCCGGCGGGGACTCCCGGAGGCCTCAAGGGCCCTCAGCTAGGCGCCACCACCTCCAGGCCTGCGGTCCGCGAACGTGCCTCTTGCCCTCTGCAGGTTCTCCCAACCGCGGGAAGAGAGGTCCGGCCCGCGACGGAGTTCCCAGGAAGAAGGCTGGCTGCAAAAACATTCCCTTCGCAGCAACTACAAATACAGAATTCCTAGGAAGAAATTTATAATCTACCTAAAGAAAGGCACAAAGCTTTACTACGGACCATAAAGCTTAAAGTAAATGGAGAGACAAACCACATTCTTGGATGGGAAGATTATGAAAATGCTGATTCTCCCCAAAATTAAAGCAAATCCAATTTAAATCCCAACAGGTTTTTGCAAACAAGTAGCAAACCATTCTAAAATTTGTCTTGAAAAGCCAACACATTGCAATAGTCAAGATCATTAAAAAAAAAAAAAAAGTAGTGATGACCAACAATTTTGATGTTTGTTTATGTGTGTCTATCAGTGCTGGAAGGAAATATTGGTGAATATATAAGGAGGAGAGGAACTTTCTGCGTGCACAAGCAAGGAATAAACCATAATAGAAAAGTTTGATAGATTTATGTATCAAAAGAGCCTATGAATGCAATAAAGAGGCAGATGTCAAAATGGAAAAATACCAGTGACTTCTGATGGACACAGGTAATATTCTTAATATACAGAGGGGTCTTCTCTGTTTTTTATGAAGATCAACAGACAAATAGAAAACTGGGAAAGGACACAGGCAGACTATTCAGAAAGAACTATTTGACCAATAAACACATAGGAAAATATTCCAGACCTCCCAGTAATCAGAGAGGTGCAAATTAAAACAACATGATGGCCGGGTGCAGGAGCTCATGCCTGTAATCCTAGCACTCTGGGAGGCCGAAGTGGAAGGATCACTTGAGACCAGGAGTTCGAGACCAGCCTGGGCAACATGGAGAAACCCCATCTCTACAAAAAAGGCCAGGGATGGTGGCTCATGCCTGTAATTCCAGCACTTTGGGAGGCCGAAGCGGGCAGATCACTTGAGGTCAGGAGTTCGAGAGCAGCCTGTCCAACATGGTGAAACCCTGTCTCTACTAAAAATGCAAAAATTAGCTGGACGTGGTGGAGGTGGGCGCCTGTAATCCCAGCTACCCTGGAGGCTGAGGAGGAGAATCGCTTGAACTCGGGAGGTGCAGGTTGCATTGAGCTGAGATCGTGCCACTGCACCCCAGCCTGGGCGACGGAGGGAGATTTCGTCTCAAAAAACAAAAACGAACAAACAAACAAAAATTAGCCAGGCGTGGTGGCATGCTCCGGTAGTACCAGCTATTCAGGAGGCTGGAGTGGGAGGATTGGTTGAGCCCAGGAGGTCGAGGATGCAGTGAACCAAGGTTGCACCACTGCACTCCAGCCTGGGCCACAGAGCGAGACCCTGTCTCGAAACAAAACAAAACAACCTCCCGCCCCTTCCAAAAACTCATGACGCTCTCTTCTCCCTCCAAACAGGCAAATATTAACTAAAAAGATGGCCCCAGAACTTGGGATATCCCTTCCTCCAGCCAGTTTCTACCGCGCATCTCCCACGGCCGGGCTCGCTCCCAGACGCGGGCGGATGCGCAGTGAAAACGCTGAGCAAAGCTCCTGCTGTCCTGGGGCCCACACTCTAGGGACAAAGGCGGGAACGCGGGGATGCGCGACAAAACAGATAATGCGTCACACACTAGCGAGCAATGCGTGCTATAAAGAAAAATCACGCGGTAGGGGCAGAGAGTGAGGGGGGTACCATTCGATGGGGAGGCCGGGGAAGGCAGGGGTGCCGAGGGGCCCCCAGACCTGGATGACGTCAGTCAACCACGCACAGGTGCTGGAAAGGATGTTCCGGGCTACAGGGGCCAAAGCCTGTATGCAGGAGCGGGGCAGGTGTGTTCAGGAGAGGGGAGGAGAGGGCAGAGGGGAGGCCAGCGCGCCTGCCTGGGCCTGGTAGAGTAGGGTGTGGAGCCCCCTGGCCAGGCTTGGGGTTAATTCTGAATGACAGAGGAAGCCGGGGAGGGTGTTTGGCCAGGGGCTAGGCAGGATTGATTTATGTTCTCAAGTGCGCCCCCTGGCGGCTGCGGGGAGAACAGCCTTGGCGGGGGCGGTGGAGGCGCCAGGTGAGAGACCAGATGAGATGGTCCCAACGAAAGGATGGCGTGGACCACGGTGGGAGAAACGGTCCCATCTGGACAGACTTTGGAGGAATAGCCTGGGGACTTACGCAGAGATTCGGTGTAGGGTGTGAAACAAAGAGGGGAGACGAGGATGGCTTCGAGTTTTGGCCTGGGCTGCTGGGACAGAGTTGTCCTGGCTGGAATGGTGAAGGCTGGGAGAGGGGCAGGTTTGGAAGAGAACGTACTGTGATGGCGGGAATGTACAGAGCCACAGCTTTTTAGAAGAGCAGATTGTCAATATTTGTCAAATATTTTGCGAGGTGCAGGCCATTTAAACCAGCTAACCCACTTGTAGCAATTTATCTTAGAAAAACAGCAGGCTAGGAAGAAAGGAAGCTCACTGGGCATATACATATCTTCAAGGCTGCTTTGCTTGCAAAAGCAAACGTTTGGAAAAACATAAATATTTTCAATCAAATAAAATTCAGTGCAGCAAAAGATGGAACCCTATACATCCATTAAAATATTGGGGAGGGGGGAGGGATAGCATTAGGAGATATACCTAATGCTAAATGACGAGTTAATGGGTGCAGCACACCAGCATGGCACATGTATACATACGTAACTAACATTGTGCACATGTACCCTAAAACTTAAAGTATAATAATAATTTTTTTTAAAAAAGAAAAAAATATATATATAATCTGCCCTGGATGACATGGGGAGGTGATCAGAAAATTTGAGGTGAAAAACAGCAGATCAGAAAATTATACAATCTCACTTTTTACAAAATCAGCTTTGTAGGTGTGCGTATGTAGGTAGAGAAAACCTGGAAGAATATACAGTGATTGCACATTGAGCTGGATAACAGCAGGTATCCTAGGAAAGTCTAATTATGGTCAAGGCAGATGTTATGGGCTGAATTGTGTTCCCCTCCACATTCATATGTTGATGCTGAGCACGGTGGCTCATGCCTGTAATCCCAGCACTTTGAGAGGCCAAGGCAGGCAGATCACTTGAGGTCAGGAGTTTGAAACCAGCTTGGCCAACATGGTGAAACCCCGTCTCTACTAAAAATACAAAAATTGGCCAGGCATGGTGGTGCACACCTGTAATCCCAGCTACTCGGGAGGCTGAGGCATGAGAATCGCTTGAACCCAAGAGGCAGAGGTTGCAGTGAGCCAAGATCGCGCCACTGCACTCCAGCCTGGGCAACCAAGCGAGACTTCATCGCAAAAAAAGAAAAAAGAAAAATAATTTGTATGTTAAAGTCCTAATCCCCAGTACCTCAGAATGTGTTGGAAATAGAGTGGTTACAGGTATCATTAGTTAAGGTGAGGTCGTTAGGGTGGGCCCTATTCCAAGATGACTGATGTCCTCATTAAAAGGGGAAATTTGGATACGGACACACAGGGAGAACATGGTGAGAAAATAAAGGCAGAAATCAGGGCAATACCAAATACACACCAAAGAATGCCAAAGATTGCCAGTAAGCCAACAGAAGCTGGGAGAGAGGCCGGCAGCCAATTCTTCCTCACAGCCCCCAGAGGAAACCAACCCTACTGGTGCTTTGATCTTGCACTTCAGATCCTCCAGTGCTGTGAGACGATAAATGTTTGTTGTTTGAGTCGCTCCATTGGGGTACTTGATTATGGCAGCCTTAGCAAACTAATACAGCTGACTTGCTATCTCATCTGAAATTTCCACACTACATAATATATTTATCTTCAGAAAACCTAAGCATTTTCATTTTAAATAGAAAATTTAATTAACAATTAAGTTATCTGGTATAATAACTTAATTGGGTAAAAACAACTTTCAAATTTGTATTCCTGTTGATGGCATTTTCATTTTCTGAGCGTTATTCTGAAAAATTCAGGTAAAACAATGTTATTGTTTTAAAAAATGTTTTAAATTGAAAAAAAAATTCAACACCCTGCTGGGGAGGCTGTCAGAAGGAGGTAGCAGTAGTGGCAGTGCTGGTTGGTTTGACCGAGGAGACCTTTGTGAAGAGCAATGAAGATATCCATTGCAGTGTTGTTTATAACAGTGAAAAACTGGACGCCATCCAAACAGCTGAAAGTTCTCTGGGTTATAGCACCTCCCAGCTCTACACCATTTATCTCATTTAATTCTAATCTTATTATTTAGCCATTATTACCTGTGAAATAGATAATGTTTCCCCCAATTCGTAGACAGAAACATAATGAATATGAGAAAAGGAGTTCATCTTCACTAGCAATGTTTTAAAGTTAGGAAAAGAAGAACAGAACAATATGAATAGAAAGAAATTACTGTCATTGTTTTAAATGCAGAAATAAGGTAATCAGAAAACAAAAAAATATATAATCGATACATCCAAAAGCTGGTTCTTTCAAAAAAAACCATAATCAGCAAGTATCTGGCACTTCCACTTTTTCTGAATTAAAACAACAACAAGAAAACATGACAATATTGAGGTATATGTTCTTATGAAATTAAAGGACATGTTTTAAATGACTTCACTAACTGTTGATGAGAGCATGGTGTCACCAGTTCTCGCAAGTATGGCTGATGATAAATTGAAAAAAAATTCTGGAGAGGAATTTAGCAACTTTTATAAAAAAGCCTAGTATATGGGGATGAAGATTTGTACACAAAGATGTTTACACAGGCTGGAACTCTTGAGCTCAAGTGCTCCTCCTACCTCAACCTCCCGATTAGCTGGGACTACAGACACGTGCCACCACAGCCAGCTAATTTTTTATTTTTTATTTTTGTAGAGATGGGCTTCTCGCTATGTTGCCCAGGCTGGTCTCAAACTCTTGGTCTCAAGCAATCCTCCTACCACAGCCTCCCAAAGGCGCTCGGATTACAGTCAGAAGCCACCTAAACTGGCCCTCTCTCAGCTCTTCAAGGACACCTGCCTTCCTTGTCAGAGAGCCCTCCTCCCACATCTTGAAACCAGCAACACTGCATCGAGTCTTTCATTGAGTCCTTCCTCTGTTTTTATTTTATATTATTGAGATGGAGCCTGGTTCTGTCACACAGGCTGGAGTGCAGTGGCGCGATCCTGGCTCACTGCAACCTCTGCCTCCCCAGTTCACGCAATTCTCCTGCCTCAGCCTCCTGGGTAGCTGGGATTACTGGCACCCGCCACTGTGCCAGGCTAATTTTTGTATTTTTGTAGAGATGAGGTCATAAACTTAATTACATCTGCAAAGTTCTTTTCATCGTGTAAGGTAACAGGTTCCAGAGATTAGGATATGGATATCCTTGAGAGAAGGAGGAGGGATTCTGCCTTCCACAGGAGAAAATGTTGAAATTACCTTCAAGAGAAAAAAAGCAGGATGTTAATCAGGGTTTCTCAACCTTGGAGCTATTGATATTTTAGACTGGATAGTTCTTTGTCGTGAGGACGGTCCTGTGCATTACAGAATGTTCAGCAGCAGCCCTGGCTTCTACCCACTAGAGCCCAGTGACACACACAACCCTCCAGCTGTGACAACTGAAAATCTCTCTAAATGTCCCTGTTGAGGAAGGTCAAAATCGCCCCCAACCAGGAACACACACACACACACACACACACACAGTGTGGTCCTAATTCTGTAAAAAACAGCACACACACACACACACACACGCACAGGCGTGCATGCTCGTATATACGTAGACTACAAACTCTTGAAGAAAAATAACAAAATATTAATAGAGGTTATCATGGGTTTTGTCATAATAGTTGTTTTTTGTTCTTTATGCTTTTCTCTGCCTTTCAAGTTGGAATAGCTCTTACTTTTAAGCATTATTTTACAAAGCAATTTTGCTCCAAATAGATTTTCAAACATGAAATTTATGTTTTTATTCCTAGGAGAAGTGCTACTTGATAGCACTTTGCTGTTCTAATGTACTGTTGGATTTTTAAAATCTCTATTCATAACTAAGTGATGTTTTTTTCTTTTACTTGTCAGATTTTTGTGTCAGAATACATAATCTATGCTAAAATTAATTGAAGCATCAGTGGAATTGGCAGTGCCTTTTGTCTGAAAGAACCATCCAGTTAAATGGTTGGGCTGCTCAGAGCTGTTTTTTGGAGATAATTGCTTGAGAACTTTTTCCAGTAGTTTCCTTGATTACAGGGTATTATCATTTTCTACTTCTTCTTGAGTCCATTTTGGCCATTTATCCTTTTTCATAAAATCACGCACATCAGGGCATTTATATTCATTAGATAGGACTGTATAGAAAAATACCTTATAATTTGTCATATCCACTCTATCTATAGTTTTTTCTCTTATTTATTCATTATATTTTCCCAAGATTTGTCTCTTTCTATTGATTTTTTCAGAAGAACTGCCTCTTCATTATACTTATCAGTTCTTTAGATTTTCTATTTTCTCATTCATTTAGTTTCTTCCTTCTGTTTTTTGTTTTGTTTTTTTGCTTATTTGTTTTTTCTTTTTGAGACAGAGTCTTACTCTGTCGCCCAGGCTGGAGCACAGTGGCGCAATCTTGGCTCACTGCAATCTCCGCCTCCTGGGTACAAGCAATTCTCCTACCTCAGCCTCCCGAGTAGCTGGGATTACAGGTGCCCACTACCACGACTGGCTAATTTTCGTATTTGTATTTATTTTTTTTTTGAGACGAAGTTTCGCTCTTGTTGCCCAGGCTGAAGCACAATGGTGTGATCTCGACTCACTGCAACCTCTGCCTCCCGGGTTCAAGCTATTCTCCCACCTCAGCCTCCCGAGTAGATGGGATTACAGGTGACCGCCACCACGCCTGGCTAATTTCTGTATATTTAGTAGAGACGGGGTTTCACTATGTTGACCAGGCTGGTCTCAAATCTTCTGTTTTCTTTAGGTTTGTTTTGTTGTTCCCTCCCTGGGTTTTTGGCTGTCAATACTTAAGTCATTTGCTTTATTTTTATTATTTTAATTATACATTCTTATTTTTTTAATTATGGATTTTTTTCTTTTTTCTTTTTCTTTTTTTTTGAGACGGAGTTTTGCTCTTGTTGCCCAAGCTGGCTGGGGTGCAATGGTGTGATCTCAGCTCACTGCCATCTCCACCTCCCAGGTTCAAGCAATTCTGCCTCGGCCTCTTGAGTAGCTGCGATTACAGGCGTGCACCACCATGCCCAGCTATTTTTTTGTATTTTTAGTAGAAACGGGGTTTCTCCATGTTAGCCAGCTGGTCTTGAACTCCTGACCTCAGGTAATCTGCCCGCCTTGGCCTCCCAATGTGCTGGGATTACAGGCGTGAGCCACCGCACCCGGCTAAATTACCGATTTTCACAAGGATTGCTGAGTCCCATTACCCATTTCCCTTTCTTCTTTAGTAATAGGAACTGATTTAACTGAGCTCATTGCTACCTAGTTTAAAAGACTATATTTCTCAATCTTTAGCTCTATAATTTTTCTAGTTTGACATCTGCCCCTTTCTTTCCTTTTGCTTTTTTTTTTTTTTTTTTTCGGCAGAGTCTTATGCTGTCTCCCAGGCTGGAGTGCAGTGGCGCAATCATGACTCACTGCAGCCTCATTCTCCCAGGCTCAAGTGATCCTCCCACCTCAGCCTCCCAAGTAGCTGGGACTACAGGTGCACACTACCATGCCCAGCTAATTTGTGTACTTTTTGTAGAAATGGGGTTTTGCCACATTGCCCAGGCTGGTCTTGAACTTCTGGGCTCCTATCCTTCTGGCTCGGCCTCCCAGACTGCTGGGATTACAGGTGTGAACCACTGCATTTTACCCGCCTCTGTATTTCATTCATGACATTTTCAGATATGTAAATATATCAAATTTTCCATCATGATTTCTTGCCTTTAGAAAGTGCCTACTTTATATTCACCAATGTTTTCTTCTAGCACTGCTATTTCCATTACAGTGAAATCTTCAGTCATCACTACTTTTATTTTAAAATTCTTGGCAACTGCAAAGTATTGGCTTTTCAAACCAAATTTTAGCATGATTTTTCTACTTGTCCGCAAAAGTATATTAGGACTTTGATTGAATTTACTTTAGTTTGAGCAAGAATTGACATTTTCATAATCTTCCTATCCAGAAGTATGGTTTGTCTTTCCACTTACTTAGCTTCTTCCCCTCAGCAGAATTTGTCCCTTCCTTTATATCGTTTATAAACTTGTTCCTAGGAATGCTACATTCGTAGTTGCTCTTGTGAAAGGGGTAATTTACCATCATCGTGCTTCCAGCTGCACGTTGTGATGGCGTGTGTCCCCGCAGCTGGGTGGCTGGGGCTGTTTGCAGACAGCCATTTTAGTAGAGTCCTTGCGGGTCAGCCTCCCCTTCCTGCAGTCCAGGTATCTGGAGAGAGTGAGAATCTCATGTGAAGAAGCCCCTGGGAGTAGGAATTGGTGGGGATAGAGATTCAGTCCCGAGGATTATCTCTCCAGAACCAATCACTAAACCACCTCTCTCCAAAGAAGCTCTTTCCACCAAAGAATTTCAACATCACATCTAGCTCTGTGGCTCACCCTGAGACCACATGTGCAGCAGGATAATCAACGAAAGGTATAACAGAAGCTTCTGAGCTGATAATGAAGGACTCTCTTCCTCCTTCTGTCAGCCACACCTATCATCCATGGTGGCTCCTGTAGGAAACCCAACCTACCATTATGAAAATCTCACCTCCTTGTCTGTGAAGTGAACGTGACACATTAAAAATGAGATTCTGGAGACCAGGCACAGTGGCTCACCCCTGTAATCCCAGCACTTTGGTAGGCCGAGGCAGGTGGATTGCTTGAGGCCAGGAGTTCGAGACCAGTCTGGCCAACATGGTGAAACCCTGTCTCTACTGAAAATATAAAAAAATTAGCCAGGCGTGGTGGCGCACACCTGTAATCCCAGCTACTCCGGAGACTGAGGGACAAGAATAGCTTGAACCTGGGAGCTGGAAGTTGCAATGAGCTGAGATTGTACCACTGCACTCCAGCCTGGGCAACAGAGTGAGATTTGATCCAAAAAAAAAAAAAGAAGAAGAAAAGAAAATAAGATTCTGAAGGCCAGGTGCGGTAGTTCATGTCTGTAGTCCCAGTACTTTGGAGGCTGAGGCAGGCGGATCGCTTGAGCCCAGGGATTAGAGACCAGCCTGGGCAACAGGGCAAAACCCTATCCATAAAAAAAGAAAACAAATGAGACTAAGTTCCCAGATAGGTATGTACTCAGCAGTGAGGTGCACATACATTCACTGAGGACACGTGCCAGAATGTTTGTAGCAGCACTGTTGGTTATAGCCCCAAACTGGAAACAATCCAATTATCTATCCACAGTGGAATGGATAAACAAATTGTAGTACATGAAAGAATACCTACAATCATGAGAATGAACCAACTGCCAATATATTTTCAACACAGACTCTCACAACCATAGTGTTAAGGATGCCAGACAGAAGACAGCACATAGCATGAGCCTCATGAATGTGAAGTTTTAAAAAATAGAGAAAGCTCCTCAATGAACAGGAAATTAGGATAGTGGTTACTCATGGGTAAGAAGTGGTGATGGGAAGAGGAATGAGGGGCCATCGGTGGATCTGTTAATGTTCTGGCACTTGACCTGGGTACCTTGTTACATCAGCCCTAGGAAACTATTAGAAAAGACATCTACGAAAAACTTGCCACTAAATTACATTCCTAGTGAAACAGCAAACACTTGCTCTCTAGGATCAGAAAAAAGGTGAGGATGTTCACCGTTATCACATCTATACCACATTGTACTGGAGCCCTTACTTGTAATCCAAGAGAAAGAAAAGGCATAAAGATTGAGGAAAAGAGGTAAAACTGTCTTTGTTCTCAGATGATGCGATTATGTATATAGAAAACCCAATGAACCTATTTAAAATACCATGACTAAAAAATGAATATATACAGGTTGTAAAGAATACAAGGTCAGCTGGGTGCGGTGGCTCAAGCCTGTAATCCCAGCACTTTGGGAGGCCAAGGCGGGTGGATCTTGAGGTCAGGAGATCGAGACCATCCTGGCTAATATGGTGAAACCCCGTCTCTACTGAAACTACAAAAAATTAGCCAGGCATGGTGGCGGGTGCCTGTAGTCCCAGCTACTCGGGAGGCTGAGGCAGGAGAATGGCGTGAACCTGGGAGGCAGAGCTTGAAGTGAGCAGAGATCGCGCCACTGCACTCTAGCTTGGGCGACAGAGTGAGACTCCGTCTCAAATAAAAAAGAATACAAGGTCGATTTTCCAAATTCCATTGTATGTCTATACATTACCAATAAAGAATTATAAAACGAAACAAATAAATGCAATAGCATCAGAAACATAAAATACTTGGACATAAATTGAACAAAAGATGTTCAAGACCTCTATATTCTCTATACTAAAAAAAACACAACATTTGTGAGAGGAATTAAACAAATGGAGAAATATACCATGTTCATGGATTTGAAATCAAAATTGTTGAGATATCATTTTCCCCAAAATTGGTTTATAGATTTAACATAAGCCCAATTAATACCAACAGATTTTCTTTTGTAGAATTTGATAAACCAATTCAAATGGTTATTTGGGTATTCAAAGGATCTAGAAAAGCTCAACAGTCTCGAAAAAGTCAGAGTACTCATACTGTCTGATGTTAATACTTATTAGAAATCTAAAGTGATCAAGATAGTGTGAAATTGGCATAAGGATAGAAAAAAATAAACTAATGTAACAGAACAAAGAGTCTAGAAATAAATCCATTAAACGTTGTCAATTGGTCTTTGACAAAGATGCCAAAACAATTAAATGAGAAAAACAAAATTTCTTAAACAAATACTGCTGGGACACCTGTATAACCATATGGAAAAGAAATAAACCTCAATCCCTACCTCATACCTTACATTAAAAAATCAATTAAAAGTGGATCACAGACCTATATGTGAAACCTAAAACTATAAAGCTTCTGAAAGAAAGAATATGAGAATATCTTCAAAATTTGAACATGGGTGTTTAAAGAATTTTTAGACAGGACATTAAAAGCACTAACAATAAAATTAAAATTTATACATTGAGCTTGATCAAAATTATAAATTTCTACTCATGAAAAGACAAAATTTTAAAAGTGAAATACCACAGTCTGAAAGGAAATATTCACAATGAATATACATGACAAAAGACTTGTATCCACAATATAAAACGAATTCCTACAAATCAATAATTAAAAGACAGTCTAAATGACCAAAAGACTTAAGCAGACACTTCACAAAAGAAGATATACAAATGGCCAATACCACATAAAAAGATGTTCAGCATCATTAGTCATCAGAAAAATACAAATTAAAACCACAATAACATAAAATTTTACTAAATACAATTGCTAAAATTAAAATAACTGACAGCACCAAATATTGGTAAAGTTGTGGAGCAACTGAAACTCTCATACATTGCTGGTGGGAGTGTAAAATAGCACAGATATGTTGGCAGGGCTGTGCTGAAATGGGGAGAGAGTCATGTGAATGGTCTGTCCAGATCAGGCAATAAGGGAGTGCAATTTCTGCACAGAATTTAAAAATTATAATAAAACTAACTAAAAATTGATCTACTTTACATCATCACAATGCATTCGCATTTCTAAACAATGTCAGTGATAAAATATGTCTGTCTTGTAGGGTGGGCCATTTCTACCTCATCCTCACTGATGCTATTTACTCAAGAGAAATTAAAACAAAAATACATGTAAAGAAATGTCCATAGCAATTTTATGGTGGAAGACTGAAGGCAACCCAAATGTCCATGTCAGGAGAATGGATAAACAAGTTGTAGTGTATTTAAAAAATGGAATATTACTCAGCAAGTAAAAAGAACAAACTATTGTGGATGAACCTCATAAACATATTGAGTGAAACTAGACACAAAAGAATACATGTTGTACAGTATATGAAATTCAAGAACATGGCCAGGCATGGTGGCTAACACCTGTAATCCCAGCACTTTGGGAGGCCAAGGTGGGTGGATCACCTGGGGTCAGGAGTTCAAGACCAGCCTGACCAACATGGTGAAACCCTGTCTCTACTAAAAACCTCCTTTAAAAAAATGAGCCAGGTGTAGTGGCACACACCTGTAGTCTCAGCTACTCGGGAGACTGAGGCAGGAGAATTGCTTGAACCCAGGAGGCAGAGGTTGCAGTGAGCCAAGATGGTGCCACTGCACTCCAGCCTGGGTGACAGAACAAGACTCTGTCTCAAAAAAAAAAAACAAAAAAAGAAAGAAAGAAAGAAAAAGAAAAAGAAAATAAAATAAATTAAAGAACAGATAAAACTTAATCTATAGTGATGGAAACCAGAACAGTGGTTGCCAGTGGTGGTGGGGATTTACTGGAAAAGAATGGGAAGAAATTTTCTGGAATTATGGAAATGTTCTGTATCTTGATTGGTTTGTTGGATACATGAATATATATCTTTGTAAAATAGTTTTTCATTTTACCTAAAATTTTTTTTTAATTACCTTCAACACTTAGCTTTCAGCTAGCTCCTCAGTGGAAAAGAGGGGCCTCTGAAGGGGGCAGGTGGAGGTAGGGGAGGTGGAGCTGAAGATAGCTGCTGCTCTTGTCAGAAGAACAGGATCTCAAACTCACCCACTCCCTTACTCAGAGCATGTGATTGATGGAGCACACTTCTCCTTGAGAAGAACTCTGAGGACAATGGGCACACCCTTGTCTGAGCCCGTTACATTTCCAGAAAGCTAATCTACTGACCCTCTATGGATTTGTTACAACCATAAGTCTTACATAACCAGTGCTTTAAATTGTAATAAACTAGATATCTTTGCAAACAACATTCAACTTCTAAATTTTGAGAAACAGGCAAATACATGTAAAAGTTCTCATTTCTGATTTTATTTTAACTAGAGACGGGGATCTCGCTATGTTGCCCAGGTTGATCTTGAACTCCTGGGCTCAAGCAATCCGCCCACCTTGGCCTCCCAAAGTGCTAGGATTACAGGCAGGAGCCACCGTGCACAGCCTGAGATTTTATTTTCAAAGTGAACTGTTGCAGGATTGATTCCAACAGCCCTTCCCACTGGAGCCAATCACACCAGAGTTGATGAGGGAAGGGAAGAGTTAGTGGAGAGGCCTCAGCCAAGAGGCTCAAAATCAACGCAAGGAAGATGAGGACTGAAAAGCAGCTTGGAGATTTCAGCCAGGTGGAGGTGGAGGAATAGAAGCCAGATTGAGGTAGGATGAGTGTAGGGAGTGATAAGGAAATGGAGACTGAATTTTCAAGAGGTTTGGCTAAGAAGAAGAAAAGATAAACAGGGTATCAAGTGGAGGAGGACGTGGGGTCAAAGAAGGGGTTTGTTTTTGTTTTAAGGCTAATACGAGCATGTTTCAGAGCTGACAGGAAGAGCTGAAAGGTTAGGAGGCGGGGGCTGATGGATGTCTCAGGTGTCTGATAGGAGGGGAGGGGTGGAATCCTCATCTAGAGAGTGGCTGGAGAGAAAAGACAGACGCCTCTTCCGCGGCGAGTGGCAGGAGGAGCAGTGGGCAGAAGGGCAGCTGTGGATGGGGGCGGATGTGCTGGCAGGCAGGAGGGCGTTCTTATGTTGATAGACATAAGCCACCTAAAGCCATGGCTTCCAGATCCTCAGCAGCTGAGCTGCTGAGAGGTGTGCAGCAGTCTGGAGAGGGCAGGATGTGGCCGTTGAGAGTGTGGACAGAGTGACAGAGCAGCAGTTCCCAAACCCGAGTGTGCATCAGAATCACTAAGGGCTTGGTGGGCACAGAACACACCCTGAGTTTCGGAATAGACATAGAAAGGGTTTGCCTTCCTAACAAGTTCCCAGGTGCTGCTGGGGCTGCTGGCCGAGGTCCTTGCTTGGAGAATGACTGGTTAAAGAAGCCACAGCTGTCCCACCCTGCAGCTCCAAGGGGACCGCTTTGCATGGCTGCCACCATGCCCCTCCAAGAGGAGGTAGCATGCTGGTCCCAAGGGGCATGATGGTATCACTTTCACCAACAGAACTTAGCAGTCCCTGAGCAGAACCTGGAACCAGAAAGGGGGACAGGAGAAGCTCTGCCACTTGGGTAAGATGCAAGAACAGAACAAAGAGGATTCAGGTGCTGGCAGGAATGGCTGTTGGACTGAGCTGAGGGCTCCTGGCCCAGAGTCACTCTCCTCACTCCCAGTGCGGACTCTCATTTCCCTGTCACTTGTCCACACCCTGTGTCTTTCCAGTTCCCACCCAAATCTCCTGTCTTGCATGGAGCCTGGGCTGCACCACGACCGCATTCACCCTGCTGTCCTTCCCTGAGTCCACAAAACTCAGTATGCGACATGGACCTCCCGCAGCCTCCTGGCTCCCCTTGGATTATTGACTGGCTATACTGTACTCCATCAAATATAAGATGCTATCACTTGTGAAAGACATTACTTAATCACTGCCAATTATAATTGTAAAAGATATCTTGATTCTCAAGATGTTAAAATGTGAAGAAATGTGTTTCTTAGAATCCATGGAATATGGATTCTTGAGCATCTGAACAGGTGATCTGCAGAGCATGGTGCCCCCCAAGACCCATTCAGGGGGGTCTCCAAGGTCAAAACTATTTTTTGCAACAATATAAGTCATTATTTGCCCTTTTCACTCTCATTCTCTCATTAGCGTGCAGTGGGGTTTTCCAGAGACTACATGTGTGATGACATCGCTTTGATGCCCAATGGAATATATGTATTCTTGTGTCTTAAAACTTTCTGAGTTTTAGTTTCTAATATGGTAAATGTTGATAGACATAAGCCACCTAAACAAAAGCTCTTGGGGTCCTGAAACCAAAAAATTTAGGAATCACTGCACTAGGTTGTACGCCCAGCACTTGGCCGGCATTGAGTCCATGGTCAAGCGTAAGGAGAGGCCCGAGGGGGATGTGCACAGTGCTGAAGGTGCACAGGAAAGGGACTTATCCCAGCCGGTCTGGGAAGGCCTTCCAGGGGAAGTGGGGTGCTCGCCTGCCAATCTCAGGCATGTGGATGCTTCACCCAGGTGGCCCTGTCTTGCTGACCAGAGATTTGTGCCAAACCAGCTCTGCGACCCTGGGTTTAGTCATGCTACCTTCTATCACTATTAACATGAGGCTAATGTGTAGGTCACAGAGGCTGTGATGAAAATTAAATAATTGAATGCACGTGAAAGAATGCCACTCATAGAAGGTTTCACATGACCACATCCTTGGTGGCTGGGTTGTGTCTTGGGCATCTCTGTTTTCTGCCACAGAGCTTAACACAATGCTTGGCACACAGGGGTGCTTGGAAAACACTGAGTGAAGGAATGCATGTTGGGGGTGTGGCCTAAGCAAGACGTGGAGCTTGCCTTCTCCAGACACCAGGTTTCCCATGGGATCTGGAGCAGGTGATGAGCGGTAGTCCATAACACCTTCCTCTCTGGCTCTGTGCCAAACCAGATTCCTCCTCGTCTCCTCCAAACCATCTGTCTTCTTCCACCTCCCCATTCCCTCCCCCCAGTTCCCCAGGCTGGTGGCCTTAGCATCAGTTAGACTTTCTTCTTTCCCCACCTGTCTGTCCTCAAGGTTGCTAGGTTCATCCAAGATCTGAGCCAAGAGGTCCGGGTCTGGGACGTGGGCGCTAAGGGCCCAAGGCAGCTGCAAAAGACCTGAAAGGTGAGAAGAGAGATCAGTGGAGGACCCCGGACTGTCCTCAAGAAGCGGACGGACTCCCCTGCCCTCCACTGGCAGCCCAACAGCAGAACCAAAGCGGACCACTCAGCACAACCTGTGTGTGTTGCTGGGCGCTGTCCCTGGCCCAGTCTGGACCAGGAGCAAAGAGGAAAGATTCAGGGCGTTAGTGCCAAGAGCAGCCATCCCAGCAACAGAAGCCCCTGCTTCCCCAGTACCCGTGATACTTGGGAGGAGCAGAGTCTTGAGTGGAACCCGAGCCTCTGACACCCGCCCTGGGGGTCTTCCCTCCACTCTCGCCAGGGTCCTCCTGGATGAGTGAGACAAGGGCAGTTCAGGAGGTCACCCAATAACTGAGGTCGCAGCAACACGAAGGAGCCAGGGAGCAGGGGCGGCCTTCCCTTCTCCACTCCAGGCGGCTCCAGCGTGCACCCCAGGACCCCCCAGGAAGGTTTTGCAGGAATAAAGAATGAAGGCAGAAGCAAGATGGAGGATGAAGGAGGCGTGGATGGCTTCAGAAGGCAAGACGGAGGCAGCAGTTTGGCGCCTGTCTCAAAGCCTCCTCCCCGCGCCAAGGACAGGTCGGAGGAGGGGGGCGTGGGGACAGGTAGAGCGGAGGCTCCAGCGTTTCTAAAGGGGAAGACCTGAAGTGGGGCAGGAGAGACGGGTGAGTTGTCTGGAAGCTGCATTTGCCTGGCAAACACTGGGTTAACAAAGACTTGCGTTGCGGGGATGCTGGCCTTGGACAGGGAATGCGAAGGGATTATGCTACGGAGAACGGATCCGAGCGTGACGGCTGAATGAATGAGTGAGCGAGTGAGTGAGTGAGTGAGTGAGCGAGCGAGTGAGTGACTGTGCGAGCGAGCGGCAGAAGGAACTCCGACCCGCCCCAGGTGCGGAGCGGCGCGCCCGGCAGGGGTCACTGCGGGCCCCGCGGGCGGGAAGGGGGCGCAGGCGCGGCGGGCGCCGGGGCCCTCCCGCGGGGACGGGGCGGGGAGGGCTGGGGGTGGGGTTAGAGAGAGGGACGCGAGCGGGATCCAAACTTCCGGTGCCTGCAGAGCTCGGAGCGGCGGAGGCAGAGACCGAGGCTGCACCGGCAGAGGCTGCGGGGCGGACGCGCGGGCCGGCGCAGCCATGGTGAAGATTAGCTTCCAGCCCGCCGTGGCTGGCATCAAGGGCGACAAGGCTGACAAGGCGTCGGCGTCGGCCCCTGCGCCGGCCTCGGCCACCGAGATCCTGCTGACGCCGGCTAGGGTGAGAGGGTCTGGGGCTCAGGCGGTGGGGCGGGGGACCCAGGCTCACGACCCAGGCGCGCCCCGTCGGCCCTGGGGACTGCCCGAGGCGCGTCAGGGCCCCAGAGCCCGGGGTGGAGCAGGGTTGGGAAGTCTCGAATGGTTGCTTATCCCAGAATGAGGAGGGGGCTTAAGTCCCGTACTAAAGCGGCAGCCAAAAGCTGAAGTCCGAAGAGTGGGAGGCGTCTGGTTCTGGTCTTCAGGTGGAGAAGTGCTCGAGGTCTCTTCCAAAAGTGGGGGCCCCCTCGCCGCCTTATAGGGGGAGGGGGCTGGTCCGAAGAAGTTCGAGGAATGTTGGTGGGGGGGTACGCGTCTGGTTCCAATCAACTGGGAAAGCCGCGAGTCGAGTCCCCAGGTGGGGGATGGGAGGAGGGTTAGACGTAGTTTTTCCAAAGTAGGGCGGTGGGACCTGATTGGCTGGGGAATTGGGGGTGGGGGGGTCTGGTACCAACGAAGAGGGTGGGGCCGTTGATTTCCTCCGAAATTGGGGGCTGCGAGGGACAGAGGATGTGCTGCTGGCCTGCACCGGAATTGACAGACCAGAAAGTGATGAAATGGAAATCAGCCAGAACCGACGGCGCTGCGGCCTCTGGACGTCGGGGGTCCGAGGCCGGGTGCCCCCTTCCCACCCCACGCCCTGCCGTCTGGGCCTCCCTGCTCCCCTCTCTTTTCTCCATTCCCAGCCTCTCGCTGGGCTGTCCCCCGACCCCACGGGGAGGGCTCCCAACTGCCCCAGTGCCCTTGCATCCTGGGTCCCCGGGCTCTGTGCGCGTTCCCCCACCCCTGTCATCCCCCTCCCCTACCCCGGCTTCCTCCACTTTCCCTCTGGCCGGGGGGGAGAGAAGGCATTTCCGCCGTGGAAAACTGTCTGAGCTGCGTGCCTTGTGTCCGGGAAGGGCCCGCAGGGGGCAGAACGCGTGGCGGGCAGGGACAGGGAGGGAGGGAGAGCTGGCCCAGCCAGGTTTTATTGTGCCTGGCAAAGGTGTCTACGTGGGCGCCGCCCCCAGCGGTCTTGTGGCTTACCAAGCCCATGTCCTCCCCGCCTCCCCACCCCGCATTGAGGCAGGACTGAGAAAGTCTTTGTCCACTGCTTCCCCACTTCCAGATGCAGGCTTCTGAAGAGTCTTCCTGAACGCCTAGCCCCCTCCCCAGGTTTTGTGGCTCAGGTTCAGTCTTGCCTGGGGCATTAAGGGGCCTGCAGAGGATGACCTGGACCCTGGAGGAGGGGGCGCCGGAGAGGGCCGTCAGAGTTGGGTGTCAGCCTGGGCAGAGACCCTGAGTGAGGAATGCCAGGAGACTGAGAACCCCCTGCCCTTTTATGGTGGTCACTGCAGCAACCAGTGGCTCAGAGCCACAAGAGTTCAACAACCACCTAGGCGAGGTTGGGGGTTGCTGTGCACCCCATGAGAGCAGCTCCCCCCTTTTCATCTGAAGCTTAGGTGGAGGGGGCGCTCCATATTTGAAGAAGATGGTTCTGCAGCTTTAAAAGTTTGCAAGGGGTTCTTCAAGACTCCTTTTCTTTGGAAGGGAAGCTGCCCTCCACTCAGCCTGGGGAGGGGCAGGGATGGGGGCAGGAGGCAGCACGCTTGCCCATCTCTTTTCCTAGCCACCTCTTCCTGGAGATATTTGAGGAGGGAGGACCAGGTCAGACAGTGGGAGGGTGTTATTCCAACTCCATCAGAAGGTCCCCCAGATTTTGCAGGAGCGGCACATTCTCCAGCCGCAGCCTGCTGATGGCATGGGTTTGGGCAGTCTGACAGAGACCTGCATCTCGGGGCATAACTGACATCCTAGCTTCTGGCTTCTCATCAGGCTCTGAAATTGAGCGTCCTTTCTTCCCCCTCACCCAGCATGAAATGGAAATATCAACATCTTCCTGCGTGCTGTTTGTAATGGCCTTGAGCCTGCTGAGTACCTCCTCCCTCAAACTTTGTCAGTTGGGCAGGGTCCCCTCCCTCTCTAATTGGCAAGGGGGAGCTTAGGACTATGCGATCTGGGGAAAGAATTAGAATCCTGGCATCTTTAGGACAGAACTGCATGTTAGTAAACTTTCACAGCTTCCCAAGGCCCTGGCGTGGTGCAGAGGGACTTTAGGTGTTGCAAGTTGGCTCTGCCCATCACCTGCTAGATTTGGAGCCTTGGAAACAGTTCACTTCTGCGGGCCTCCTGTTGCCCCACTTGGCCAACCCGCACATTTCCTCCTTACCCAGTTTCTGGCAAGGAGCCAGGCCTCGTCTCCTGCCCCCAGCAGTGAGCAGGCAGGAGGCCCATTTCTCAGCTGTAGCTCTGTGAGCCGAGGGATGGCAGCCAGGAGGCTGCTTTCTCAGGGCAGGGCGTGTAGATTTTGTCCCGTACTGTTGGGAATGCCCAGGAAAGCTTATTAAAACGTTTCTTCTGGCTGGCAGTGACCCCAGAACCCTCCTTGGTGTCTGAACTGGACTCCAAAACAAGATTTATTTTATTTTATCTATTTTATTTTATTTTATTTTTTTTTTTGAGACAGAGTCTCACTTTTACCCAGGCTAGAGTTCCGTGGCACGATCTTGGCTCATTGCAACCTTCACTTCCAGGTTCAAGTGATTCTCCTGCCTCAGCCTCCCAAGTAGCTGGGAATAAAGGCACCTGCCACCATGCCCGGCTAATTTTTGTATTTTTAGTAGAGACAGGGTTTCACCATGTTGGCCAGACTGGTCTCAAATTCCTGACCTCAGGTGATCTTCCCACCTCAGCCTCCCAAATTGTTGGGATTACAGGTGTCAGCCACCACACCCGGCCCAAAACAAGATGTAAAAAGTGATCCGCAGGAGGAGCACTCGGTGAACAGATGATTGTGCGGTGAACAGATGATTGTGCGTTGGGGCAGTTCTTGACCTGTGTCCAGGCCCAGAGTGAGGGCGGGGTGGGGGCAGGGTGAGGCGGCAGGAGCACCCTCTCGGTGGGCACTGCCCCTGCTTCTGAGCAAAAACTGCAACACAAGGAGGATTTTGTCTGTGGACCTGAGACTGGAAGGAAGTGCCTCAGTGGGCCAGGGAGGGATGGGGGTGGGGGCCAGCTGGGCTTCCAGCTGCCCGGCCTCCCCCCCTGGTGTTTTGACTCTGAGATAATGAGGAGCTGGGACACTGCCAGCTTGGGAAGTGGGCTGGACCGGAAGCACCCCCTGGGACAGCAAAGCACTCCCTCCCAGCGCCAACTGGATCCCTCCTCCCCTTTGGGGGCCCACTGGCTGGCCATGCCCCTCTTAGCCTGCCCCTTCTCCCCACACCCTGCCTGTGCCTGCACTCACACACACACACACACACACTTATGCACACACATGCACGCACAGATGTGGGCATGTAGAGGCTCACGAGCTGGGGCTGTAAGGGGAGAAAAACAAGTTAAATACAATCATCTTCTTACCTCTGTAATTTTCTCCTTGGCATTTGCCTTTGATTAATGGTCCTGTGTCACCCCCTCCCCAGCCTGCATACCTGGGGATCAGATTTCAGTTTCCTAGTGTGTCCTGGTCTCAGGCCCTCGGCAGGAGGAGCTGGGTCTCCTGGAGCGGTTGGGGGAGGGTCCCGTGCCAGCCAGGAGGGCAAATCTGGCCAGCTTAGCCCTACCCCAGTGTCCTGATGCCCACTGGCCAAGAGGGCCTGGCCCGAAAGCACTTTGTGGAGCAGCGGCCCTGCTCCATCCAGGTCCTTCCCTGTGGCAGCGTGGGGACTTTCATGGCTGTCGTCCATTCCTGGGATTTGGCGCCCCGGCAGGCCCCACGGTGGCTTCTCTGCTTTCCTGCCGCTTCTCTCTCCATTCCCTCATTTCTGCTCTCTTCTCTCAGCAGTCCTTGCATGTTTCAAGACCGTCAGCAGATTGCCAGTGAGGATGAGTTTCTCTTAGTGTGGAGAAAAAATGTTTATGGTGAAATCACAGAGGCACAACCTGGCCAGCCCCTCTGTCCACCGCCCCACTCTCTCCAAGTTCCCTCTCCCCATGAGGGCTCTTCCAGCAGTGAGCTTTTGTTGTCTGGAGATGCCTTGACTATCAGGGATGGAAGAGAAGAGGGAATTCGCCTGGCCCAGCCAAGCCGAGAGCGCATCTGCACAGATGCTGCCCGTGGGGCCTGCAGTCTGGAAGGGAGGACAGGAGAGTGATGGGGACCCCTGACCCTGTTGGCAGATGGCATCTGTGCCTCTGGACCACTGGGCTCTGTGTGCTCAGGTGGACAGTGTTTGCCCACTCTCCTCTCCCCCAGCTAGGCTCTGTCTTGAACACATACAAGACACACACACTCGGTGGGTGCCCTGGCCTCTGTGGTCTGGAGCCTGGGAAAGAAAGCTGCTGAGGACCAGGAGAGATGTGGGGGAGGTGAGATGAGACTGCCTCCCCAACCCCCATCTTCCCTGTTCTCAGCCTGGGCCTCAGGAGTGCGTTTCTGGCTGCCGAACCCCTCCAGGCAGGCTGCAATCTGCAATCATCGTTAAATCGGCTTGCAGTTAATTTGGACATTGTTACTGGGGGATGGGGCCCGGGAGCGCTCCCTTCCAGCTGTGGGGGTCTGCCGAGTTAATGCTACAGTTGGCTGGTTTCCCCCTGACCATTTTGGCCCTGGCTTTGGTAAATCATTTAATGAGTGCCCCTGTGGGTCTCAGTTTAAGCCTGCAGGGAGAGGCCCAGGCCTCTCTCGGGTCCCTGGACTTCCGGCTCATGCGCCCTTCGCTCAGAGAGCTCTGTTGCCTTGGAAACAATATGCAATATTTTTCTACTATCTAAATGGGAGCCCCCCTCCTCAGATACCTCACTGTCAGTAACTGCTTCCTATGGGGAGCAACATTTTTCTGGGTCCCCAGCATGATAGGTGGTGCGGCTGGGGTCTCAGGAAGGTGGGCCATTCGGCCATCTTTCTAGTGAGCTGGGCACCAGGGATCCCAAGGGGCCAGGGCTCTGGGTTGAGCCCAGGCTCCCTGATGCCCCACTGTCCCCAGACAGGTGTAAATACCCCGAGATCACAGGCTGCTTTGAGGGCCAAAGGGACAGTGAGGGTTCCAGGGCTTTGGTGTTTGAGCCTTGGTGTTGATTGGGCACAGTAGGCAGAGGCAGCGCTGGGGCGGGATTTAGGAGTTCTGCCTCTGTGTGGGGCTTTATGGAGGAAATGCCTTCGCCTCCAAGCAGGGACATCTGCGCTTTCCTGTCTACTTTCTGGTAGCCTGTAATGCTGCCTTCTGCACTTCTGCTCATAATGGTGCCTCTGAGGGTTTGGCTCTGCAGGCTGGAGCGGAGCTGGGAGGGTGGCAGCGTGGCTGAGCCCGGGTGTGTGCTGGGGGACATCAGCAGGGCCATGAGAGAGAAGTGCCCACCCGCAGTCTAGGTAAGGTGGGGGATCCCCAGCCTTCACAGTGAGGGGTCTTGGCAGGAACCCCTGCCCTTCTCTGCCACACCTGCCACTGCTGCTCTTCAGCTGGGGCCGTGGAAGCCTCACCTTCTCCCTGCTCTGTCTTCTCTAACCTCCCTCGGTGGGGCCTCCGAGCCCAGCCCCTCCCCCAGGACAGGGAGACACGGGACCCAGCTCAAGTTCTGCAGACCAGCATTAAGGCGGAAAGGCGGAAAGGCGAGGCTGCCCTTTGCCATAAAGCTAGCAGGCCTCACCTTGTCGGTGAATTTGATTTGTGGAGCAGGCCCTCGGGCTCTCCCACGTAGCGCTTTGACTTTTTTTTTTTTCCCTTTTCTGTCTTTCTGGTTGTTAGCAATCTCACAAGCTAGTTTCCCTGGTTTTCCAGAATGCAGAAGCAAAAGTCTGGCCACAATGCAGCCTCAACAGCTGTCCACAGAGTCAGCCCTAAAAAGGAAAGGCTCGGCTGATAAAGATCTGCTATTTTTATCTAGCACTTGATCCTTTACAAAGGGCTTTTAGGTTCTTTGTCTCGTTTAATCCCAGCAAAACCCCTGTCACGCAGAGTCTGTCCACATTTTGCATGGGAGACCCGAGAAGGGGGAGGTTGCAGGGCCCCGCTGGGCCTGTAGCCCCACTTGACCCCTAAATACAATCTGAGCCCTGGTGTTTGTTGTGTCCCGAGGGCAGATTTCCCAGCTGCTGTAGGCAGCCTGGCCTGTGTCAGGGTCAGCCACCTTTCCTTAAGACCTGCTCAGGAGCGCCAGAGGGGCAGGAGGGCATCCCTGGTGCCTGGTTTGCAAGAGCTCCTGGGTGGTTCGATCCCTGGGAGATGCCAACGGAAGGTGTCACCCCCGTCTCTTGCTGCTCCCGGGAGTCCATTGGAAAACCAAAGCCATTTAGTCCCAACCCCCTGTGGCCAGCAGCTGTTCCTGAGGGCCCTGTGCACTGTGGCCATGCCCGTCACTTGCTGGTGACCTTGGTTAGTGCCCCTGGCTGCTGAGGAGATGACAGTGGGCAGGTGGTCCATATGATCACGGGACCCCTAAAGCAGGGCAAGGTGGGGAGAGGCCCCGGCCTCCTCATGGGCCAGGCAGTGCGGGCAGTGGTTTGACCTCCCACACCCACCCAGCAGGCTCCCTTGCGGGCAGACTTGAGTGTGAGGGTGCAGGACAGGCAGGGGCACCCCATGGTGAGGATGCTGGGGGCCTGCTGACCTGCTCACGCATGTCCGCAGTGAAGGGGGGGTCCTCCAGACATTTTCTGTCCTTTTCCTAAGCAGGGCGGGTCAGACCCTCAGCTCCCCAGGGCCCAGGCCCCACACTCCCCTGTGCTCTAAAAGGGTGGGAGGTGAAACCTGAGGAGCGAAGCAGGCGCCCCCAGGGCAGGACCCCTGTGCTGTGCTGAGAGATAGGGCCTGTCCTGAGTCACTTAGGCCTGAACCACCCCCCTCCAGGGGGAAGGGAGAAAGGAAATCTGTTCCCATCCCAGAACGCCTGGCCGGAAAGGGCCTGAGAGGTCACTTGGTCTGACCTGCTCATTTTGCAGATGGGGAAGCCGAGGCCCAGAAAGTGCTAAGCAGGCAGGTAGTGGCAGAGCCAGAATGAGAAGCTTCAGGCTCTGGGGCTGGATCCCCTCCTCTCCCCAATACTGCGGCAGTCCGCAGGGACTGACCTCTAACCTCACTCTTGGCCGTATGTGGACACCACGGAGGAAGGATTAAATGGTGAACATTGGAGGCAGAGACTGGCCCCGGGGCTTTTGCATTATCTCCAAGGGTGAGCAAGGGCCCGGGGGAAGGCATAGGAGGTAGGGAGGAGAAGAGACAGGAAATTGACCAAGCTCACCTGGCTGGCTCTCGTCAGTGCTCTGGGTAAAGCAGTTTTGTTGAATTTTATACTCACACACCTACGTCCACCACCCCACACATGTGTGGCCTGGAGATGGGTTAGGTTGGCTTCTTGGCAGCCCTGCAGCTATGATCTTGAGCCCAATTCTGGCTCCCAGAGCAGATTTTTCCAGGATCCTTCTAGCCTGGCCTTCCGGACAGCCACATTTCTCTCCTGGCAGGAGCTCCCTGGTGGATGGAAGCTTCCGGGCTTCATCCTGTAGCTGTTACACCACTTGTAACAGCCTGCTTGACTGCCGGTCGGTGCCTGTGGGGGGCCAGTGTGGATCACAGGCCTAGAGCTCCCTGGCTGGGGACAAGCACCCATGCCCAGACCCCATGGGGCTCCTGGAGCCCCTGCCCCCATCAGTCACAGCCTCCTTGGTGGAGTTGAGCAGCCTTTACACAGCCTGCCCACCTCCTATTGTCCTCATTTTAGTCTACCCTCTGCACCTTGGTTTTAGAGTGGATCTTGTCACTCCCCAGCTCAAAAGCCTTCCCGGGCTCCCCATCGTCCAGAGCAGCAGCTCCCAGCCTGCCTGGTGTGTCTCAATTCCTACAGAGATTTCTAAGTCCCTAAAGTCACCGAGGCCAGGTCGGCACATCCCCTATCTTCTGTTTGAAAGAATATACCACGGTCACGGCTGGTATAAGCAAGAGGCCTAAGAGCTCAGATAACTCAAAATGCACCTGCTGAACCCACTGCATCTCTTTCGGTGGCTTCCAGGTGTGTCTTGGTTTCTCTTTCGAGGTGTGTCTCCTTTTCTCTTTCGAGGTTTGTCTCGGTTTCTCTTTAGCCAGGACGAGTCCGGGTGACCCTGGTGGGCCTTCCTTTCCCTTCTAGGTGTCATCTCCTTCCCTCCCTTTCCCCCAAGACTCCCTCCGGGCCCAGCCAGCAGGTGAAGCCTGACTTAGGGAAGGGGGGATTTCCAGGGGAGGGGCCCTGGCCCCCACTGACCCAGCATTGCTATCCACAGGAGGAGCAGCCCCCACAACATCGATCCAAGAGGGGGGGCTCAGTGGGCGGCGTGTGCTACCTGTCGATGGGCATGGTCGTGCTGCTCATGGGCCTCGTGTTCGCCTCTGTCTACATCTACAGATACTTCTTCCTTGCGCAGGTGAGGGGCCGGGCCAGGTAGGGGCAAGGCCTCGAGAAAGGGTCATGTCTAGAGAGGCATGGAGGGAAGTGTCTGCAAGGGGGCAGCAGGAAGCCCCAGACATGCCCTCAGGTGGGAGCGAGTGCCCGGCCAGCCCACAAGACTGGGGTGCCCCCTCCTCCTTGGGGCCTCCTTGGATGCAGGCCAGTCCCACATTTAGCCCCTTGTCCTGGGGAGCCAAGCATGAATCCGGGTGACAGCACTGGGCCCGCCCCACAGGGTCACCCTGGGGAATTCTCACCAGAAACTCAGATCTGGCAGAAACTGGAACTGTGATCCCCCTCCACAGCTCAGACCCTGCACCTGCAGGTCACGCTTTAAGGCTGACCTAACTGTGCTTGTGCATGGACATTTGGGTTACCAAACAAGAGAGGGAGAGGGGTGGGTACAGAGAGTCTCCACCACCTCCTTCCAGAAGCAGGAGTGTGTCCTTGCTGCCAACTATCATCCCCCTCCCCGGGGGACCTGGGCACAAAGCTGGGCCAACCCAGACCTGGGAGGGAGGGAGTGTCGCTGTGTGCTTGGAAATGAAAGTAGGTAAATTAAAAGGATAAACCTACGTACAACTCACAGAGAACCTCAGGGTGACAAAGAGGTGGGACTTGCCAGTCATTTATGACCCAAGTGACCTCCCACTCCTAAGCGTTTAACTTTGTTGTCCCCCAGTTTTTCCACGATGGAAATTGCTGAAGAGTTTGCATTCACGGGGCTTTCCCCTTGAAAGCTCAGCTCACATACACCCATCACCTTCCTTTCTGTGCAGCATCCCCCTGCCCCGCCCCACTCCCTCCATGGCCTGCGTCCCCCTCGTTCCAGGGTCCTGTGTGGGACCTTCCCACAGGCCTCTTCCTGTTGTGGCCCTACCCTAGGACCTGGGCCAGCATTTCCTGGTCCCCTCTGTTCCACCCTCGACTCACACCCTTCTCCCCACACCCCAATTCGTTGTGTGGACACCTCCCAGCAGCCCCTGGGTCTGTGCCCTGGGACAGTATTCGGGGTGTCCAGCCACTGTGGGATGCAGCCCCGGAGCCTCACCTTCCCTGGGCTCTCATCCCCGCACAGCCCACAGGAGCCCCCCATGCTGCGATGACGCATCCTCCCTGGAGAACTTGCACTGAATCAAACAGACGGTGGAATCCTGCCGATCCCAGGCCAGGCAGTCCCAAGCATGTATCTACAGGCCCCTCCAGGAGCCCCCTCCAGAAGTAAGAGTGGGCAGACTGGCCCGCCCGGCCATTCAGTTGATGGGATCACACCAGGCTGCCTGGCCTCCCTTACTGATGGAGTGACTGGACTGGCCCACCAGACACAGTGTCTGTCAAGGTTTCTCCAAGACAGGGGTCAGGGATATCCAGGAAGGGCGATGGCACTTGTCCGAGGCTGGATGTGGAGGTAACCGTGATAGGGGCACAAGACTCTTAACAGTGTTGCCTCCAGCTCCACCTCCCCACCCGCCGTGTTAGGCCCCTCCAGGTCTGCAGGCCAGGACAGCAGGTGACAGGAAAGGCAGTCGTGCACAGGCGTAGGTGCCCAACTCTTAGGTTCGTCCTTGACCCCCTGCCAACCCCAGGCTCTTTCTCTGGTGTCTGCACCTCTGTGGAGGGCACGGAGGTGGCCAGGTCCTAGTCCTGCTGGGCCACCCCTTTTCCCAGTCACCGACTCAAGGACTTGGAGGCCAGAAGGGACCTTAGGGATCATCATGCTTTACTGATGGGGAAACTGAGGCCCAGAGAGGTCTGCCACCTAGAACCTGGCAGACCCAGCTCATCCTCCCTTCCGTTTGTGAAGCTGGGAAGCGCCTTGCCCAAGAATCAGCTCATCTCCTCACTGGCAGCCCCAGACCCTGACCTGATGCCCCACCGTCTCAGTTTCTCCATCTGCGAAATGGGTCTCACAGTCCCTGCTCTTCTTGCTTCCGCAGGCTTTTGGGGCATGTAGCGGACGGGTAGGCAAGAGGGGGCCTTACGGAGTGCGTGTATGACCAGCCTCTCTGACTGTCTGTCTGTCTCTCCGCCTTGCTCAGCTGGCCCGAGATAACTTCTTCCGCTGTGGTGTGCTGTATGAGGACTCCCTGTCCTCCCAGGTCCGGACTCAGATGGAGCTGGAAGAGGATGTGAAAATCTACCTCGACGAGAACTACGAGCGCATCAACGTGCCTGTGCCCCAGTTTGGCGGCGGTGACCCTGCAGACATCATCCATGACTTCCAGCGGGTGAGGCTGGCCAGGGCCTGGGGGTGGGGGGTGGGAGGGTGTCCCGGGGACTCAGGGCAAGGGGAGCAGGGATGAAAGGAGACTCCTCGGAGTACAGCAGGTGTCTACGGTTAGGCTTACCAGGGTCTTCAAGACACTGCTTTTCTCCTGTTAGCAACAATGGTTCTTGCTGAGTATGAAGCAGCCGAGGCTGATTTTCTCCTCAGCCTCCTGCCAGCTGCACGCTGGCTGTCATGGCAGGGCCAGTGCGTTGTATCGAGGGGTAGTACATTCACCATCGAGTGCATTGCGTGTACAGCTCAGCGGGTCTCTGCAGAGTGGGTCTCATGCGTATTCATGTAACCCCCATGGGTCCTGAGACAGGGCATCTCTCGCTGGGGTCCAGGCTGTCCCAGGAATGGCTGGCCCTCACAGGTTTCATAAATGCACAGCTGGGATGTTACCATGTTCCCCAAACCTCAGCTCTGTAAACATGAGAAGAAGCTTTATAACAACAGAGGCGTTTAGCAATCAGCTGCTATTTTCCTCTATCATGTGGCACCTTCTACAACAGGCTAAGAGAAGACCAGGAAAAGGGAGTGCCCGCCCAGGTATTGAGGAGTCTGGAGAGGACTCTGCTCCTGAAGGCCCAGGGTCCCAGGAAGGCATGGTGGGACTCCTGCCCCTGCTGGCCAAGCTGCTTTTTTTTTTGGAGACAGAGTCTCGCTCTGTCGCCCAGGCTGGAGTGCAGTGGCACGATCTCGGCTCACTGCAAGCTCCGCCTCCTGGGTTCACACCATTCTCCCGCCTCAGCCCCCCGAGTAGCTGGGACTACAGGTGCCCACCACCACGCCTGGCAAATTTTTTGTATTTTTAGTAGAGACGGGGTTTCACCATGTTAGTCAGGATGGTCTCGATCTCCTGACCTTTGATCCGCCCGCCTCAGCCTCCCAAAGTGCTGGGATTACAGGCATGAGCCACCGCGCCTGGCTGGCCAAAGCTTCTTGCAGCCCTGCCTGGGTCAGCTGTCACCTCCTGCAGAGACTGACCCAACCCCTTCTCCTGCCAGGGTCTGACTGCGTACCATGATATCTCCCTGGACAAGTGCTATGTCATCGAACTCAACACCACCATTGTGCTGCCCCCTCGCAACTTCTGGGAGCTCCTCATGAACGTGAAGGTGCGCAGGGGGTTGGGGGGATGTCTGCAGCATCCTGTCCCTCCCTTGCCCCCTGTCTCATGGAGGCTAGGTCTGAGGTACAGGAAGTTCCTGTGTCAGGGGTTGGGGGAGCAAGAGACATTGCTGGCACCTGGGCCCTGTACCCAGATTGGTCTCGCCTCTGCTATCCCCCTGCTTCCACATCTCCAGAGTCAATGCCCCGAGACCGGCTTCCTTAGTGTTCAAGGTTGTACCCTGGGTACGGACTCGTGCGCATGCCATTGCTCCTGGCAGCACAGGTGCAGGCACCGGGCACAGGCAGGAAGTGCCTGAGGACATCAGAAGGGCCAGCCCAGGGGCCTCTGGAGGAGGGAGGTGGGCTGGCATTTCGGGCGAGGGGTTGGACGAAAGCCTGAGGGGCCGACTCACTGTGGCGGCCACCTTGTTTTGCAGAGGGGGACCTACCTGCCGCAGACGTACATCATCCAGGAGGAGATGGTGGTCACGGAGCATGTCAGTGACAAGGAGGCCCTGGGGTCCTTCATCTACCACCTGTGCAACGGGAAAGACACCTACCGGCTCCGGCGCCGGGCAACGCGGAGGCGTGAGTGGCTGGCTTCACCCACAGTAGCCCCTGTCCCGTGCCCCAGACCACAGTTATCTTCACGCCTAGCCCAGCTGTCAGAGAGCTCAGATAGCAGCAGCAATAACAGCTAGCATTAGCAGAGCACTTCCGTGTGCCGGGCAATGCTGTGTGCTCTTTATGACCTCTTAAGAGTGTAAGTCATTCTCATCCTCATTATTATTTTTGCTGCCCATTTTAAAGATGAGGAAACAGGTGCAGAGAGGTTAACACCCTGGAGGTCACACAGCAGGGAGGTGGCAGACATGGGCAGGCTGACTCCAGCTTTCGAGCTCTCCCCATTTCTCACTGTGCTCTTTGGGTGAATCTGGGTGAATGGTGTCACTTCCTGGCCCTCCTGTGGCTCAGGCTGAGGCTGGTGGTCTTTGTGACTCAGCCAGGATGCAGGGCTCACTGGGGTTTTTCTTTTTCCTCCCAGGGATCAACAAGCGTGGGGCCAAGAACTGCAATGCCATCCGCCACTTCGAGAACACCTTCGTGGTGGAGACGCTCATCTGCGGGGTGGTGTGAGGCCCTCCTCCCCCAGAACCCCCTGCCGTGTTCCTCTTTTCTTCTTTCCGGCTGCTCTCTGGCCCTCCTCCTTCCCCCTGCTTAGCTTGTACTTTGGACGCGTTTCTATAGAGGTGACATGTCTCTCCATTCCTCTCCAACCCTGCCCACCTCCCTGTACCAGAGCTGTGATCTCTCGGTGGGGGGCCCATCTCTGCTGACCTGGGTGTGGCGGAGGGAGAGGCGATGCTGCAAAGTGTTTTCTGTGTCCCACTGTCTTGAAGCTGGGCCTGCCAAAGCCTGGGCCCACAGCTGCACCGGCAGCCCAAGGGGAAGGACCGGTTGGGGGAGCCGGGCATGTGAGGCCCTGGGCAAGGGGATGGGGCTGTGGGGGCGGGGCGGCATGGGCTTCAGAAGTATCTGCACAATTAGAAAAGTCCTCAGAAGCTTTTTCTTGGAGGGTACACTTTCTTCACTGTCCCTATTCCTAGACCTGGGGCTTGAGCTGAGGATGGGACGATGTGCCCAGGGAGGGACCCACCAGAGCACAAGAGAAGGTGGCTACCTGGGGGTGTCCCAGGGACTCTGTCAGTGCCTTCAGCCCACCAGCAGGAGCTTGGAGTTTGGGGAGTGGGGATGAGTCCGTCAAGCACAACTGTTCTCTGAGTGGAACCAAAGAAGCAAGGAGCTAGGACCCCCAGTCCTGCCCCCCAGGAGCACAAGCAGGGTCCCCTCAGTCAAGGCAGTGGGATGGGCGGCTGAGGAACGGGGCAGGCAAGGTCACTGCTCAGTCACGTCCACGGGGGACGAGCCGTGGGTTCTGCTGAGTAGGTGGAGCTCATTGCTTTCTCCAAGCTTGGAACTGTTTTGAAAGATAACACAGAGGGAAAGGGAGAGCCACCTGGTACTTGTCCACCCTGCCTCCTCTGTTCTGAAATTCCATCCCCCTCAGCTTAGGGGAATGCACCTTTTTCCCTTTCCTTCTCACTTTTGCATGTTTTTACTGATCATTCGATATGCTAACCGTTCTCAGCCCTGAGCCTTGGAGAGGAGGGCTGTAACGCCTTCAGTCAGTCTCTGGGGATGAAACTCTTAAATGCTTTGTATATTTTCTCAATTAGATCTCTTTTCAGAAGTGTCTATAGAACAATAAAAATCTTTTACTTCTGACCTTGACTTGAGTGTGGCTGGAGGGGAGATGGGTGTAGGAGGGGTGCTCCGGGCAGGGTCGAGGAGCTGGACCTCGGGAGCAGCAGGCAGGGAGAAGCCTGCAGACCTTGACATCTGGCCCCTAAAGAGCTGGGCATCCTGGATTCAGCCAAGGAGTGTAGGATATCCCCTTCGTAGCACCCTGGATCTGAGCCAGGTAGAGTTCACACTTTCCGGGTGAGGAGGGGAACAGGGCTGGGAGAGCTTACCGACTCGCCCAAGGTCGTGCTGCTTTAAGTGCCTGTAAACCACCCTGTAATGTTCTACCTGGCAGATGACATCATTATTGCATGTCCTTAAGCACAAGGGCGGTGTCCTATTCTCCACCACGTCTGGACAATTTGTAACCATTCCTGGAGGATCTGAAGTGAGGTTTGGTGTGATAATCACAGGGTCACATTCTCCAGAGAATTCTGGAAGCGGCAGGAGAGCTGGCCAGAGCCATGTCTAGGTGGACCCCAGAGGTGGGACCTATATCCTGCCCTGGGGACCAGGATGGGTGCCCACCTGCTTGGTGCTGTTAAGCCTCAGTACCCAGTGAGGGCCATAAAATACTCAAATTAGTGCAGACACACCTTGTTCCCAGATCCAAAGGCAATCATGCAAAGACATCAGTTTTTTTTTTTTTCACATTTGCTGATTGAAATGCATTGCAATCACAATTAAAATGCCAACTGAATTTATTTTTTAACTTGACACAAATAATTCTTTCAGGAAAGTAAACAGGGAATAGTCAGGTAGATCCTATAAACGGTAAAGAACTCCCAAAGTGCTGGGATTACAGGCTGAGCCACCGCGCACCTGCCCAAGAGATATGTTTTTACAGGTCAAGTTAGGGTTGAATGTTTGTGAAGCATTTTTTTTTTTTGAGACGGAGTTTCGCTCTTGTCGCCCAGGCTCCGATATAAAGCGTTATACACCACAATAATTAAGGAGTTCAGTGTAGCAAAGACAGAGCCCAGTGCAACCCAACAGAGGCCCAGACATTGACTTAAATTACACGGAAATTTAATATATGATTATGGCGGCATTTCCAGTTAGTGGGAGACATGTGGGTTTGCCTTTTTTTTGTTGTTGGTTTTTTTTTTCTTCTTTTTTTGAGATGGAGTCTTGCTCCTGTCACCCAGGCTGGAGTACAGTGGGGCGATGTTGTCTCACTGCAATCTCCCCCTCCCGGGTTCAAGCAATTTTCCTGCCTCAGCCTCCCGAGCAGCTGGGATTACAGGCGTGTGCCACCACACCTGGCTAATTTTTGTATTTTTAGTAGAGACGGAGTTTCACCGTGTTGGCCAGGTTGGTCTCAAACTCCTGACCTCAGGTGATCCTCCCGCCTCAGCCTCCCAGAGTGCTGGGATTACAGGTGTGAGCCATTGCGCCTGGCCCATGTGGGTTATTTTTAATGGAACAGCGGGCTAGCCATTTTGACAAAAAATTAACCTGGATTCTACTTCCCTAGAACAACATTAATGCTGGATGGATCAGAGATTTTAATTATGAAATGAAACTATGAAAGTACTTGAAGAGATTATTTAAAAGGTAATCTTGGAGGAGGAAAGGCCTTTCTAAGCATGATATCTACCAGGAAAAAATTGGTTACGAAAAGTTAGAATTTATATACAGCAATGTATACCACAAAGCCAAGAGGTTTATAAGCAGTAAACGGAAATGTCTTTTCAAACACAGGCATAAAAAGGGCTATTTTTTTTTAATATGCAAAGTTCTTATAAACCATTGTGAAAAAGGAACAACCCAATAGAGAAATGAGCAAATAATATAAACAGTTCTAGAAATCAAAACTAGGGAGATACTTTATTTTATTTTATTTTATTTTATTTTTGAGATGGAGTCTCGCTTTGTCACCCAGGCTGGAGTGCAGTGGCACCATCTCGGCTCACTGCATCCTCCACCTCTTGGGTTCAAGTGATTCTTGTGCCTCAGCTTCCCGAGTAGCTGGGAGTACAGGCGCACACCACCATGCCGGCTAATTTTTGTATTTTCAGTAGAGATGGGGTTTCACCATGTTGCCCAGGCCAGTCTCAAACTCCTGACCTCAGGTGATCCAGCTGCGTCAGCCTCCCAAAGTGCTGGGATTACAGGCGTGAGCCACCGCGCACCTGCCCAAGAGATATGTTTTTACAGGTCAAGTTAGGGTTGGATGTTTGTGAAGCATTTTTTTTTTCGAGACGGAGTTTCGCTCTTGCCGCCCAGGCTGGAGTGCAATGGTGCGATCCCGGCCCACCGCAACCTCTGCCTCCCAAGTTCAAGCGATTCTCCCACCTCAGCCTCCCGAGCAGCTGGGACTACAGGCATGTGTCACCATGCCCAGCTAATTTTTGCATTTTTAGTAGAGACGGGGTTTCTCCATGTTGGTCAGGCTGGTCTCGAACTCCCAACCTCAGGTAATTCTCCCACCTCAGCCTCCCAAAGTACTGGGATTACAGGCGTGAGCCACTGTGCCCGGCCATGAAGCATGTACTGTATACAAAACACTACGTGTAAGTCAGTGTGTAAGTTATAAAATGTATTAATCAACGTATCTCTGGAAACCCACCAGCCAACTTATGAAACAAAAGACTACCAAATACCACTGAGAGTCTCTGCATGCTCTTCTCCTCTTCCTGTTGCATAACAAACCATCCCAAAACTTAGTGGCCTGACACAGTGGTTTATTATTTTTCCCGAGTCTGTGAGTTGCCTGAGTTCAGCTGGATGACCGAGGGGTCCCCGTGGGATAACCGCACCCTCTGCTGTATGTTCATCTGGGAGCTCAGCTGCGGTCCAAGCAACCAAGATGGCCTCTCACCCTCCAAGGGCCTCGCTCCACGTGGCCTCTAACCATTAATGGTCTAGCCCAGCCCTCCTTACAGCTTGTCAATTGAGCTCCAAAAGAGGGGAAGCAGAGGCTGACCATCCTTTAAGACCTGGCACCACAAATCCCAGAATGTTACTTCATTGCATTCTGTTGGTCAAAGCAAGTCACAAAACCAGTTCCGATTCAAGGGGAGGGAAAGACCCTGCAGATGGGGAGCAGCTTGCATGCTCAGGGATGCCAAGAACTGTTGGAAACTCAGACATCATCCGAGCACTCCCCGCCATCCCTCTCCCCTCAGTATTTCATGGGGGACATTAAATGCCTGAATTAGTGCAAAGACACACCTATTCTTAGAACCAAAGACAATCTTGAAAATATGTCAATTTTCCATAAATTAGCCAATCTTAAACTCTACTAATTAGCCAATCCAGGTAATTCCTATCTTGGGTTTCTCTGTTCTGCTTTCTAATTGTACCATATATCCAAGAATCCCTGAGGAAGTTTTGCTTGGATCTGAACACTGTGAAAGTGGTAACAAAATACACATATTATTCTCTGACTTGCTTCCCCACCCTCCAAACCTTTTAAGCCGTGTCCATGTTGAAGCCTATGGTAATATTTCATTCATTTTTACTGTTGTATATTAGTTCATTGTATGAATATACAGCTTAATACCTATGAAACAATGACTAACCATGGCTCTTTGGATTTTTTTCTGATTTTTTTTTTTTTTTTTTACTATCAGAACGCTTTCATGAACATTTCTTTGATGGGGTTCCTGGGGCACCTCAGCACTGGGTCACACAGTGTGCAAATATTCAACTCATAAAATTCTAGCAGATTGTTTTTTGTAAGACATTGAACCAATTTACACTTCCAGCTGCACCGCATAGACATTCTACTCGTTCCACATCCTTGTCAACACTTCATGTTAGCAATACGTTTTTTGCCAATGGATAGGAAATAAAATGGTATTTCATTATGGTTTTAGTTGTGTCTCCTCGATTACTAGAAAAGTGGGGCCGGTTTCACATGTTTATTGAACCCTCAAATTTCCTTTCCTGTAAAATGCCGACTTGCTTTCTTTGGCCTATTTTTCTATTGGTTGCTTTGTTTTCTTACTAATTTGTAGGAGTTATTTATATATTTATACATTTTATATTTTACATATTTTCATTGATGGGTGGTAAGTATCTTACCCAAGTTAGTTCATGGCTTGCCTTCTCACCTTTTTTTTTTTTTTACAAACAGCATCACGTGTACATAGCTTTCTCACTTTCTTTGTGGTCACTTTGATGAACAGAAATTATTGATTTTAATGCAGTCAAATTTATTCATCTTTTTCCTTGTGGTTAGGGCCTTTTATATCATTTCAGAAATCTTTCCCATCCTAAGGTTGAAGAGGCATTATTCTACAATTTCTTCTATTCATTTTAGAGTTTTGTATTTTACATTTTTGAATCCCCAGGAATTTAATCCCTGGTCTGATGTGAGGTAGGAATAACGATTTGTTCTGTTTTTGTTTTTCCTTCCCCACTGAGTTACAGTATATGTCTGCAAGGATCAAGTTTCTCTATATGTAAGGTCTACTTCTGGGCTTTCTGTTTTGTTCATCAGGTCTATCCGTTGGACCATAACCACACTTAAAGTAAGTCTTGCTACCTGGTACTAAAAGTTTCCTACCTTGATTCTCTCCAGCAGTGCCATGCCTATTCTTGGCCCTTTTTGTTCATATGCATTTTAGAAACAACTGCCAAGTTTCATGGAAAATTCTGTTGAGGTTCTTTTTTTTTTTTTTTTTTTTTGTGACGGAGTCTCGCTCTGTCACTCATGCTGGAGTGCAGTGGCGTGATCTCTGCTCACTGCAAGCTCCGCCTCCCAGGTTCACGCCATTCTCCTGTGTCAGCCTCCCAAGTAGCTGAGACTACAGGCACCTGCCACCGTGCTCAGTTAATTTTTTGTATTTTTAGTAGGGATGGGGTTTCACCATGTTAGCCAGGATGGTCTCAATGCCCTCATGATCCGCCCACCTCAGCCTCCCAAAGTGCTGGGATTACAGGTGTGAGCCACCGCGCCTGGCCTTCTGTTGAGGTTCTTAATGGACTTATATGAAATCTATAGATCCACTTGGGGAGAATTGAAATCAGGATATTGAGTGCTCTCACCCATGAACATGGTATTTTTAAAATCTGCATTGTTAATGTCTTCCAACATAGTTTTATACTTTCCTCAGTAGGGGTCTTACAAATCTTTCATTACATTGATTCCTATGTCCCTTATATTTGTTGTTATGATGTTTAATAATTATACCTTTGTTGCCAATGTGTAGAAGTATAATTTATTTTTGAGTATTGATCCAGCAAACTTGCCGGGCTGTCTTTCTTATTCCACAAAGTTCTCTGAGGAAATTTTTTTTTTTTTTTTTTTTTTTGAGACAGAGTCTCACTCTATCACCCAGGCTGGAGTACAATGGTACAATCTAGGCTCACTGCAACCTCCGCCTCTAGGGTTCAAGCGATTCTCCTGCTTCAGCCTCCCGAGTAGCTGGAATTACAGGCCCATGCCACTACACCTGGCTAATTTTTGTCTTTTTAGTACAGACGGGGTTTTGCCATGTTGGCCAGGCTGGTCTCGAACTCCTGACCTCAAGTGATCCACCTGCCTCAGCCTCCCAAAGTGCTGGGATTACAAGCGGGAGCTACAGTGCCCAGCCTTGTGCTTTGTAGACAAGCAATTCTGGTAACTGATTATGAGTAAATTTTGTTTCTTCCATTCAAATAATTAAAACTTTTATTTATTTTTCTTGTGCTATCTTACTGGGTAGGAGCTCTGGCACCATGGTGATAGCCACAAATCTTGTTTTGTTCTTGATTTAAAAGGAAATTCACCTTGAATATAGTTTAGCTGTAAATATTAGAAGAATACTCTTTGAGATTTAAGAAGTTCTCTATTCTTAGTTTTCAAAGTGTTTTTATTTTTAATCAAGGATTGATATTAAATTGTTTTATCAAATGTTTTTTCTGCATCTATTCATATGTTTGCATATCTGTTAATGTGGCGAATATTGCTAACTGATTTAGTCATGAGGTATTTTCTTATATCTATGCTACTGGATTCCATTTGCTAACATTTTGTTTAGGAATTTTAGATATATGTTTTTTGTAACATTGGCCTGTAATGGGAGTAAATTAGTTTGACAAAATCAAATTTTAAAATGCAATGTTTTTGGCCCAGAATGTATCCTATGGATGTACTCCATAGGATATGCAAAAGTATATGTACAAGCATATTTATTGTTATAATAGCAAGAAACTAAAGACAAATGTCCTTTAGTTGGAGACTTGGTATTTTAAAAAAGTACAGTATTTTGTTGCTATTACAAAGAATGAGGTAGATCTATTTGTGCTGATGTGTAAAGTTCTCCGAAATCTATAATTAGGGTAAAGCAGGTGGCAAGAGCAAGAATATATATTTATCTCTATCCCGTTTGTGAATTTTTTAAGTGATAGCGCTATGGCTGTGCATGTGCTATTTCTGGAAGCGCACTCAAAGCCTTGTAACACCAGTTCCCTCTGGAGAGCAGGGATGGCAGGAAGCTGTAGGACTACGTCTCTTTCTACACCTTTTTATAATTCATAAGCATGAGCATGTATTGGTCTCTGTACACCTGCCCCTGGGCTTGAGGAGGCCCTGCTGGCTGCAATGTCTCACTTTCACCTAACTGCACGGAGTCTCAGCCACTTCCCTCCAGCCCTCGAGGACTGTCACCCATCCTAGAATGGAGGCCTTGCATTAGGCCCGGGTTTGGCCAGAAGAATAGAGCAGTTGGAAATGTTAAGTTGACATAAATAGGAAGCTCTGTAACCTCGTGCAAGTGTTGTCTTGGAAACCAGAGCCTGGGCGGTCTCCATGGAAACCGTGCTCAGCCTTCTGCCTGAAGGAGTTACCACCCACTGGTGCTGGAGTGTTACTTATCAGGGACCTCAGAGCTCCAATAACTGCTTAGGGAATGATGATGGACTGGTCCCTGCCCACCCTGGCCATGTCAGGTGTGGGGCCCTGGGCACCTCCAGCTCTCTGCCTGGGAAAGAAAAAGAGCCCATTTCCATGGGACGTGCCCTCATGGGGAGGCACAGCAGACCACCCAAGGCAGCACATGCAGTGTCCCCGAAGTAAGGAGGGAGTCCTGTGTCCCGAGGTCCCGGGGATCTGGACTCTGCCATTGTCCCCTGGTGCATCTGTACAGCTGTGGTGGGCTAACATCATCTCTGGGCTCCAACTTGCCCTTCTGTAAAATGGGGAGTTTGGACCAAGTCATTCTGAAGGTCTTTTCCAGCTTTAATGACACGTGTTTTGCATGTGACCTGGCAGCACAGGGTTCAGAGGAGGGAGAGATCAGAGTGACTAGTGCAGGCTTCCTGGGGAACCATTTGAGCTTTGAAGGTGGGGAAGAGGAATGTCAGAGAGTGGGCAAAATACAACAGGAAAGGTCCAAATTCACCCTCTGAGGGCCCGGGGCACGGGGGCAGCCTGCTCTCCTCCTGGGGCCCTGTTCCCTGTGGGGACTGGAAGAGAGGCTTTGAGTCTAGGGCCTGGGGCAGCCAGGACTGACGGGGGTGCAGTCCTAGAAGGGTCGGCAGTCACGGTGGCCCACCATGGCATCTCCGTATCCTTGCTGCATGCTGCACCCACTCCAGCTGCCAGAGCACGGAGGCAGAGACGTGGGAGCCGATGAAGGTCGCACGCCAGCCTCCCACCTGTGAGACAAAGGGCCCTGTCACTGGAAGCCACGTCCAGCCTGGCCCCGCAGGAGCCAGGGCTCTGCGCCTAACGGAGGACTGATGGGAAAGGGAAGGCTGGCAGCAGTGAGGTAATGGGGTGGGGGGTGGGGGTGGGAGGCAGGGGGAGGTGGGGAGGACAGGGAGGGGAGGGAGGGAAGGGGAGGGACTTTAGCCAGCACGCTTGTCCCACACTGAGCGAGTGCCCACAGTGTTCAAGCAGTCAGTATGCCAGCAGTTTTTCATTGATTACTTTTGTTCGTGTCTCGCGTTATCTCTGGGGTGAGTATGAATTTCATAGCCACAAACTCAGGTGTCCAAAGTATCTTTATTGGTATCTTTATTTTTCTATAATAGTGTGTTTTGTGTAATAATCTAGTTTTCAAACCTTCCCTTAGTCTAGTGGCAGAATGTGTAATCTTGATATTTTCTAGGTAAACTCGGTCATCACTTCAGTTTGCCCTTTTCAAAGATATTAATTTTTGCCCTCCCTTCCCCACCAGGGGCCAATCATCTGAATCACGTTCCTGTATTCAGGATTTGCCCCTCCAAAACAGTTTTGATGGGAGACACCAGCCACCTACTATTATGCAGCCATGCACCACATAACGACGTTTCAGGCAACAATGACTGCACATACCACAGTGGTCCCGTAAAATTACAATGGAGCTGAAAAATTCCTATTGCCTAGTGACGTCACAGCCATTGTAAGGTCAGAGTGCAACACATCACTCATGTGTTTGTGTTGATGCTGCTGTAAACAAACCTACCGCACTGCCAGTCATATAAAAGTATAGCCCATACAATTATGTGTAGTACTTAATACTTAATAATAATAAACAACTATGTTGCTGGTTTACGTATTTACTACACTGTGTTTTTAATTGCTAATAAGAGTGTACTCTTTTTAGTTATTAAAAAAAAAGTTAACTGTAAACAGACTCAGCAGATCCTTCAGGAGGTTTCCAGAAGAAGGCATTGTCATCATAGGAGGTGACAGCTCCATGCATGCATTGCCTCTGAAGTCCTTCCAGTGGGACAGGATGTGGAGGTGGAGATGGTGATACTGATGGTCCTGACCCTATGTAGGCCTAGGCTCATGTGTGTGTTAGTGTCTAGTTTTTAACTAAAAAGTTTAAAAGTTAAAAAAAAAATTTTTAATAGAAAAAAAGGGGGACTGGGCGTGGTGTAATCCCAGCACTTTGGGAGGCCGAGGCAGGCGGATCACCTGAGGTCAGAAATTCGAGATCAGCCTGGCCGACATGGTGAAGCCCCGTCTCTACTAAAAACACAAAAATTAGCTGGGCGTGGTGGTGCGCACCTGTAATCCCAGCTACTTGGGGGGCTGAGGGAGGAGAATAGCTTGAACCCAGGAGGCGGATGTTGCAGTGAGCCGAGACACACCATTGCACTCCAGCTTGGGTGACAAGAGGGAGACTCTGCCTCAAAAAAAAAAAAAAAGAACAAAAGACTAAGGGTACAAAGAAAATACTTTGTGAAGCTCTATGTGTTGGTGTTTTATGCTAAGTATTATTATAGAAAAGTCCAAAGGTTTTTAAAAATTGAAAAGTTTATAAAGGAAAAAAAAGGTACAGTAAGCTAAGGTTACATTACTATTGAGGAAAGAAAAAATCTTCCGTAAATGTGGTGTAGCCTAAATGTACAGCGTTTACAAAGTCTACAGCAGTGGTCGGTAATGTCCCAGGCCTTCCCATTCACTCACCAACCACTCACTGACTCACCCAGAGCAACCTCCAGTCCTGCAAGCTCCATTCATGGTAAGCGCCTTACACAGGTGTACCATATTTTTATTTTTCCTACCATATTTTGAACGATATTTTTCTATGTTTAGATACACCATTGTGTTGCGATTGCCTACAGTATTCAGTACAGAAACATGCTGCACAGGCTTGTGGCCTAGGAGCAACAGGATAACCCGTATAGCCCAGGTGTGCAGTAGGCTATGCCATGTAGGCTAACATGTATAGCCCAGGTGTGCAGTAGGCTATGCCATGCGGGTTTGTGTAAGTGCACCCTACGATGTTCACACAATGAAACTGCCTGACAATGCATTTCTCAGGACATATCCCTGTTGTTAAGCTGAATCTGTTTTTCCCAGTGCCCCTTGGGGCTGGAGTCAAGCATGTGACCAGGCTCAGCCAATCAGATGTTTCCTCTCTGTATTAGTCCATGTTCACACTGCAATGAAGATTCTACCTGAGACTGGGTAATTTAGAAAGGAAAGAGGTTTAATTGACTCACGGTTCCACGTGGCTGGGGAGGCCTCTGGAAACTTACCATCGCGGCCGAAGGCGAAGGGGAAGCAAGGCACGTGTTAGTCTCACATGTGGCAGGAGAGAGAGAGAGAGCACGGCGGGGAAGTGCCAGACACTTATCAAACAACCAGAACTCATGAGTGACGACTCATGGGAGAAACTGCCCCCCGATCCAATCACCTCCCACCAGGCTCCTCCCTTGATGCGGGGATTACAATGTGAGATGAGATTTGGGTGGGGACAAAGAGCCATACCATATCACACCCAGACCATGCCATAGGGACAAGTGACTCAGGAAGGGGGACAGTGAAAAATGCATCCTGGTAGAGGGGACAACAGCAACACAGAGTCTCGTGGGCATCAGGAAGGTGGTGGCATCATCTCCACATTCTGGAGCCCGCGGTTCCCTTTGTGGTCTCCCAATTGCTGAAGTGGTTTCTCCAGCCCACCCAGTGACTCTGAGCCACCCAGTGTCCCGTCAATCAATTCCTTTCTTCCTAAATTCACCAGAATTGTTCCCAGTGTTTGTGTCACAGTTTTATTGAACACGGGAGCCTTGTGGGGTGTAATCCGAAAACAATTCTTTCTCCCACTACCTTTTCAAGCCTGGTCGGTGGGTTGGGTTCTCCTCTGACCTTGGATGAAATTGAAGGTAGGTTTCTTGGTTTTTCTGGTCCATCCAAGATAATAAAAATCCCTTGGGTAACTTTTATTCACACAAATCCAATTTCAGTAATTACAACATCTAACTATCAAAACAGTTGAAACTCCAGATGGCATTTGAAGTTAAAACCACTCCCTTGCCCCATCCCAGACCTGCCCACATGGGAAGCCTACAAGGCGCGTGGGGAGCTTGGCGGGTTTCTCCTCCATGCCCCTGCCTCATGCTTCTACTTTTCCTCCCCTTCACTAGGCTCCTCGGCGCCTCCAAGTTTGGGACAGTAGCGTGAGGGCTTGGCGTCGGGCGTCGGAGCAGGAGAGGTCACTAGTTGTCTTAGTCGGTGTGTGTTGCTGTAAAGGAACACCTGAGGCTGGGGAATTTATAAGGAAAACGGGCTTATTTGGTTCACGATTCTGCTGGCTGGAAGACTGGGCATCTAGTGAAAGCCTCGGGCTGCTTCCACTCGTGGCAGAAGGCGAACAGAGCTGGCGTGAGATCACACGCAGAGATCATGTGGAGAGAGAGGAAGCAAGAGAGACACGGGAGGCAAAGGTTCTTTTTAACAACCAGCTCTCGTGGGAACTAACGGAGTGAAACTCACTTGCCTCTGTAGGAGGGCAATAATCTATTCATGAGGGTTCCAACCTATGACCAGAACACCTCCCATTAGGCCCCACCTCCAACATTGATCCAAACTGTAGCACTAGCATCACCAGTTCACCCTCCCTCAGGTGGATGCTCCATGAGAGTCCCTGGTCCCCGTCCTCACCACTAGCTGCACCTCAATGCAGGCAAACTCTCCCTCAGCTTCATTTTCTTGGACTGGATCTAAGTAACTCAGACCAGCTTCTGAAACATTCACACACCCTTTGATGCTACAGAATCCAGCAGAATGGGTTATTTGCTGGCACACACCTCTTCTTGTCCTGTGCTCCAAGCAACAAGCAGGCAGCTCCAGCCACAGCCTCTCACTACTTGCTTCCCCAGGGGCTTGGCCCCCACCCAGTCCACAGGGCTCCCTTCCAAATTACTCCCAGGCCCCATGTCCAGGTCTCCCAGCAGTCTCAGTGAAGCCCCTCTCACTAGGCATAAGGCAGAGTGGTGGTGCGCCGGACTCTGTGATCATTCTCTCCTTAGAAATGTTCTCTCTGGCTGGCACTGTGGCTCCCCCCTGTAATCCCAGCAGTTTGGGAGGCCGAGGCACGAGGATCACTTGAGGCCAGGAGTTCAAGAACAGCCTGGGAAACACAGGCCATTTAAATTTTTTGTCTGTACAAAAAAATTTAAAAATCAGCTGGGCATGGTGATATGTACCTGTAGTCCTGGCTACTTGGGAAGACTGCTTGAGCCTGGGAGCTCGAGGCTGCAGTGAGCCATGATCTCACCACTGCACTCCACCCTGGGTGACAGAGTGAAACTGTCTCTAAAAAAGAAAAAAAAAAAGAAATGTTCTCTCTATTTGGCCTTCAGTTAGCAGCCAGGAGTGGAGGATGGGCAAGAGTTGCACAGTTGGTTTGAGGTCGCCTCCTTTGCACGTCCTTTATTTTGGAATGTCTGACTCATGGGCACAATCCCCCTCTTTTCTCAGATCCCTGAGGGGCTGACAAGTCTCTTCCTTGGAGCTAACCCCCGGTGATGGGGGCGTAGAGGACCCAAGGACCCCCCACCCCATTCCTGCTACCTCACCAGCATCTGATTTCTTTTTCCCTGGACTTGTGAAGTCTTTATCTAGACTTGGGGGAGGAGATGTGGGGAAAGGGAAAAGGAAAGGAAAGCCTCATTAGGTGGACAGATGGTTTAGGTCTTACAGTTCCCCCAGCGGGCATCTGGGGCAGCTGGTTCTAAGTGGAGGAGGGGCTGCCACGGGGAGTCTGAACCTGAGGCCACCTGCACCCCCCTAACCCTCAGCTGAGCTGGGAGTTCAGGGAACAGGACGTGAAAGGAAGTTGAGCAGCCGCAACCTGGGGTGAAGGCTCAGAGCTTTGGATGATACCCTATGCGTCAGTGGTGGTAGAACAGCCCCGAGGCTTGGTGGCAAGACAGTGGGCTCTGGACCACCAGACCTGGGTTTGTATCTCATTTCTGCCATTGACTGGCTGGATGATGGTTTTGGTTATCTATTTCTGCATAACAAATACCCCAAACCTTGTTGCTTAAAAGAGTAATCGGCCAGGTGTGGTGGCTCACGTGTGTAATCCCAGCACTTTGGGAGGCCGAGGTGGGTGAATCACAAGGTCAGGAGTTCAAGACCAGTCTGGCCAACGTGGTGAAACCCCGTCTCTACTAAAAATACAAAAAATTAGCTGAGCATGGTGGTGGGCACCTGTAATCCCAGCTACTCAGGAGGCTGAGGAAGGAGACTCGCTTGAACCCGGGAGGCAGAGGTTGCAGTGAGCCCAGATCGTGCCACTGCACTCCAGCCTGGGCAATAGTGTGAGACTCCATCTCAAAAAAAAAGAAAAAAAAAAGAGTAATTATGTGCTCAAGATTTTACAGTTTGGAAGGGCTGAGCAGGGATGATTTCTTTGTGCCCTGTGTGTCATTATCTGAGCTGTCTTTAGGGAGGCAAGATCTACTTCAACCACAGTGTCCTATCAGTTCCGAGCTCAGCTGGGACTGTCAGCTGAGAGCCTCAACTCTCCTCCAAATAGTCCTCTCCTCTTTCCTGCTTGGGCTTCCCCACAACATGGAGACTGGGTCCCAAAAGGGAGGAGGCAGACGCTGTCAAGCCTACTTAGTGCCTGGGCTCTGAGGTCCCAGGACATCATTTCCCCTGTATTCTTTGGCCAAAGAAGTTGTGGGCCCATCCTAGATTCAAGATGAGGGGACATAAGGACCACCTCTCGAGGGGAGAAGTGCCGTGCGTGTATAGGGAGGGCAAGATTGTCTGCAGCCATCTTTGGATACTAGCTACCACAGCAAGCATGAGCAAGTTATTCAATCTCTCCAAGTCTCAGTTTCCTACTCTATAAACTGGAAATAATAATATCTATCTCACGTGGTTGTTGATAGCATTAAAGAAGTTCTCAGCGGAGCTCACAACAGTCGGAAGCATGTGTCTGTACAGCCCACGGCTCAAAAGAATTCACTCTGACTTAGACAATCCTGAGCACACACAGCATCCAGACGATGGTGGAAAACTTCTCCCACCACAAGTCCTTTCAGCACCTGCCACTGCCACCTCTTCTATCTCTGCTCCCTCCCTGCCTCTAGTATCCTCACCCCCCAAATCCCCTCAGCCTTTTCTCCTCTTCTTCCTGTGAGTCACCCTGGAGATGCAGCAAGTACAGAGGAATCTGGTCTTGGCTCTGGGCAGGGTGTTTAGGTGGTGGGTCTCCCAAGTTGGGACCCATTGCCCCCTCCTAGAGAAAAATGCTCGCATTACCCTCTGCTCCTGACCCGAAGCCCCCCACACCAGCTCCCACTAACTGGAAGCCAGTGCTGTAAACCTACAGCTCCCACATGCTCCATGAGGGTCTCTGGTCCCCGTCCTCACCGCTAGCTGCACCTCAATGCAGGTGAACTCCCCCAGCTTCATTTTCTTGGATGCTTCAGGAGGACCCCCCTTTGTGGTAGAGGTAGGGAAAAGGAGAAGGCTTCTAAGAGGAGGCCACTCCCAGCTCCAGCCCCAGCCCCAGCCTCAGCCTGGGCAGCCACAACCGCTGCAGTTTCAGTGCACAGCAGCCACTGCGAGCCTGGGCGCCCATCTGCAGACTCCCAGCCCAGGCCCTGACCATGCAGTTTCGGTGGGAAGTCGGGGGCAGGGCTTACCCGTCCTGGGGTAGTCCCCAGGCCTGTCTGGATTCAGACAATTAGAAGCAGTAGCTGCAGCAATCAGATGGAGCACTGTGTAATTTGGGAAATGGGGCAGCTCTAGCTGGTCTGAGAAGCAAAAGCCCTTCCTTTCTATTTTAAAATATAAAACTTGATTTTTCTAGGCGTTCAGAAATGCCTGGTTCATGGGGGCCGGGGCAGGCCTGGGCTACCTAGAGAGCTGTGGCGATGGGGGACCTTACAGCAGGAGGGTGGGAGGGGATGAAATGCGTCCTGTCTCAGGAGTGCCCCTTTCTCCAGGCGTCATGGAGGGCATCCTAGCTCCTGACCACCCAGGGGGCAGCCACCTCCCAGGCCTGCAATCCCGTGTTGAGACCCAGGCCCACCCAGGTTGTTTCTCCCTTAGGTGACCCCTCCCAACCAGAGCTGTCCCTGAACTCCTGATTCCGGTCCACTGTTACCGGGGAGACTGCTGTCCCCAGGCCTCCCCAGGCCAGGCTGTGCTGAGCAGAGGCTGTACCTCCAAACCCAGGAAGGCTTCCAGTTGGATCGCTTCTGACTTTGTCTTCTTGTTGTTGCTGCTGGTAATAAAACTCACATTTACCAGAATTGGGGCAAACAGAATGGAAAGAACAGCATTTCGGTGACTGGTGCCAAGTCTCAGGGTTTTAGTAGCCCCACTTGGGCAGCCAAGAGCCTGGGAAATTAGATGCCCTGGCTCAGGAGGGCTGCGTTCACCAGTTTCACACACGGTCCCCCGCTCCTTGGGGTCTTGGGTGCACGGCAGGTGCAAACACCCCACACCACGTGCCCCGAGGCTGGGAGCCGTGAAGACACCCCCCACCACTTCCACTTCCGTTTCTGCACAGAAGGTGGTGTCACAGTTTTCCAAACTGTTAAGAGAATTTCTTTTGTGCATGACATTGTTCAGCTCACCCAGGCTGCAGCCTGGGACGGAACCAAAACAGAAGTGAGTAAGGAGAAGTGAGTCAGTCATGCATTCAACACATATTCTTGAGCCCCGTTATGTTCCGGGCCCTGTTGGGGACTGGGGACAGAGAGGAGCAGCATGCTGCCCCTGTCCTCTAGGAGCTCACAGACCTGCTATCCCCAAGATGGGCCACACTCTTCTGCCTCTTTGTCTGGGTAGACCTGATGTCTAGACCAAGACATAAAACGGGCTTTTGGAGCATTGCTGCGGAGCCTGCAGGGTGGTGGGCCTTGGGCAGGGTGGTGGGCCCTGGGCTGTGTGCTGGGCATGGAAAGGCGAACAAGAAACGAACCCTACTCTCGCAAGGCTGATGGTCTAGTCGGGTAGAAGAAGAAACTGGAAGTTATTGGACAGTGCGCTAAGTGTTAGGATGGGGGAGTTCCAGGGCACTGTGGGGACAGGTATACCCAGACCAACCAAGCAAACAAGGGGACTTATGTGTTTAATTCATATTAAATGTCATACTAGGCCGGGCGTGGTGGCTCACACCTGTAATCCCAGAACTTTGGGAGTCCAAGATGGGTGGATCACAAGGTCAGGAGTTCAAGATCAGCCTGGCCAAGATGGTGAAACCCCGTCTCTACTAAAAATACAAAAAATTAGCTGGGTGTGGGACAGGCGCCTGTAATCCCAGCTACTCGGGAGGCTGAGGCAGTGAATTGCTTGAACCTGGGAGGCAGAGGTTGCAGTGAGCCGAGATAGAGCCACTGCACTCCAGCCTGGGTGACAGAGGGAGACTCCATCTCAAAATAAAGAAATAAATAAGTAAATAAATAAATAAATGTCATACTGTGCCACCAAGGCCAATGTCTTCACAGGTTTTTTGACCTTGGCAATGTTCCCGTCAGACTGCAGAAGAATTGACTATTCCCGTTCAGGTAGATGATGACCGGCCCCATAAACAGCCACCAAGGGTCACCCTCTCCCTCCCCAGCCCTGAAGGCCAAGAAATGGGACTGGGCTCCTTGGATTTATGACCTTCTGGCTCCTGCAGAGAGAGGAGGACTGGGGCTTGACAAGGACACGGTAAGCTGGACAGACTCCTGCACGGTGTAGGCTTGAGGCCACATTCCTCGTCCCTCTCTGGCTGGGGGCTGGGGCTGGGTGGACATGGTTCCTCCGTGATGTTCTGCCACCCAGCAGCTTGCCACCCTCTCCAGGTCCTTTGGCAAAATTTCAAACCACGCTGATTGACCTTGGAGCTCCACCCACATCCACACCCTTGGCTGTGTCAGAAACTCCACTACAGGCAAGAAAACAAGGGAACTGGGGTTTATGACTTCTGTTCAGCTTCATTAAATATTTGCTGAGCAACTTTTAGAGGAGTTTTCTGGATTCCACAGAGGGGACTAACTAATTCCACCTCTTCCTTTTAGCAGGGGCTAAGGACTGTCCTTGGATCTCAGTAGGACAGCTGACCTTCCCTCCACCCAATGACTGCTCCAGTCTGATCGTTCCTGGCCACCTGATAATCTCTTTGTGCAAACACCAGGAAGCCCTGGTTAGAGGTGTGGACACCAGGTGTTCTTGAGGAGGACAGTGGTGACTCAGTTTTATCTGACCCCATGCTCTCAAGTTCCTTTTCTGTGAGACACTTCTTATGTGCTACTTTGGACCCTCTCACTTATCTGTGGGCCATTGGCCACTGGCCCCAGCCACAGCTGAGACCACCAACTCTGCATGGACTCAGACAGGCTTCACCCAGGCACACCCAGCAGCCCCTGCCTCAGGTCCCAGCTATGCACCCCTTAGGCTTGCCTGGATACTAGGATGGGAGACACTGCATCCATCCATCCACGACCAGCAAGTAGAGGCAATTAATACCCTTCAGGCGACCCAACGCGAGCTGGGAGCCTGTGCACAAATTATTCTCCTTTTCTCCCAAAAGGATTGTGCCGAGAAACATTTGTGCAGCTTCCCGGAGGATGGCCCTTGGGGTCGAGCAAGCAGTTATGTTTGTTACCAAGCCTCGGCCAGCTCCATAACACACCCTGGAGTTGGCACCACTTCCTTCCCAGCTACACTCCCCTTTCTCTCACACCTGCTCCCTGGGGTCACCTCCCTACCAAAGGAGGGGCACAGGAGCCTTTGTTTCCCGCTCTGCTTTCCAAGAAACCCAAACCAAGCCATGCTGAGTTCCTTCCAGAGCTCCACTTCCACTTCACGGGATCCTCTTAGTACCACAGTCAGCACCCAACATGCCTCTGAGATGGGCGTGTGATCCTGACTGGCCAGTCGGCGCCTTATTTCTCTGGCCACAGAACTTGGCTCAGGAGATGACATGTGACCAATCCGAATTTTCCCTGGGGACTGATACGTGGACACCAGGGACCTCGTGCACCAGTAAGGTCGCTGCCTTCCTTCTCTGCCAGAGATGATTCTGTCTCATCCAATCAAGACTTGAGTGGACTCCAGCTTCCCAGAAAGCCTTTCTCCATCATCCCAGCCCCACGAGATCTTACCCGCTTCACTGGTAACACCCAGAATCCTCAGCACAACTGCTACCACCAGGTACTGCCTTGCTCCTTTACACTGTTATGTTGTTTGAATCTGTTATGCAGCTGATTATGTGTATTCCTATTTCTACTAGGCACACATGGTTCTACCTGGCTAACTACAGTGGATTCATTGCCCAAATGAGGTAGGCAGCTGCTTCAACATATAGAGAGGCCAGGTATCCAATATAAGGAACCACATTATCCCAGTTTGCCTGGAACTTTCCAAGCTTTAACACTGAGTAGCCTTGGTCTCCCTCAGTCCTGGACAGACTGGGACATTTGGTCACCTTGTTCAATGAGCAGGAGCAGGAGGAGAGTGTTGTCTAGGAGAAGCCCCCTTTTATTTATTTCCCTTCTGAGACAGGGTCTCGCTCTGTCACCCAGGTTGGGGTCCAGTGGCAGGATCACAGCTCATTGCAGCCTCAACCTCCCGAGCTCATGCAATCCTCCCACCTCAGCCCCCCAAGTAGCTGGGATGACAAGCACACCACCACACCCAGTTATTATTATTATTATTATTATTTTTAATAGAGACAAGGTCTCACTACATTGCCCAGGCTGGTCTCAAACTCCTGAGCTCACGCGATCCTACCACCTTGGCCTCCCAAAGTGCTTACAGGTGTGAGTCACTGCACCCGGCCGGGAAGCCTCTTTTTAAAGTAAAGGACATAGACTGCACAGATTCAGCCCAGACTCCATCTATTTATCTATTTAATTGAGCTCCTACAATTTATTGAGCTTCTACTATGTGTCTGACACTCTGCTAAGTTCTGAAGATCCAGAGATGAACAAGACCTAGTCCCTTCCCTGAAGAGTTTATAGTTCAGAGCAGGCATTAGGGAAATTTTTTGCAAAGGGCTAGATTACAAGTGTTTTCAGTTTTACAAACCATACAGTCTCTGTCATAACTACCGTGGTCTGCTGTAGCTCCAAAGCAGCCACTGCAGACAGTGTGAATGGACATGACTGTGTCCCCACAAGACTTGAAGGGCAGCAGCCTCCTGGCACAGAGGTGGAGAAAAACACACAAAGCCTCAGAGCACCTGCCAGGCCCCTGCTGAAGGTAGCAGCTCCAGGCGGCCCCATAGGCGGCATCTCACATGGCCCCATCTCCTCCGCCGTGGTTGACTGGACCAGGGAGGAGCACGTGATTCACAGGTAGCCCATCCTCAGGCTGCCAGTGATGGACACGGGTGGAGAGGCCAGCAGAGATAGTGGCCGCCAGCTGGGACAACGGTGGTAGGAGACAGAGACCGAAAGGCAGGAAGGATAGAGCAGAGCCAATAGACTTCCCTGGACCCTCAAGCCCTTCCAAACCTGAGCCGTGTTCCAGGCCCCATGGGGACCTCCCGGGAGGTCTTGCTGTGAGCCTGTCCTGGGACCCGGGCAGGCTTGCACGGAGCTGAGAGTCCTGTCTTCTTTATTTCCATGTACATCCTTCAACAAAACAGCTTTTGCTTCCTTCTTTCTTGTTTAACAATTCAGTAATTTTTAGAAAATTTATAAAGTTGTGCAACCATGCAACCATCACTGTCACCCAGCTTCCATAATAAACCTGAATGAGCTCCCTGCACTCAAGAGACCCTCACTCACCCCAGTTCCTTGTGGAAAGTTAGGGTGCCATGGGATCACAGAGGAGGGACCCCCAGCTGGGGCCAGGGGCTCCGAGAAGTCTTCCCAGAGAGACCCAAGGACAGTCAGAGAATTCCTGGGATGATGTGGGGAAGGGGGATCCCCATCACCTCTTTGACCTTTAGTGGGCAGCAAGGGCCAACATCTGACCAGGTGCCTCGTGCAGCAGGCATGGTGTAGACAGAACACTTTGTCAGATGCCGATGAATCAAGCAGCTTTCCTTTTCCTCCATACCCTCCATGCCCTCCTGTGGCAGCCTCAGTCCACCCCAGCGTCCTTAGACAGGGCCTTGCAGGCCAGGGCACACTGCAGGAAAGGGAAGAATCTGCACGTGGCTCCCTGGGGCCGTCGATGATGGGCTTTGCTGCCTGCACCACCCGAGTTTTCATCCAAGAAAACACCCTAACCTGGTATTTCCCAAGGAATTCAAGTGAAATTGTCAAAAGGGCTTACATCCCTGTTTTAAGGCTGTGGAAGAGGTCTGGCCATACAATCTCCCTCTCCCTTTCCCCTTCACCCCCAGGAAAGAGAGAATCTCCAAGCACCCATACCCAGGGCCTCTGTCTTCCCACTCCCCTCTCCCATCTCCCCATAAGGAGCCTTTCTCTTGCTGAAGCAGGAAACTTCATTTTGCTAACAGGAAGCTTCTTTGTTCCCTGCAAGAGAAACCAGCTCCAGCTAATTCAAGCAAAAGAAGGCTCTTCGCAGGGATGTGGAGCAGCTCACAGTTGCAAAGAGGTTGCTGAGCAACGTGCACTGCCTGGAGGTGACTGCAGCGGCCCTGGGCTTCCCTGGGCTCCCCCGCTGGCAGACAGAATCTGACAGCACGGTTTGGTGCAAGGGTCCCTGGCCTTGGTCCTTTGGATCACTCAGTGACAGGGAACAGGAGCCAGTCTGCTTCCCTATCCCATTAGAAGGATCTGGATTTGCTCCATTCACCCAGACCTGGGTTTCACCAGGAACTAGGGGTGTACATCATCTATGCCCAAACCCAGGGCACCCCTGAGTATACGGCATTTCCCAGTGGGCCATTAAGAAGATGCGCATACAGAAGAGATTGTTTTTCCAAGTGAGAAGATCCAGCTTGAATATACAAACTATTAGGGTTGTGCATGTAATTGTTTAAATGTCTCCTGTAGGAGTTAATGCATTTGGTTTTCAAGACATCTTTTAATTCCACAGAAGGTAACTCCTTTCCACTTTCACATTTCATGGAACATTTTTTCATCTCAACCTGTCACCAGCATCTTGAGTGTCTGTCTCCTCATCACCCCTGAGCCACGGTTTGAGTCACCGGTGACTTTCAGGGTACGTCACCTCCGTCTCCTCTCAGTTACAGAGATTCAGCACTTTTTAAATCCCCACATGATGCTATCACTGGAAATTGTATCTAAGTTGCAAGTGCCCCTTCTCATAATATTGAGGGACTTAAAGTTGTTAGTTGAACCTTAAGAGAAATATGAGAATCTTCTTAACTGGTGATTGGGGCACACCAGGAACCCCGGCATTATCATCAATCCTACCAGAGGGCTTCTGCACACAGCCAGGTATAAGGGGCTTGGAGCAAGCCCCTAGCTGTCTGTTATTATTAGCTGGTGCTATGGGGCCAGGACCCAGGGTCTTTGAGCCTGCGGTTGCTTCCTGGTCTGAAGCGAGGGCTGGGGCAGTGGTGATGACTGCAGCTGTCAATCACCAGGTATTTATCAGCTCTGCTCTGCACCCAGCCTGTGCCAGGCACACAGGGTGGACGGGAGCCACGAGACCTTGCTGTGAGAGGTGATTAAGAAGGAGCATTTCTACTTAGGACACCGGTGCAAGGGAGGACCAAATGAGGTGTAACAGACAAGGAGAGAATAAGCCTGTTCTCGACCAGGTGCAATTGAGTAGTGGAAGCCAGTGGGTGGGCTTGTGACAGCCCCTACTGGGGAGCAGATGGGTCGCCCCTTGATGGCTCAGGATCTTTGAAGAGCCCTGAGAGGATTTTGGAGTGGGTACGGTGGGCCAGGACACAGAGACCCAGAGTGGGTGTTAGCATGGGGTGCCATGCAAAAATCACTTACAAGGGCATCAGAGAGCTGGTGCTGCTCATGCCCCCATGGGCCTCAGCTTCCACGTCTGCACAATAGTTCCCTTCAAGCCAAGGTCTTGTTACAGACCTGTTTCTAGCCCCAACTCCTCCAGCTTTATGGGGTCACCCCCCCTTTTTAAATCTCCAAGCAGAAGGGCTTGTGATTTTATCCCACATTCAGTGGGAACCCTAGCATCTCCCATCATAGTCGTAGAAACTGCCAAATTCTCCTCTGAGCCCTGAGTCCTACAGGAACTGTCCTCCACGTGTATCTGAGCCCACAGGGAGCACATTCCCCCTTTCTTTCTCCAATAAAGGACAGCTGACTCCAGGGAGAACTGGTGGGAGACTTCCCTGAAGGCCAGGGGTGACGGAGATGGATGGTAATGCACAGCAACCAGAAACACCCCCCAGCCCCATCCTGCCAAGGGAGTGCTCCTTCCCTTATGCCACCCCCTCACCTGGTTTGGTTGGTTTCAGATGCAGTGCAGCCTTGGGAAGTCGGTGCTGGACCCCACCTGTGCAGCCTGTTTGCCGCAATTTCAGAGTCACTGGAGATACAGTATTTATAAAAGCGTTTCTCTCTTGGTTTGAACTACAGCTTTGCTCCCAGTTTCAATGTATATAGTCCTTGGAGGAACAACCCTGGCCAAGAAGTTATACCAGAGGCAACTGACCCCTAAGAGCAGGTGATGAAGAGCAGGAGGAGAGAGATGGCTGCAAGCTGGAAGAAGGGTGGTAGTTTGCAGTGGTGGGGACAGGGGATACCACAGGAGGGGATTAGGAATTGGGAAAAGGACTCACAATCGTGTCAAAGGCAGAATCTGCTGGGAGTGGTTGGGCCTTGGAGATGCTTGATGGGGTGACAATTAGGTGACCCCAAGTACTTTCATGAGAACTTTTATAACATAAGGTTAGGGAGCCGGATGCAGTGGTTCACACCCGTAGTCCCAGCATTTTGGGAGGCTGAGGCGGGAGGATCACTCGAGCCCAGGAGTTTGAGCCCAGCCTGGCCAACAGGGTGAAACTCCATCTCTACTAAAAATACAAAATATTAGTCAGGCATGGTGGCAGGTGCCTGTAGTCCCAGCTACTCGGGAGGCTGAGGCAGGAGAATCACTTGAACCCGAGAGGCGGAGGTTGCCATGAGCTGAGATAGCACCACTGCTCTCCAACCTGGGCAACAGAGCAAGACTCTGTCTCAAAAACAAAACAAAAACAAAAACAAAACCATAAAGGTAGGTAAGGTCATCCTCTGATAGTGGAACTTACTACATAGATACATGCCAGGAGGCAGTAATAGTAATAAAATATCATATAAGACGATGATGATGGTGAAACTGGTATGACCTACTTCACCAACTTAGATTACAAAATGGTCAAATTTCTTTTATTGCTTAATTTATTTTTCCCTATGGGTCTTTTAGGCAGAAGACTTGCCCCCAAATTACTCAAAGACCCCAGGGACCTCCTTTGCTTCCACACCTGAGGGAGGAGAGCCAGGGTTCCATCAGCCCCTGCTGCTGTTTCTCCAAGCTGTCACAAGGTGACACTGTTGCAGCTTGGTGTCTCAAGGAGGGACGCTGCTGCCCCAGACGCTGGGATGCCCTTGGTGGTTGAGGTTCAGGCTTAAGACTCTTCTTAGTTATCATTTCACACTCGGCCATCCCTTCCCAAAGCATAGCTCCTGGGGCAGGGCGGCTGGGTTTGAAGGGGTGTCCAGTATCAGCCACGTTCCATGCTGGCCAGAACAGTGTTATCAGTTGAGATCCCCCTTAACACAAGGTGATTTATTTTGGGGGCCTCATTGCTTGCCCCTGCCACTGATTCTTGGATTGCCCTACAACTCCTAGACAGGTATCCCTGACTTTGCATCTCTGAGATTGGGGACTGGGATATGGGTGTCTTTGCTTTCAGAGGGCCCTGGGACTCTGCTTCCTATAGTGCGGCATACAAAGAGGGCCGGCCAGCTTCTCTAAGCCCCACAAACAAAGGTCCTGGGTCAGCCCAAACCCCAAGAGGAAGAGGATGGGACCCTGGGGGCTCACATTTGCATAACAAAGCGGGCACACAAATGATCCTTCACCAGAGGAAGAACACCTGTGCCCAGGTTCCTTATGTCTCTGCCTAACCCAAAAGTTCTCAACCTGGGGATCAGGAGTAGAATTCACGGGTGTCATGAACTTGCTGAGGGAAAACATTACATGCTATTTTCACTAATCACTAACTGAAGGTAGCATTTCCTTCCATTACGCACGTAGACATCACACCACAGTACGATAGATGGTGTGGTTCCTGGGACTTGTCACCAATAGACATCACAGATACTCTCATATCCCACTACAGTTGCTGCAGATAATTCAAAATAACTTCTCAGTTCATCATAAATTCAAAATTATGATAATCATTAAACCCATCACTAGATCTTGTTATCCAGTGCCTAAAGAAACATATATTGCTACGTTGGTGACTACATTTCCATATATCTGGTTTCCTCTCTAATTCCATGCATTTTTACTTGATGCATGTGAAACTGCCCTTCTGGGGAAGGTCCACAGGCTTCCTCCTGACTGCAGGAGGATCGATGGCACGAGATGAATTAAGACCCCATGGCCTGCTGGGCATTGTGGCTCACGCCTGTAATCCCAACATTTTGCGAGGCCAAGGCAGGTAGATTGCTTCAGCCCAGGAGTTCAAGACCAGCCCAGGCAACATGGCGAGACCCTGTCTTTACAAAAAATACAAAAATTAGCCAGGCATTGTGGTGTGCACCTACAGTCCCAGCTACTCAGGGGGTTGAAGCAGGAGGATCCCTTGAGCCCAGGAGGTTGAGGCTGCAGTGAGCTGTGATCATGCCACTGTACTCAGCCTGGCAGACAGGAGTGAGACTTTGTCTTAAAACGAAACAAACAAACGGAAAAACAAAACAAAAGACCTAGTGCCAGAGCTTTCATCATTCTCAGAGGCTGCCTAAAGCCCTACCTGAAAAGGATGCTAGGTTTGTGAGTCCAAAGGTCAGCCGGGGAAGGTGCAGGGCTACTGTGGTTCCCAAGAAGAGCCCAGACAAGCATTCTGCTGAAGGAGCCTCAGACATGAAGGTGCGAGAGCATTTAACGCGGAGGGCTTGGGGCCTGCAGGAGTGAGCTGCGTGCCCAAGTGTCATACGGATGCCTCTGTTGAAAGGCCCAGTCCTCGATGGGCACCATGGCTGTGACCAGTGTGGACTGAAACCCAGGGTTCTCTGCAAACAGTGCAGTCATCAAGGGATGCCCCAGCTAGGACCCGCGCAGGATCTTGGGGGCGGAAGGGATCCAGTGAAATGGAGCTGGAGCATCCTCCAGTAAACCTTGGTGAATTAGGGCAAGTTACGTTCAATTTGAAGAAATAAGAGAAGTGTGACTTCTACTCCAGGTTAGCCTAGAAGCCGTTCCTGTGAATTGAAGTGTCCCCCCCAAAATTCACATGCTGGAGCCCTAACCCCCAGTGTAACAGTATTTGGAGACATGGCTTTTAGGTAAAATGAAGTAAGGGTGGGGCCTGATCCTGTAGGATTAATGTCCTTAGCAGAAGAGACACCAGAGAGTTTGTTTCCTCTCTCTCTGCCTCTTAGGACACAGTGAGGAGGTGGTCATCAGCAACCCAGGAAGAGTGGCCTCACCAGAAACTGACCCTGCCAGACCTCGATCTGAGACTTCCAGCCTCCAGAACTGTGGGACATAAATTCCTGTTGTTTAAGGTACTCAGTCTGCAGTGTTTTATTATGGCAGCTCAGGTAGACTGACAACATACTTGCCATATATGGGTGTTTTTTGCAGTGTAAAGTCCCAGGGAAGAAATATCAATAGCTGACAGATCTCTTAACCATCAATTTCATCCCACTTTGTTCATATAATTGAAATAGTCCTGTCTTTGGGGTCATATACCCTTTAATAATACTCAGAGAATAATGACTTTGCTCCTCACACTCCATTAATATGGGAAGTCCTATTTTCTGTGGGTTCCCCCCTCCAGGCATCTCTGGGTCTCATGCTCTGCTGTAAAGCTCATACTGATTCCCCTTGGTGAAAGCTGTGCCCTGGCTGCGACTTGAAGTTGGTACTGAAGATTTAGGAAACTGAAGGAAATCCACAGCAAAGAGGCTGGTATCTACTGCCGAAGGGGGCCACACCCAGTGCCCAGTGCCCAGTGCCCAGCAACGCGTGGCCCATCTTGGGGAGGGAGAGGTCTCTCCACCTACCTAATGCTGTCTGGAGACCCATCCCCACAAACATGTCCCACCCTGAGCCGGTCCTCTGGAGCCCTCCTTAACCACTCCAGGCCCACTGGCCTCAAGGCTTCTCCACTGCCCTCAGGGAAACCCCTCCACCCACTCCCAGAACTGTGCTTTGGCTGGGGGCTCACACAGCGATCACTGGGTCATTGGACATCAGTTTTCCCCAGTCAGGGTCATTCCGTCTGAAATGCACTAGGCACTGACTTGGGGAATCGGCTGTTTGGAAAATCTGGGTTTAGCCAGATCTAGTCAACTCTGGCACAACTTTCCTAAACTCTGTGTGGCCTCCACCGGCAAGCCGCTCCGAGACACCACTTGAACGAGAAACGCACACGTGTGTATGCATTCTCATCTGCACTACGCACAGCCCAAAGCCACCTACTGAGAAGAGAGGCTTTTTGGAGACATCTGTCTGCACCCTAAGCAGCCTTTGCATAACTGTGCTGGCCCCGGTGGAGATGCAGGTCCCCCCTGCAGGCAGCGTCTTTGTTACACTCACTCAGGCGTGGGCCTCCGGAATAAAGCTGTCATCTGAAGCCTCAAAAGTGAACCAGAGCCGCGTCTGGCTTTGAAGTGACAGTGCTTCTGATCCTACCTCACGAGACTTCAAAGCACAAAGGGCCACGTTTCTGTCGTGACTCATGGTTGAGGCACCATGTGGCCTTTTCTGCAACAGCTTTGCAAGGAGGTCATATCTTGCAGGCTCCTGGCCTGGGAGGGAGCGCTCAGGCCTGCAGTGGGGCAGAGGGACGTCTGTTTTGTCCTTCCACTTCAAGCTCCTGGAGTCCCTCTTGACCTGCTATCCACACCCCCTCAAATGGCTGTTCATGGCTCTGTGCCCTCGGCTCACTAGAGAAGCCAGCTCTGGGTGGAAAAAGCCAGTGGGGCCTGTGATGGTAGTTTCAGGGGAGTGCTCACCCAGAAAAGGCACCTTTGGCATGTCTTTGAGTCCTCTGTCCCCCCGCAGTGGTAAGGTTGTCAAGTGGTCCCTGCCAGCCTTTATTTGGCCCTGGAAAGTCGCTGTCCACAGTACAACTGACTCTTGAGGACAGTTGAAGGGTGGTCTGGCGTGGGCATCCCCACACAGCTCCTCCTGCTATGGGGATGTCCCCACCCTTGCCTCTTGACTGTTCTGCACGCCAGCCTCTCCTCACACCCACACAGTGGCTCTGCCCAATTTCTTTCCGCACTGGTCTATTAACTGAATCCTTTTTAACCTCTAGGAATCTCTACAACTGTTATCAGGCCTCAGTCATTTCAAGCACCTTTGCAATCTCCATCCCTTTGTGGTCTTGCTACAAGGGTGTTATCTTACGCTTCCAGAGGTCTTTGGTATCCTGTGGCAATTACATAGTATTAGTATCATGACTTTCAGCTTCCGAGGGTCCCCAGAGAGGTAACTCAAGAGGAATATAGTTGACAAATGCACCTTGTGAACTGACATTCTCCAAGTCAAATCCTCCCTGGGGCCAAGCGGAGGTGGTCACTATCCCTAGGGGACGTGGCCTACATGGGGGGTGGCTCCTAGATTAGTAGGAGATGGTTAGATGGAGCAAAGATGTCCCCCTTGGCCCTCAGCACCCACGCCATGATCAGCTGCGCTCGGGATTGTGGGGAACTCAGGACAGAGAGTGGCCCAGGCCAGAGCCTAGCAGGGCACAGCTTCTGGGAGCTCTCCAAAGGCTAGCAAAATTCACTGTGAAGTGCGGAAAAGAACCTAGGAGAATCCACCCTTGGAAAGTCGGATTCCCACCACAGGAGGTCAGAGAAGGGAGGGAAGGGCCACCGAGGAGGACCTCTAGAGACTGGCCCTGTGTCTTCAGCCCCTCAGTTCTTCAGCCCCTCAGTCGGTCAGCAGGTTTCTCATACTGGGCCCCCCACCCCTGTGTATGCAGAGAAGCCAGGGCCTGTAGAAGCAGCTGCAGTGTCACGGTGGCAGTGCGACAAGGTGGTGGTGGGACAAGGTGGCAAGGGCAGGGTGGGGTCGACTGCAGCCGAGTATGCGGGGTCTGTGTAGCCTGGCTGCTACCACAGAGAACCAAGCACCCGTGTGGATGTGGGGGAGTGGAAACTAGACCCCAAAGGGTCTGGCTCCTGGTCACCTGGACAGGCCCAGCTGTGCTCCTGAGCAGGGAGGGCCACTCCCTGCAGCCCCACACTTGGTGGCCAGGTGGCTGCTGAAGAGACCAAGATTGTTGGGTGACCTGGCAGGGGCCATCTGGGGCCTGCTCTTCTCCGGGTCCAGTAAGCTTAGTCCAAGACAAGGTCACAAGGCATCACATGAATCTATTTATTTGGCGAATCAGATTAATCAAGTCATTTTTTCCAAAGCTAACCGTCCGCCCCTCCTGTGCTGCTGGGCCCCACTGCTGATTATGGGCCAGCTTGGGTTGCAGCTATGTGGGTCCAAACTCTCGGCCCTCCTGCCGAGCAGCCGTAGTGGCCTGCAGCATGGACCTGTGCCCGCTCCCACAGACACGGGTCCCCACGGAGAAGAGGCCCTTCTTTCCACAGTGTTTTGGGATGGGTCAGGGGTCCCCAGGGCACACCCACAGGTCCATAGTTGTCACATCACACTGAGACTGCTGATACCCTCCAAGGACCTTCCTCTTACAGCCATGCAGCTCCTGGGTCCTGGCTCCCCTCCCCGTCCCTCCCTACATGATCAGGTCCTCTCAGCTGTCTAGAGCCCTTTCTGTCACCTGGAGAGAGTCATGCTGCACATAGATAAGATTTTATGTTTGAACATCGCTGGGGATGATAGTTGGTTAGGTCCACCCACCCTTGTCTCTTAGGAAGCCCATCTGGCCTTAAGCACATTGGTAGACCCAAGTGCACATGACGGGCATCACTCAACTCCACCAGGCAGGCTCCCAACTCCTCGTGCAGAGAAAGAAGTGGGAGGAGGGTGGTCACTAAATCCACCACCCGTAGACACTGACCCGAACCAGCCCCAAATGCCCCGTTGCATGTGAAAGTCTGGCTCCCTCAGAGTATCACGGGTGGGTCTCTGTCTAGGGTGGCCATGGGAGAGGGCAGCCTGCAGGCAAGGAGAGGAGTGTCTGGGGTTTGGGGCAGCCAGGCAGCCTTACCTCTGGGTCTGCAGAGCCTGACTCTGTGGCTGTGGTTCTTAGAGGCCCAGCTCAGGGGGCCTGAGCCTCCGATCCCTCTGGTCTGGTCTGGTCTGGTCTGGTCACTCCTCCACATCCACTTCCACCCCTTCATTGACGCTCTCTTCCTCACCCTTCCCTCCATCCACCTAGGAGGAGGTGTACAGGGTGCCACTTGAACACAGCAACAGCGGGAGCTGCTCCTGAGAAGGCGACTCCTGTCCGTCCATGGCTCTTAGGCCAGCTGGGAAAGCTCTCAGGCAGGAAGCAGCTCAGCCAGGTTCCCCACCCACCCTGCACTCCCTGCAGGCTTCAAGCCTAGGGCCACGGCTCAGCTTCCCCTCCTTTTCCTCTTCCTCTTCCTCCTCCTCCTCCCCACAGGTCCAGGTTTATCCAAATGCTTCTCTTCTTCCCCTCAGGTCACCACCCCTCCCAAGCCCTTCAGCCCCCACTGAGCCCAGATCCTACAAGTAGACCTCAGTTGCTTTTCCTCCTGAAGACCTTGCTCACATGAAGTCTCATCAGTTACTCCTCATCCCACTCGCTCTGTCATGCAAAACCACCCCACAATGGATCCTTCTCATCATTTCACTCTCCGGAGCAGCTGAGTCATTGGGAGGCTTCCGCTGTCACTTGCACTCCTCCTCCAGATCCGTTGAGAAGCCATCCAGGCGTGACTCAATTGTTTACAGTTTCCTGGGACCAGCAGGGACCCCCCCTTGCCTTCTTTCTCAAGGCCACACCCTTGTGCCTAGCTGCCTCATCTCCCTCCCAGCTGCCAGGGAGGGACGGCTCCATGGGCAGTGCCACGGGTGCCAGCTGCCCAGCCAGGATGCAGGTGAGTAAGACAGCACCTCCTCCACCCTCCTATGGTGGAACCAAGGCAGGCCTGATTCTTTGCCATTGTTTTCAAGGAAGCTAGCTGTAATGAGCAACTTCCCAGTCTGTTTAAGATAGAAAGCAGGTCGGGGTCTCCCCGCTCCCAGGCCGTCTCTCACTGTCTCTCTTCACCCTGGGCCAGCACCAACACTCCGTGCTGTGGACACCCTGATGGTGATAGGGGAGGGGCTGTGTGCTTCCAGCCCTGGGCCTGTCTTCTTCCTTCCCCAGAAGTGTCCTTTCCTCTCCCCCCTCATGGCTCTTGGATGTCATCAACACCCCACTCAGTCATTTTGCAGTCTTCTCACGGGCACGGAAAGGTGTGGCTGGCTTCCTTCACCTTTCTGAGGCTCACTGGAAACTTGGGGTGATCCATGCTACTTGCCCAGCCCCAACACCACCCCTTCTTGCTGTCATCTCAGTGAGGCTTTTGGCAACACAGTTCCAGAAGGGACTGGAAAATGCAAGTCTGCTCTGTTCTGGGACACCCAAACTAAAAAGGGACTTCACTCATCCCTACCACCCCACCTCTGCCCAAGACACTCTCCCCAATAACTGACTCTCTTGGCTCCCTCCTTTACCTCTTTTCTCTCTCTCTCTTTCTTTCCAGAACCTCCCAGTCGAACAGGAAAATGGGGAGAGTTGGAAACAGCCTTGTTGACATGGTCTCATTCTCTTTCTCAATTCTTCTGCTCTATAGTTTTTGGACTTAGAAATCAGTAATTCACCTGGTCTGTGGGTTCTTCAGAGATCCCTGAACACTGGGTGGTATAAGCTGTCTGGGCAGTGGAAAAAAGGTCTTTGGGGTATAATGAGCAAAGCTGGCACTCAATGGGCATCAAAGGGAAGCACATCAGTGAAGATGGTGCGGATCATCCCACCACATCAAAACCCTGGAACGCGATATCCGTTACCAGAATTCAGGGCCAGGGCTTTCTTCCCCTGAACAGGATGTCCTTCCGTTAGCCCCGGGAGATCGTGGTGTCCTGCAGGACCAGCTGGACCCTGGAAGGCCGGTGGGCCCTGATGTTCATGCGGAATTCTTTGATGACAAAGTAGTAGCAGAAAACATCCAGGCAGCAGTTGACGTTGGAGAAACACATGGACAATTGCAAGAAGAAGCTGATGCTCTGCTTGGCTCTGCACTCTACGATAAAGCTGTTTCTCACCAGGAACTGCAGGAAGAACCCCAGGTGGACTGGGAGGAAGGAGACCACGAAGACAGCCAGGCTGGCTGCGATGCTGTAGATGCAGGCTTTCTGCTGCACCCAGTCCTGGGTGTGGTCTCGGCGGCCCAGCAGGATGTGGATGCTCCTGGAGCAGCAGAAGCCCATGATGCCCATGGGAAGGAGGAAGCCAAACACCTCCAGCGGGAAGAAGACCTTGGCGCTCCAGGTATCATCAGACATGTTGTGGAAGCACATGTATTTTTCCACTTTCCCATGGAAACTGTAGATAGGGATGCTTCCGGTCCACACCAGGACCCAGATGGTGCAGCAGATCCCAAAGATCTTCCTGGGGGACCGGAGGTGGCTCACCAGTAGCGGGTAACGGATGGCCAAGAACCGGTCCATGCTGATGAAGCAGATGGTGAAGACGCTTCCGTACATGCTGACGAAGTAAAGGCACTCCACCAGGGTGCACAGGGACGGGAAGGGGGACTGTACCTGGGACAGGACCATCTTGAATGGGAGGGAGAGCACCAGCAGCAGGTCAAAGACTGCCAGGTTGATCATGTAGATGGAGGTGGCAGCATAATCGGGCCACCTGTTCTTAAGGAAGGTGCTGAAGCCATGGATGGCCAGCAGGTTGAGGAGCAGGCCCAGGACGAAGGTGGGGATGTGGACTGCAAACTGTAGGGTTTTCATCAGCTCGTTGACACCGTCAAACAGGCAGTCCCCACTGGTGTTTTGCTGACTCATGTTTCTTCCTACAACACCAACAGATCAGACGGGGCTCCTTTCACTCTCTTGAAGTGATGGATTCAAATGACTTTGTCAAGAATCACAAACACCTCCCCAGCATCACACAGCAATTCATGCCCATTGAATCACAACTAGAACACAGAAAAGAAAAATTACCTTTAATCCTGCTGCCCAGATGCAACCACTGTTACTTTTTGTGTATATCATTCCAGACTCGCTTTCTCACTCTCTTTCTACCATACACACATTTTTCTTTGACAAATATAGAACCTGCTGTGCATGGACATCTGTCTTTTAAATCAGAACTCCTTTTGTTGAAAGAAGTAACAGCACATACCCAGACCCAAACAGGCTGAAGCAAAGAGACAGTTTCACATAATGGAAAACATGAAAACTAGGGTAGGGCTGACTTCAGGAGCAGCTGGATCAGGGATTCAAATGCTGTTTCCAGGACTCAGCTCCTTTTGTCTCCTTTGTCCTCCTCCCACCCACTTTCCTGATGGTTGGACACAGTCAACCTGCAACCAGGGATGATTGACACCAGAGCGTTGCATTCCCCTGGACACAGTAGCTGGTTAGTTCATTGGTTCAGGGACAGATATTTGACTCTCCAAGAAGCCATGATAATCAACACAACTTTTGCTTGGGTTTCCAGGCAGAGGGTTGGAGTCCCTTGTCAGGGATTCATAGTTGCCAAGATATAAGGTCTGCAGCTGCTGCAGCCTCTTGTACCCCAAAGAGAAAACCAGACAGAAAATGGAGAGATATGGGAGAAATGGCATTCCCAGAAGGAATGGAGCGGGGCCCTGAGGTCTCCACAGGGCAAGGAAAGGCCTTTTGTCGGGCAGAAAATTAGAAGTGGCCTCAGGGACGGGAGGACCAAGGCTGCAGGTGTGGTTGCACAGGGGTGTGGTCCGAGCCTGGTCAATTTGGGGTGAGGGGGTGAGTGCCATTGTGGGGTTCTGCATCAAGGTATGTAGCCCTGGAGCAGGAAAAAACCAAGTGTTCAATCCAGGCATCCAGAACCAGGTTGCTAGAAGGACTCAAATACGACCCAACTTCCACCCTCTCCCCACTTGCCCGCCTCTGCCCACCTCCCTGCTCCCTCCTTTCTCACCCACTCTTCCCTCTCCCCACATGTGAGGCCATGCTGCTGGTGTACTTGACTTGGACTGGCCTTAGACATGGAATGTGCCACATTCACTAGAGCACAGGGGCATGGCATGGAAAGGACATTTATGCCTGGCATCTTCCTTAACCACTTCGGCAGAAAGCAGCTGGGTGAGCAAGTGCGGCCAGGTCCTGCCGTGAGACCCACCTTCCTGTGCCTCTCCCACCTCCCATGACTTCCTGGCTAGCAGGTGCTGAGATCCCAAGATATCGATGTATCAGGGAGGAGACATCAGCATGGACTCCCACCAGAGAATCCCATACTAGTGACCACTGCAGCTATTTATTTTTATTTTTATTTTTATTGTTTTTGAGATGGAGTCTCACTCTGTCACCCAGGCTGGAGTGCAGTGGCACAATCTTGGCTCACTGCAACCTCTGCCTCCCCAGTTCAAGCGATTCTCCTGCCTCAGTCTCCTTCATAGCTGGGATTACAGGCATGCACCACCACGCTCACCACCCCTGGCTAATTTTTTGTATTTTTAGTAGAGATCAGTTTTCACCATGTTGACCAGGCTGGTCTTGAACTCCTGACCTCAGGTGATCCACCCACCTCGGCCTCCCAAAGTGCTGGGATTACAGGCGGGAGGCCCCGCACCTGTTCCTAAAACTTCTGTTATTAATTAAAGCTTCTGTTATTATTTTTCATAGCTTTTTATTAATTTTAAAAGTATTCCAGGCGCTCAATAAGATATTCGAAGAGAACAAAAGAACAAGCGTAGGAAAGTCAGCCTCCTTGTACCCTAAGGCCTCAACTGTCCTTTTCAAAGGCAGCATGGCTTACAGCTTCTTGCATATTCCTCCCAGACATTTTCTAAGTAGATACATATATGCAAATATATGCATGCATACATATACATGTATGACTTCTTTAAAATTTGGAAATAATATACCTAGAGCCCCTGTCCCTTGCTTTTTCGCTCATCAATGTTTCTTGGACATTGGTCTATATCAGCATATATGAATGGCTTGTTTGCCTCCCATTGTGTAGGTATACCAAAACTCATTTAGCCAGTAGCTTATTCATAAACATTTAGGTTTCCAGTATTTTACCAGGAAACAATGAATTCCACAATAAGCATTCCTATGACTTATTTCTTTGCTGTGCAGCTATTGCTAACAGAATTCTCATTCTGCTATTGTTTCTCATCACTATTGGGCGCCCGTGGGAGGAAAAAATTGGGGTGTGTTTTAAGATCTTATATGTAATACCATTCCCAAGCCCTCTCTGATCTCTAATGAAAAAGAAAATCGATATATATAGATAGATGTTTATAGGTTCATATATATATCATCCATTGAGCACTACGCACTAAACATTTAACATACATTACTTGATTTGGTGGCTTTCCAAAGATTCTATGGTTTCCAATGTGTTAACTTTTCTCACAGATTTATGTAATGAGAGATCTAGGAAAAAATACTTCCTCTTATTCAAAGCCTTGGTGTCCTGTGGTCTGTGGGGATGGTGCCTCCTAGGGGTGTGTAGGAGTAACTGGTCCTACTCAGGATGCTCAGAATCTGCAAGGTGGGGTGGCCGCCTCCTCACTAAACATGCTGAAATGGCCACAGGCCTAGCTCAAAAAATTACTGGAATAGCTTGGAACTCACAAGGCAAATTTCAAAAATGATGAGAAAAGCAGGTCAAAGCCCAGTTCAAGTCTAAATGTAAAATGTTGCAACACCAAAGAGGAAGATGGAATTGGCTTGGAGAAGTTGTCTTCAAGACCAGAAACAGCAGAAAACCAAGAACCACAAAGATAAGAATGAATACAAGTTTATGTTTAAAGAGATCCAATAAGATTTTGAAAAGGGAACTGAGGACATCTGTCTTTGTCTGGGTCACACTAACCAATTAAGAAAAAGGAGCCACCAATGACAAAAGCTCAACACTCAGAGGCCCTTACTGTCAGCTGTTACCGGCCAACTGCATGGATGAATCCACCGTATTGCTGGTGGTTCAAAGTGGCCAAGAAAACAATCGGTGATGCTCAAAGTCCAACCCAAACCCAGACACAGTGTGTGGCTGAATTGGGGGAACAAACGAATAACAACGGGAGGAAAGTGATCTGACAGAAAGCACACAACCTCAGGTGCTGGGATGAGTCTCCATTGACAGTAGCAGGTATATTCATAGACACAATTTGGCCATCAGTATTCCCCGGTAGGATTATTCTAAAGGTCACATTTGAATTACCGACAGACTTCAAATGGAAGCTTCTCAGAGGGTAGTCTTTGAAGCCAGAGAAGGCACTCTATGGGCTGGCAAGAAGAAATTAGGTTGAAAAAATACTGCCGGCTAATGGCAGAGTGAACAGAGAATCTGAAAAATTAATTTGAATTCCCTCTGAAAGTCCAAGGAAACCATCTTTTTAGAGTCTTTTTCAAAAAAATCAGAAGCCTCACTGTAGTAAGATAAAAAAAAGGCATCAATGCACTCCAAACGGCAGCAAGAGATGAAACAGTCATCCTTCTCAAAGAAGTTTGCTAATAAAAACCAGTCTACTTGTGGGTGGGGGAGGGGAACGGGGCGGGGGGCAGCAACTAGCACCATTTGCTACTTGTGGGGTGTGGGGCCATTCCATTAGCAGCTCCTGTTCTGGCCAACCCAGGGGTCCACCCCAATCAAGCAATGGTACTGTAGTTGGCTGGGTGGGAGGTTGAGTCCCCTCAGGTCCCCTGAGAAGCAGATGCTAAGACAATGCTAGACAACTCAGAGATTAAACAGGGGAAGTTCCCATGAAGGATAGTTGGGAGAGAGAGCAGGAGGAGGTGGGGTGAGCCTTCAGACCACCTGCAGGTCTGACTCTGTGGAAGGAGAGAGGGAAGGAACAACAAGGTGGGAAGGACTTCAGACAGCAGTGCAGATTTCAGCCCTTCTTGGCCAAGCCATGGGGCATCTCTGAGCAAAGGTTGCCTGTTGGAGGAGCCCCACATCCGCAGAAATCGCCCCAGGCTAGTGCCTCTGCCCAGTTCAGGCACTGGCTAGGAGTAGCCCAAAGAGAGTGGCATCAGCATCAACATCACCATGGACCTGAAGCAGCAGAGCTGCACTGACTGTGGTCAGGGACCCTGGGAGTGGGTTCTCTGGAATTCCGGGGAGGTCTCAGCAGCACCCCTGCATAGCTGCCAAGGAGCCATCCCAGTGCTGCCATTGATGTTGGGATCTGTGTCACAGGCAGCAGTGGAGATGTTCTCAGTTTCCACCCCAGCAGCACCATCTGTGGAGTGCTGCCTTTCTACCATCCGCAGCAGGGATGGGTGGGTGCCTTCGCCTCCTAGGGGACTGGAATGGGGCAGTCCCAGCCTCCTCCAGAAGGAAGTAGCATTGAGTGGGCAAAGGTCATGGGTCAAGCAAATAGCATCTGTGAATGGAGTGAAAGGACCCCAAACCATTGTGAGTCAACAGCAGCACGGTGGCTGAGAGGTGGGGCTGAATTGAACCGTGGAGTAAATGAGACAATACAGGAGATGAAGCGCCATGTTTCATGCAAAAGCTATGGAGAGAGCCACTCCCAGAGGCCCTGCTGACACCTCTGAATGTCCCGCTGACATGTTTAAATGTCACCAAGATACAGCCTCACAAACATCCATGAATAAACAAACCAAGTTCCTTGGAAACCTCTGAAAAAATAATTAACACCAGAAGAGGTTTGAGGGAGAAGATCTGGGTGCAAGAATTTCGTATCCAACCAGGCGTTCTTCTGGTTGGAAGAACCAGACTTGCAGAAAGCAAGTCTCAGGTGGATGTGGCCTGTAGAAAAACAACCGCCCCAAAACTTTAGACCTCCAAGAGATCATCACTAAGAAGAGTGCAAGGATGAAAACATCAAGGTAGAAAAGCTTGGAACTGAGCATTGAATTGAAAGCAGGAAACTATGGAAAGAGACTTAAGTTATGATGAATATAGTTACACATTTAAAATCAAAAGAAAAAAAAAAACAGAAGAGATTATCTGGCTGGACTAGTGGCTCACACCTGTAATCCCAGCACTTTGGGAGGCCAAGGTTGAAGGAGCACTCGAGCCCAGGAGTTTGAGACCAGCCTGGGCAACATAGTGAAACTTCATCTCTCCAAAAAAGAAAAAAAAATTTTTTTTAGATTAGTAGAGTGTGGTGGCTCGTGCCTGTAGTCCCCAACTATTTGGCAGGCTGTGTGGGAGGATCACTTGAGCCCAGGAGTTTGAGACCCGCCTAGGCAACATAGTGAAACCCCATCTCTACCAAAAAAAAAACTTAATTAGTAGGGCATGGTGGCTCGTGCCTGTGGTCCCCAACTATTTGGGCGGCTATGTGGGAGGATCGCTTGAGCCCAGGAGTTTGAGGCTGCAGTGAGCCATGATCGTGCCACTGCACTCCAGCCTGTGTAACAGAGTGAGACCCTCTCTCTAAGAAAAAAAAAAAAGAGATAATCTGTGTCCCTAGAAAGAGACAAGTTTTAATATTGCGGATAAATTAATAAAGCAGGAAGAATGTTCTTGTGTTGTAGGGGGTGGGGACAATGGAGGGTAATAGTAAGTGCCTGGGGTGAAGCAAAAGGCTCTATTGCTAATATTTCTATTCTGTTTTTTTTTTACTTCAATAATTACAGAAATATGTGTCAGATTCTTGAAAACCTTAAAAGCAACCACTATTAAAAATATGATGTCTACCTTCAAAATTACTACAGAAGATGAAAAGAAACAAAACCAACTACATAGCAAAGGAGTGAATATAATAGGAAAAGAAACAGCATAGAAATTACAACAATAAGTGTGAAAAAATTCAACTTTTATTAATATTCTCAATTCAAAAATAAAATATAACTGTTTGCTCTTATGAAGGGTGCACTTAAATGACACAGAAATGTTCCACATAAAAGTTCTGTGGCGATAGAACAGACAAATATAAACAAAAGAAAGACAGGGAGGCAATATTCATAACTAGCCTTGTAGAATTGCAGAACAAAATTGCTCATCAGGATTAAGAAGCTTATTTTTATAGAATAAAATAAAAACTCAATTGCGAGGGCAAATGTAGTAATCTTATACACCGAATGGTGGAAAAGTACATCAGGTACAATTCTTAGAATTCAAGGAGCCATTGGCAAAAACAAACTGCAGTGTCAGACTTTCATGTACTGTAGATTAGAACAAAACAAATAGGCAAAATATAAATTAGGACATAGAATTATATAAATAATATGATTAATACAGTTTAATTAATAGCCCTTGGGCTTGGTTTTAAACAAATAGGTAACCCATTTTTTTTCTCAAGCAGCCAAAAAACACTTGCCAAAAATGAATTATCTACCTTACAAGAACAAAACCATCCATTAAAAAAATTCAGAAATTATTTTGGCTATACTCTCTGACCTCATACACAAAGACCTAGAAAATAAAAATACAGCCTGGCCGGGTGCAGTGGCTTATGCCTGTAATCCCAGCACTTTGGGAGGCAAAGGAGGGAGGATCGTTTGAGCCCAGGAGTTTGAGATCAACCTCACAACATAGTGAAACTTCTGTCTCTACAATTTTTTTTTTTTAATTAGCTGGATGTGGTGGCTTGTGCCTATAGTTCCAGCTACTCAGAGGCAGAGGTTAAGGCAAGAGGATGGCTTGAGTCCAGGAGGTCGAGGCTGCAGTGACCTGTGATCATGCTACTACCCTTTAGCCTGGGCAACAAAGTAAGACCCTGTTTATATAAATTCTGTCTCAAAATAATAACAAAAATAATAATGACTATTTAAAAATAAAGTGAGAACTACAAAACTAAATACATGTGAAGAATAGCAAGAACTTTTTGGATTGGTTGTTTTAAAAAAAAAAAAATTCACAGGATACAGCCAAAACTATTCTCAGAGATAAACACATTGCCCTAACTGCTTTAATTTTCTTTAAGGACATTAAATAAATGAATTAAGCACTTAACTTGAGCATTTAGGGAAAAAATGTCTTAGGGAAATCAGGAAAAAAGTATAAAGATAAAAGTGGAAATAAAGGAATTAGAAAAGAGAAAATATCAGAATCAACACATTTAATAGGTGGTTCCTTCAGAACAGAAGCAATAAACGAAGCAATACCTATATCTCTAACAACTATGATCAAGAAGAAAGGGCTCAAATGGTCATAACTAGAAATAAGAAAGAAGACATTAAGCTGAGTTAGAGAGGAGAGCAAAAATAGCAAGAAACTGCATTGTTACGTGTGTGTTGATCTGTTGAAAAACCTTGATGTAGTTGTTGATTTGGGGGCAAAAAATAATTTACCACAATCTATACAAGGTTTGACACAAGAAGAAATAGAATTATTGACTAGACCAATAACCATAAAAGAAACAGAATATTATCAAAGAATTACTCTTAAAATAGGCTCTAGCTTATTTCAAATTTTCAAGCAACAGATAATCCCCGTGCCCTATAAAGTATTTCAGAACATAGTATTAATGAATTTCTATTAAACTAACTTATCCAAATAGCGAAACTCAGCACAAAAGAGACAGACTTGCTCAAATACAATTATGAATATATATGCAAACATCCTAATTAAAATATTACCAGGTGGAATTCAGTACATTAACATTATAAATCATCATGATGAATCAGATTCACTATAGAAATGTAAGATAGTTTCAGTGTTAGGAAATCAATTAATGTTTTGTATCACATCATTAGAGCAAAAATAAAAAGTCATCCAATTGTATAAATAGTTTTTTGAGTTATTTAACTAATGGAACAGGAAAGTACTTCTTACAAAGAGTAAATTGCTCACACCAATGACAACTTTGTATTTAATGGTAAAATAGTAGGGACATTCTTGTTGAAATCAGACATTTACTAACCCAAAAATCTCAGACTATGCACTAACACATTTAACAGAAGCAAGAATAAATGAGGCATTCCACAAAAATCAATAATACAAAGGGAAGGCTTAGTTAAGAAATTATGTTAAGAATTATGTTAAGACTGTCAGTTAACAATTTGGGAGTAAAAACCAACTTAGAGTCTCATCTTACACGGTATCTCAAAAGAAATTCCAAATTCATCAAGGAATTACATTTCAAAACAATCAAATCATAGAAAAACTAGATGAAAATTTAATAAACAACTTATAAAATCACTAAAGGGAAAAGCTCTTTGTCAACTTAGCATAACTGAAAATCAAAGAAACAGAAAATAAACAGGACAGGTTTGACTGCACAAAAAAAATTCTTTTTGCTAAAAAGTCTTAACATCAAATAATGTACTCGAAGAAACAAAACACAATCAATGTTAGACAAATGACGTTCTTTCTCTGAGAAGAGAATATTAAAATGAATAACATCAAGAACAACAATAGAAGAACAAGCCAATGACATAGGCAGTTCCCAGAAGAGGATTTACAAAGAGATAACATTTTTGCTTATCAAATTTAACAAAGAATTTGGCAAGGGTTCTGTGAAACCAGTCACCAATATGCTAGTAAGTGTACAAATTAGCACACCACTTTTGGGATTTGATAATTTCTATTACAAGCCATGAAAATTGTATGTCTTTAATCCAGTGATTCTGAGAATTCACCTTAAGTAAATTATATGAAAGAAGAAAAATTGTGTACAAAAATATGTCCACCTTGGCATTTTTTCTTCTTATTCTTCTTTGCCTCACTGTATTACCACATTACTTTTTTTCTAATAGTAAAAAATACATACACACATGTAAATGCCAACAAGAGGTTAAGTTCACTACGGTAAATTTACTCAATGGAAAATTTTTCTGTCTGACTGTTATGTTTATGCTGACTATGTTGAGTAAAAACCCCACAAACTATAGAATTAGACATTCAGAATGATTTCAACTGTGATTAAAATTACAAAAACCCACGCATAGAGGGGAAAAAAAAAAAACCTAAAAAAAGATTTCTACATCCCAACCAGTGGTTGCATTCTAGCAGTTGGAAGGTGGGTGATTTTTAAAATCTTTTATCTTTATCTCTGTCTTTTGTGTGTGTGTGTGTGTGTGTGCTTTTCTAATTAGTTAATGATAATATGAAAACCTGAGATTAAAAAAATATATATATATAATGCTTGGTGGGGAAAAAGGAGACCAGTAAGGATAGCTTTCAATTTTTTCCTTCTGTATCAGAGAAACAACTTGTGGTCTGGGTTTGTGTTTGAGGCATGGCAGGGCGCAAGGTTTACACAAAATTAAAAGTTATGCATTGAATTCACCAAAGCTCAGCTGATGAGGCATGACCTTTCAGGGTCAGAGATGAGCATTTCAAGATGGGGCTGGGAACGAAGCATGAAGTGAGAGAGAGATGTGGGAGTGTCAAGTGAGACAGCAATCCCACCCAAATGATGGGAGAACAGCAACAAGAACCTGATTCATGATTTTTTTAAAAAAAAATTGAAAAATAAACAAGTTTCCTCTGTTCACAGGTCAGCCATCACATTATAAAAATGTGTATTACATAAGCAGTAAAAGACGACATAAAAGAGACAAAATGCCAGCTTCATAGTGAAGAGTAGGTGAAGGTAAGAAAAGAGATTTAAAATATAATTCCCCCAAAGCTTGGCAAGCTATCAATAGCATCAAGAAGTTAAGAACTTAAATATTTTCCAAATTGAATATTTAGGTTAAATCACCTTGTCTATCTTAACGGGACAAAAGGAAGAGAAGATTCACAGTAGAAACTGAAAATGAAAAAACTATAATATCACAATATAGAAAACAGAGGGGCAACCTCACAGAGGTTTATGCAAATTTATAAACAATTGTTAATACTCCCTATATTAATCTATTAAAACCAACCATCAATTTAAAAAAAACAAAATTCAATCATCTTTTGTCAAGGAAAAACACTAAGAAAATGAAAAGACACAGAGTAAAATGATAGCATAATCTTTGGTTTATCAGGCACATTTTGTGCTAGAAAGGAAGGGAATAGGACAAAGTAATTTTTTTTTTAGTAAAAAGAATTGAGAAAGTAACATGGAGACTCCACAAGAGTGAAAGTTACAATAAATAATGAAAACTTAAAACACTCAATTTCTGTTCCAATTAGCACAGCAAACAAGTACATAATGGGACCATGCAGGAAATGCAAAAGAAATTTTAAAAAATGGAAATATAATGTAGCTGGAGCCCTTAGTGCCCCTCCTGTGGAATACCCATGATCAAAATAGACAGAAATTAGAGCTCTGAACAACCCAACTAATAAGGTAGACTAGCAGATCAGGGAGAAGTACATCATAAATCAAGGGTCTATGCTCTCTTTAGAAGAATAGAAGTGTCTTTCACAAAATTTACCCCATTCCCGAGCACAGGCAATGGCAATTTTACACTCCTCATTCTCGGACCACAAAGAAAATAGCTGTTTGTTGGTCCTGACCACTTAGCTGCAGTGCCATATTAAAAATACAGGCATTTCTATGCATTCTTTTACACAGGCTCTTCACGTGTGAGTCAGAGACAAAATCAGACGTACATTGCTGAAATATTGTAAAGAAACAATATTTATACACAAAACACAAACGCAGTCACCACTTTAAGGAAAGTGGGAATTCCTAAGTGTTCTTTTAAACATGAAAGGGAGAAACGAGGTGAGCCAAGGCTACACTCAAAGATCCTGGAAGTGGAATGGGAGTGACCATGGCCAATGCACAGCTCTGATCACCCTAGGACCCGAGGCTGTCTGTCTGCAGGGGCTGAACTCGGAGGGGCTAGGGAACCACAGCATGGGAGAAGATGCAGAAAGGCCTAGAGATGCTCCTAATCCCTAGAGGGAAAGGCACAAGGTCATCCATCCTCCAGTGATCGTGACGTGTTCCACCATAAGACTTCACAGGGTCAGAAAAGGAATGGGTTCCAGGTGCTGCAGAAAGCAAACCTATCTCGCAGCCAGAGTGTCTGAGAGTAGACAAAGCAAAGCAGCCTCGTCATGTGGAGGGCTCTCTGTCACCAGAGGTATGCAAGCAAAGGCAGGGCTATGTGCTTATCCAGGGTGCTGTAGAGGGAATTCATGCACACAGCCGTGTCTTACTGAAGGGTGTTTTTGTTTGTTGATTTTTAACCCTGAAGTAGAATCTCCTTTCAATATAAGGCTGTTTTCCAATGTTTGGTGAAAAGGAGAGAAAGTATGTGACGTGTGGAAAGGGACTGGGGTGGAGCACAGAGGCCTTGCTTCTCCTCCTGGCTCCCTCTGCTTGGGGGTTTCCGTCTCATTTCTTCCATCCTCAAGGCCCTGCTCAGCCCCGAGCCCGGAGCCCTGGCCTCAATGTGCTGATTTGTTTGTTTGTTTAAGTTAGCATCTTGCTTTGTCACCCAGGCTGGAGTGCAGTGGCACAATTGAGGTTCACTGCAACCTCAACTTCCCAGGCTCAAGCAATCCTCCCACCTCAGCCCTCCGAGTAGCTGGGACTACAGGCATGCATCACCATACCCAATTAATTTTTTATTTTTTGATTTTAAAATTTATTTTTATTTATTTATTTATTTTTGAGATGGAGTTTCACTCTTGTTGCCCAGGCTGGGGTGCAATGGTGTGATCTCGGCTCACTGCAACCTCTGCCTCCCAGGTTCAAGCAATTCTCCTGCCTCAGGCTCCTGAGTAGATGGGATTACAGGCATGTGCCACCACGCCCGGCTAATTTTGTATTTTTCGTAGATACAGCGTTTCTCTATGTTGGTCAGGCTGGTCTCGAACTCCCGACCTCAGGTGATCCACCTGCCTCCCAAAGTGCTGGGATTACGGGTGTGAGCCATCGCTCCTGGCCTAATTTTTTATTTTTTGTAGAGACAAGGTCTTACTGTGTTGCCCAGGCTGGCCTCAAATTTCTGGGATCGAGCAATCCTCTTGCCTCTGCCTCCCAAACTGCTGGGATTACAGGCGTGAGCCCGAGCACCCGGCCTGTGCTGGTTCTTAATTGCTGACTCTACACATTCTGCAGCTGGGATTCCCGCAACTGCCAGTGGTCCATGGTACCCTCATCCGCCCACACCCTCAAGGATCCAGTGTCCCACTTGCGGCAGCCCTGTGGCTTTGCCTGCACAGCTGAGACCTCGAAACCCAGCTATGTGGCTCCACACCAGACCTACCTTTCTTCCCTCTGTGGCCTGGACTTTCCAGAGAACACAAGCAACAAGAAGATCACAACCCTAAGGAGGGTTGCAACTGAGAAGGTGGCCCTTCCTGCAGCTGCCAGGCTGTTATCTGCACAGAGCATTGCAGCGTGAGCCACCTCAGAGATGGCAGGGCCAGAGCCTAAAAAAGCAGCATTGGCACAGCCGCAGGGATGGATTTGAGGAGCCCTGGAATACTCCCCCAAAAATGCCGCAGTTAGAATACACAGCGTATCCACCAGTAACACCATAGTGTGAATAAAGTCATCCGCCTGTGCCTGAGCTGGGCTTCTGGGGGCCACGATAGAAGAAGGAACAGGACACAGAGGGGACAGAGCACATGACCACAATCTCCCCAATGCCTGAATGTTGCTGGAGCTTGGGCTGGGGGGTTGGAGTGGGGCTGGGAGAGGGGAGGGGCCGGCTTGGGGACGTGAAAGGTGGCCAGCAGTGTGCTCAGTGATCTACGATGGGAACTCAGGACACTCCTAGGAGATTGCCCTAATTATGCCCATTTTACAGATAAGGACAGTAAGGCTTAGAGATGTTAAAGATTCTACCCAAGGTCAAAAAGGCCGTGAGGGACCAGCTGGAACTCATGTTCTGAGTCTCTCCTCCTCGCTCACCCTGGCCCCCATCAGCATCACAAGCAAGAGCATCTGGGATCCAGGAGTTGCCAAGCCCCCTCCTCACTTCTTTGCATGCTCATGCTCCTCTTTCTCCTTGGACTCTCTCCTCCACTGCTAAAAATCCCACCTCTTCCTTGAAATGCCCACTTCCCAGGTTCACCCACATCATCTGATGTGGTTTTCCCAGTGCAGTCCTGAGTGGGTGCCTTGAAAAGTCCTCTGTGTATCCCAGGGGGAGCGTGTCCCTGCTGTCCTCCAGCAACCCCAGGACCAGGACCATGTCCCTTTCACCTTTATCACCGAGCCTCACATACAGTTTGTCGTTGGGAAGGTCTTATTGCATGAAAGAGGGGGTGAAGAAATGACGGAACAAATGGCCAGGTCTGCTGCAGCTCCACAGTGACTGGTGCTCCCTTTACAGCTGGGACAGCCGCTCAGAACCAAAGGCAAACCTTGCCTTCCACAGAGCTGTGGGCGGCACTTTGCCCTGCCCTGTCCTCTCATCCCCACTGCCTCGGGCAGCACAAAGCCCAGGTGAAGCCAGGCCAGCCAGACATGTCCTGACTTTGTGTTCTCACTCTCAGGGAAGAATCTAGAATGTTCAGGGTTCTAAGTGCTGCTGTGTCTTCCCGCCCAGCCTCTCCAAGAGACACTTGGCTAGGGTTAGAGAACAATGCAGCTATAATGTAGGATAGCAACCAGGGCTTTCCTCTCCATCATTTACTGCCCTTGAGCGCCCCGTGAGGAAGAAACCGTGTATTGCCTCATGCCCCAGAGAGGTAAACGGAGGCTAGAGAAATTACGCAGCTGGTGAGTGGGTGAGCCTGGGCTCCCAGGCTCCTTCTGGTCCCCAGTAAGCACTTGCTCAGGGCTGCAGGATGATCCCTGAGAGTGTGTCATCTCGGGCGCTTGGTGGTTTCCCAACAAGATTCTGGGGAATGGGCGGCGGGCTTGGTGGAGGGCGGTGGCACGTGAGCTACATGCCCCGGGAAGGCTCCCAGGCTGCCTATGGGGAGGTTTCCCGACCCGACATGATGCTGCAACCCTGAGTCAGATCAGGAGGAAGTTGAGGGTTCGTAGAAAAATGTCACTCGTAATCGGGGACAAACCAGGTCTGCCTGCCGCTGCTGCTGTCACGGAGGCTGCCTGGAGGCTGCCGCTGCCCTGACACCTGGGACTGCTCGCTGAGTTGGGACAGGTGTGCACAAAGCCCAGGCCCACACAAGCCCCACTGATCTTAGGAGAGTTACCTGCAGTCCACAAGAGCAAGGTCAGGTTGGAGGCTCCGTGCCTTAGTTTCTCTAAATGGCCCAGAGGCTGTTACCTGTTGGTGGTCCGGTGCAGCTGAGAGGGCTGAGAGATGTCATTTCTCCTCCAGGCCTGGCTGTCAGCCTGTTCTGGGGAGAGTCACTTCCCCTCTCTGGGTCTCGACTTCCTTGTGAGTGAAATAAAGGGGTGGGACCAGATGCTCTTTGAGCCGCTCCAGTGTCACCCTGTCTGGCTTAGGGGCTCTTGCTCTGGGGTCTACAGAGAGGCTGTGTGGAACTAGAGTGTGGACATGGGGAGCAGTTTCCAGGAGGAGGGTCTACACTCTCCCGCCCTCTTGGAAGATCTGCACGCCCCCCTCCCGCAGCTCCAAAAAACAAAACAAAAAACCAAAAAGCCAAAAATCACACTGCATGTGTCAAGCCCTGGGAAGCCTCTGGAGGAGGAAGCCTCCTACGCACCCCAGACACCCTAACAGGGGCACCACACAGGGGCAGCCATTCTCAGCACCTGCCAAGGGCCGTCGTGGCTTCCAGCACTTTGGGGGTTTAGGATTTGAAACTGCTGCCCACAGAAAGGAAAGGAAGGTGGTGCTATTTAGTACTTGCAGGTTAGGACTTGCGTGCCTAGCGTCGGAGGAGACCTCAGCCACTGCATGTGTGTCTGCAAGAATGGTCAGTGGGGCCCCACAGGTTCCCCAGCCTCGGCTTCTCTGTCCCAGGCCTGCACAGAGATTTGGGGCAGCCTTGGGCCTGTGGCTTCCTAGGGCCCTGCAAGCAGAGATTTCCCTGGCATCTCCCACCTTCAGGGCTGGGAGGGCTGAGACTCACCCGTGGGCCTGGGTGGCTCTTAGCTGGGAGCCCTCATAGATTCCAGCCCATCAGGAAAGTCTGGGCTGAAACTACCCCGGCAGATGCAGCTCTCATGCCCTGGAGGTGCTGGGAGGCCCTGTCGGAGGACCAAACACAAGCAATTTTTAAAAGCTATGCGTGCTGGGACTTTCAGGTGTCTACAGGAATAGAAACTACTCCTGGGTTTTTTGGATGATTCATCCAACACATGGGTCCCCTCTGTAAATAACACCTTGCAAGTCACTGCAGGGGAACCACCTGGCCCTCTGGAGCTGGGTCTTCCCACTGTCTGGTGAAGAGGTTGATGGAACCATGACAACTTTTAAGCTCTCACCTGGGCTTGTGCGATGGGCAGTGCCAAGTCCACTGCCTGCTCCAGGCCGTGGAGCCCCAAGCTGGCCTGGGTGCCAAGACAGGGCACAGGGCAGTCCTGCCCCCAGCGAGGCCCCCCTACTGGGCCACCAGCCCAATCTAAGCCAAAGGCTGGCTACTGGGCAAGGGGGGGCAGCCAGGCCCGCACCCTGGGTGCGGGAGGAGGCCAGGAGCCTGCTGGGACAGTAGCAGGGAGGAAACACACCGGTGTCTGGCACCCACCTCCATACCCAGAGCCTGCAATGTGAGGCCCCAGGAAGGCATCCACACTGAGTGGCCTGCAGGGAGCAGTGTCTCTGCTCAGCCCCTTCTCAAAGGGAGCCTTGTCTACTCCCATTCTGGCTACCTTCTTTTTTTTTTTTTTTTTTTTTTTTTGATACAGAGTCTCGCTCTGTTGCCCAGGCTGCAGTGCAGTGGCACTATCTTGGCTCACTGCAACCTCCACTTCCCGGGTTCAAGTGATTCTCCTGCCTCAGCCTCCTGAGTAGCTGGGATTACAGGCTTGTGCCACCAGGCCCGACTAACTTTTTTCGTATTTTTAGTAGAGACAAGGTTTCACCATGTTGGTCAGGCTGGTCTTGAACTCCCGACCTCGTGATTCACCCACCTCGGCCTCCCAAAGTGTTAGGATTACAGATGTGAGCCACCGCTCCCGGCCCTGGCTACCTTCTTTTAAGAAATGAATATTTCTACTTTATTGCTGTTGCAATATTAAAATTTTTAAATTTTTAAATTTTTGAAAACATGCACATGATTCAAATACATATGTAAACACATATAGGAAAATATCTGTCCCACTCCTAAATCCAGCTCTCACCTACCCCCCAGGGCACCACTGTTAAGTTTCTTCCAGAGTTTCTGTGCCCGCCCGTGTACACCTGAGCTCTTATTTTCTCCCTCTTTTGACACAGAAGCTAGAGACCACACGAGCTGCTCTGCAGTAGAAGGCATTGTCCACCTCCCTCTCCTGTGGGTATCCCTTGGATACCTTGGGGGATATCCAAGGTATATGGGGGATCCCTTGCCAAGATACGTCTCCAGAGAGACTCAAAGGTTTGAGCTCCTAAGAGCAAGGCTAGGCAGGGACTCGCCCAAGGCCCCGTCCTAAGGCTCAGGCCTGTCCCTCGAGCTTTTCGCCTCCCCTTGCCACAGGCCTGGGGAGTCATAAATAGGAAGACCTTTCTCAGAAAATTTCCCTTAAGCCTCCTGAAACTTCTCCCCCTAGTCCTGCCCACCCTCTCACCATCCAGAATCACTTGGAGGTTTTGGGAGCCTGGGCAGGTCCCTGCCTGTCTTCCAGGCTGGGAGCCCCGAGTTGGGGGGTTTGGGGGCACACACCTTCGACTTCACCAGTGGAGCAGCTTCGGAGCTTCAGGAACCAGCTTCTTCTAGGGCAAGGAACAAGTGAATCTGACTGTGTTTATCAAAGAGCGGGTCCAGGATAGCTGGGCGCTCACCACATCCTCCCCTGACGCTGGTGAAATTCGCTCCTTCAGCAGCCAGAGGCCTGGCCCTGCCCTCGTGGGGCATCCTTTCCCTCCAAGGGGGGAAACCTGCCCACCAGGGGGTTTGCAGGGTGACCACTTGGCCCAGAGCTGTGCAAGAAGTGCTCCCAAGCCTGCCCCAGAGAGCTGGTCAGGGAACAGGGGCAGGGGCAAGAGCTGAACCCTAAGAGACACGGGGAGGGAGGAGGATGCTGGAGGAGGGCAGCCCAGGTGCAGGCACAGGCAGGAGGGGCACGGGGTTGGTGAGGGCCCGGGCACCCTCTGCACCAGGGTAAGGGGGGAATGGCAGGAGCCGAGGCTGGAAGCTGGCCAGGCAGGAACCAGGGGCACGGGCCGCCCCGGGGTCCCAGGGAACACACGCTTGGCACAGGGGCAGCATGTGACAGACCCACTGGGGCAGCAGGGGTTGGGTTGGGATGAGGGCACCAGCAGCAACAAGAAGGAATGAGGGCAGGAGTGGGGGCGTCAGAGTGTCTGAAAGAAGGATCCAGGGCATCTGAGGCAGCCGGACTCTGAAGATAGCCTCAGCAGGTCTCTGGCCGCCACTCCCCACAAAGCAGCTCTGTCAGCTTGGGCTGGTTGCCTAACCTCTCTGAGCCCATTTCCCCAGCCGCAAATTGGAGTTACACATCCATTCAATCAAAAAATGTTTGTGGATCATCTCCTAGGGACCAGGCAGTGGTGGTGAAGACAGATGACAGTACCTGTCTCAGAAAACGTTGTTTTAGGAGTCGGCATGGTAACAGGGGTAAGTGTACCCAGGAAGTGCCTGGTACTCAAGCAGTGACTGAGGCCCCCATTCCTCGTTGATTTATGCCTGCCTTTGTCTCCCCTGCTGGGTCTATTTGAAGGAAAAGAAAAAAAAAGGAGGAACATTGATAATGAGACCCTCATGATCCAAGGAAAAGGGGTCCTAAAAATCAGAGGAAGCCCCAACAGAGAGAGGAAGGCAGGGGAACTCAGGAAGAAGAGGCAAAGAGAGGAAGATGAGCAGCACCTGCCCCCACCCTCTGCTCCAACCCTCCAGGTGCGGCCTGGAGACAGACTCAAAGGGTTGAGCTCCAAGAGCTGGGCTAGGCAGGGACTTGCCCCAGGCCCCATCCTATGGCTCCCCATCTGGCCTCTCCCCTCCCATTCTGCCGGGAACACTTCTGTTCCCAAGCCCCACTTCTTTATTTTATTTTATTTTTTGTAAAAATAGAGATGGGGTTTTGCCATGTTGCCCAGGCTGGTCTCGGACTCCTGGACTCAAGCGATCCCCCACCTCGGCCTCCCAAAGTGCTGGGATTACTGGTGTGAACCACTGCATCCGGCCACCAAGCCCCACTTAAACATTGAGCCCGGATGACTCCCCTGCACGGTCAGCTGGGTGCTATACCACACGAAGCCCGTTCCTGGAGCCTTTGCCAAGTCCCTGAGGACTGACACCCTGCCCCCTAGGTGCTCACAAAGACAGGAAGGTGCGTGCCCCCAAGCCCCCCAACTCGGGGCCCTGATAATCCCCCTTAGCAATTGAAGATGTCTCCTTGAAAGTGGGCCCATGGTGGCTGAGGTCAGTGATGCTTAATGTCAAGGCAGAAGGGAGTAAAACACGCAAGGGGGCAGCAACTGTCCAGAATGCAGCCTTCCCCTCCCATGTCACCCCACGTGCCCCTCTGTCACTCACTGGAAATGTAACATCAAGGTTACAGGAGAAGGTTGCAGATGCTCAGATATCTGTGCCTTCTGTTCTTGTCATGATCCAGCCAATTCTTTTAGAGCCACCAAGCTTCTCCCTGCAGTCATCCTGCCCATGGCTGTTGATGGCCCTGATGGGGCTTGGAGCCCCCAGAATGTGCAGAAGTTGGACAAAGGTGGTCTTCAAATGCAATGGTTGTCTTATCACCGAAAGCCCACGGCATCCAGAGGAGGCCCTTTACTACGAAGTTTACAGAGAGCACAGGTCTCTGTACGTCCCAAGTTTCCCCTGCTGCCAAATGCAGGGGAGGAGAGAATTCTGGAAGCCCACCCTGTCCCATGGCTCCCCTGGCACATGGAGCCACTGAATGTCTTGTGAACATTAAACAAATGCTTCCAAGTGAACACCTCTGGCTCTGTCTCATCCAGGTCCTCCTGAGGCCCTCCTGAGGTTTGGCGCTCAAGGGAGCAGAGTCCTGGGCTAAACCCTGGCAACAGCTTCCCAGCATTCCCTCCACTCCCGCCGGGCAGCCAGGACCCCCCCGCCTCCCACCTGGGCCTTGGGGCCAGGAGTCAAGGAATGAGGGGATTCTGCTCACCTCTGAGTACCCCCTCTGGCCTCCCAGCAGCTCCCTGTCCAGGCCACCAGGTCACAGCTACTGAGCTACACTTGTTTATTTCTCAGGGACACGGGGATAGGAGTGTGAGCAGATGGTGGACCCTTTTGAAATACTTATTTTCTTTTATGTTTCCTGTTGCATAAAGTGTACTATTTCCTTTGCCCACATGCCCATCAGGAGCCTAATATTCTGTTTTCCACTTTAGCTATTGAATTCCTATTCTTCTTACGTGTTGAGTCTTTTCTCCCTACTTCACCCCTTCCCACCTCCCCTACACACAGACATTTTTATCTTTGGGTTTTTTGTTTTGTTTTTCTTTTCTTTCTTTCTTTTTTTTTTTTTTAGACAGAGTCTCACTTAGGCTGGGGTGCAGTGGCATGATCTCAGCTCACTGCAACCTTCGTTTCCTGGGCTAAAGCGATCCTCCCACCTCAGCCTCTCAACTTCCCAGGACTGCAGACACGTGCCACCACGCCTGGCTAATTTTTGTACTTTTGGTACAAAATACAAAGGCATTGAGAGGTTTTGCCATGTTTCCCAGGCTGGTCTCCAAGTCCTGAGCTCAAGCAATCCACCCACCTCAGCCTCCCAAAATGTTGGAATTACAGGCTTAAGCCACTGCGCCTGGCTCAGTTTTATCTTTGTTTTGCGGCATGGAAATTGTTAATTGTGTCGTTCGTCTCCATGAATTATCCTGTAGCACTTTAATAATGAACCTATCTTCACCCTTCTGTAGTTTGAGTAACTAGGACATTCATTTCCTTCCTGAAAGTCTTTTATTTAATTCTGATTTTTAAAAAGTATATATTGGGGTGGAAGGTAAAAAAATCTTCTCCAATACTGAGGGGCTGACAGGTGAAGGCTATGGGGAGGTCCCCACCTGCCCTACCTACCCGCCACTCCCCCGGGAACTGTGCCAGCACTCACACCCTATTCTCCTGCAAAACGCTTTGTCCTGAGAGCCTTACCCCACATGCAGAGCTACCACCTCTGCTCTTTAATGCCATCAAATATCTTCCAGGGCACACCACACTCCAGTACCTGGCTCAGTCTTCATCTCCACCCCAAGTCCTCCCGACTCTTCAAGGAGACGTCATTGCCAATGGTGACAGCTCCCTCCAACACTGACCCTGCCTGTCCTGAGGACCACGCCGAGGGCAGTACACTTTACAAATTAAGTCTGTTCATTCTCCAAACACCCTGGGAGGTGCAAACGATCAACAGCCTTGTTGACAGAGGAAGAAATTGAAGCACAGAGGGCTGGAGCCCTGTGCCCAAATGTGCACCACGAGCTTGATGCAGAGCTGGGATTGGGCCTAGGAGATGGCACCTAGAGAGGCCGATTTCTACCTGTCCCACCTTGCTGAACCCTCACCAACCCCATGAGGCAGGACCCACAGGCACTCCCACTTTACAGGGTGGAAATGGAGGCATTGAGAGGTTTTGGCAACTCGCCTGATAAGCCCACTTGTTAAGACGCTGAGCAGGAACACAGTGCACCTGCTGCTGCCACAGGCCCCGACCGCTGCACCCACGAGGGCCCCACTTCACAGTCTGGCCTCACGGTGCGACCTCCTGCTGCTCTCACCCCTGCCCATTAGCCCCATCCCCATGAGAGCATGCGGGGCCCCTCTGCTCCCCTTCCTTCCACACCCTGAGTGGTGCCCCACTCCACTGCCCGGGCCACCCCTGGCCCAGTCCATTCGCCTGCTTGCCCACTCCACCCCAGCCCCTTTAGCCCATGGACAATGCTCCTGGAGCCAAAGGGAACCATCCAAATGGCAGTCTCAGGGCACCAGCACCCCTCACCCCTTCCCTGGTGGTAGGGCAGCCCCACCCCAGCCCGGTCCCGTCGAGGCCACTCCACACCTCAAGGCCTCACCTCCAGCTCCTCACCATCCCCAGACAGCCTGGCCTCCAACTTCACAGAAAAAAATCTCGGTTCTGAGGCGTGAAGCTCCAGCTCCTTGTCCTACAAACCAGCCGCGGTCTGCACCCAACCAAGTGACAAAGGTACTCTGCTGCTTAGAGAAACACCTCCACGCCACCAGCCCGCCGACCTTCTCTGGGCGCCTGCCCGTCAGGTGGTTGCAGCTGTTTGTGGGAGGCATCCAGAGGGCAGGAAACATGTTAGAGGAATTCACAAGATTAAAAACTCATTCCCTACATAATTGGTGCTGAAGGCAGAAAATTACCACCGGCTGGATGGATATTGTTTCTATCATCTAAGGTGACTAGAAGTCTTAATTTGTGCATTATATCATTTTGAAATTACAGAGATTTCTGTAAAGGTACATTGCATTCTGTTACATAATGCACATAACGTTACATGAAGGGGAAGCTACTATGGAAGGAAAGTCTTCAGTGTTCATTAAAATAGTTGGATCTACACCTCTTCTAAATGAAGACAGCATGGCTGTGAATGTTTATATGATAAAGGTACATAAAGCTCCGAACAGAAGGACATGTTCATTACAAGGACAGTCTCCACGTGGGGCTCGAAACTGGCCAGGTCCTGCCTCTTCCAGCTGCCCAGCTGTGCCTGCATGAGCCCCAATCTCTTGCTTCGTGTCTGGCCGTCATCCTAAACCAGGCCTCTCTCCCACTCTTGCACCACCTCCTCGCTTCCTGTGACAAGGCACACCCTGTTCTAGCCCAGGCTCGGCCTGGGACTGCCTCCATCAGGGCCTCAGTCTGCACATCCCTGTAGCTGTGCTACAGGCAGGACTGCTGCTCTCTCTCTCTCTCTCTTGCATGCGCTCGCTCTCTCTAATTCTCTACATGTGAGGTCACAAGGACAAATCCTAAGGGAACAGAAGCCGGACTGAACTCTGACTTCAGAGCCCCAGGATCGTGCTCTCACGCTGATCTTTGGCAACGATGAAGGGAAAATGGGTCTGCTTTCACCCGGCTGCTTCCAGCCCACTCCTTTCCCTGCCCCTTCCTGCCTCTTCCCCCTTCCCTGCTACCCTCCATCACTGCCTTCTGGTCCTGTGCCCTGTCGCCTCCTGTGGGCCTAGCCAAGCCCCTGAAGTCCCCTGCCCCGCCCAGCTCCCCCCTTCCCTCCGCCCTCTCTGCCTGGCCTGCCTCTCTGCTCTTCACTCTTCCTGTGCTCTTGACTTCCCTTCTGGCCTTTCTCTGGCCTCCAGCCACCTGGGCAGACTGCTCCACTGCCCCATCTCCCTCCCATCCGTCCACCGCATCCTCCACCTGCCCTCCGTTGGCCCTTCCTGCAAACCGTCTCCTGGGACCCTGATGTCCCTGCTAGGGGAAGTCAGGAACCTACTGAACACACGGGGCAGCCCATGGTGTGCAGCTGCTGGGCAGCCTGGCAGGCCCTCCAGGAAGCCCCCATCTCCAAGGGAGCTCTCAGCCACCTGGGGACTGGCCTGTGGCAGTGGGTGGCTGTCCCTCCTCAGGTTGGTCCACAGGCCAAAGAAACTAGAGCAACCTCCTTTCATGTCCACCCTCAGTCCCCTTAGGCTTTCAGAGCGGCCATAGAGGTGGTGGCTGGACTCAGGGGACTCAGGGCCTCTCTCCTTACAGGGCTTGCCTCTTATCCAGGAGCAGCAGCCCCTGCGCCGGCAGCATTCCCCACTCCTGGAAGTCAGCGTCTCCAGGAGGCAGGGCGGGGGCTCCCTTGGCAGGGCAAAGGCTGCCTGGGTGGGGGCAGTGACAGCAGCGGGATGAAGCTCTGCTGTGGGGGTGGGAGATGCAGGATGCAGGGGATGTGTCCGCTAGGAGAGGCATTACCAGGTCTTCCCCAAGAGCTCAGCCTCTGAAGTTCTTGACTTCAGTTTCTGAGGCCACATCTGCAGTCACCCCAAAGCTTCCGGTGACCACCCCAGAGGTGCTGGGTCAGGCTGTGGTCACTTCCTGCCTCCCTCTCCTCGCCTCTATTGTCACCTGGGCTCAGGGTGCTTTCCTTGCCCACCTTTTCAACCCTCCTTTCCAGTGCTAATAGACTGGACTGTCCCCCAGGGGCACTGGCCTAGGTATATGGGCCGCTTATTTGGAGAGACCCCTCCCTGCACTGGCTGTTTCTCCACCTGCCCCTACAACACAAAAGGCTGACAGAATATGGTGATTTCTAACCCAGCCCTGGCCCTGGAATCACAAAACCTAGGTCTGCATCAGGGCCAGCACCTCTCTGCACCTCTCTCACCAAAAGCTGTGGAACGAGCACCGAGTACTGATTCCAGGTTTCTGGTCCCCGGCCTCTCTCCGACCCCAGCACAGCTGCTCTTTCTGCCCCTCAGGGATGGGGGTTAGTTCCCAGGACCAAATGTGAGATGACCACCTCTGTGAACAGCACAAGTATCCACTGAAAGCCCCAACCCTGAGCTCTTGGTCCCAGGGGAAGGAGGACACAGGTCAGAAGAACCAGGGACAGCCAGCCTGACCCAGCCCAAGTGCTTAGCAAAATGCTTAGAGCCCGGCCGCCTCCCTCCCCGGGGCCCACTCCATGCTGACTCCTGGTAACCTCTGGGCAGGAGTCAGCCTCCCCTGGGGAAGATTAGCATCCGGACGCCTCGGGGTGGCCCTGTTTGCTATCTGGGGTGGGGTGAGGATGACCATCTGTTCTGGTTTGCCCAGAATGGATGGGACTCCTGGGGGGACTCTGGACCTTCAGTGTTAAACCCAGATAGTCCCTAAGAGTGAAGAGCCGTCACTGCAGGTCGGCAAGGGAGCTTTGGGGATTAAGCCCTCTCTTCAGTCGGGGTTTCCCACCCTGACTCCACCCACCAAGGAAGGGCATTGTCCTGTTGGGTTGGGCTTCCCCCACCCCCACCCAGGACCCCTACATTCTGCTGACTGCGCCCAGGGTGCCCAGAGCCTCTCTGGCTGCCAGGACACACATGGGTTACCTCCTTCCTACCACCTGGACAAGTGACACACAGGCCCCTTCATGCCAGAGACACACGGGTCTCAGAGGAAACGCCTGGGGTGGGGGGCACTTTTCCTCTCCCTCAGAGATGGTGGCAGGACCCGCAGCCTCAGCACCATCGTGACCACATTTCCAAGAGAAGGCTCCTGGCGCTGTGGTCAGACAAAGCGGCGGTGTTTTAGTTCAGGCTGCCTGGAACACATCAGAAAAGGGGCCTCAGGTTACACAGAGGCAGGCACGTCTTAGGAACTAGAGTGTGTGGTCCCAGCCCGGCAGCCACTCCCAGCCCCAGCGCAGCCTCCTGTCTGGATGAGGGGCCCAGGAAGCGAAGGCTGACGGGCTCCATGGACCTGTTTATTACCAGGAAGTCTTTCCTTCTGAAGCTCCTAGGGGGCCTTGAGTGAGTGACTTGCTTTGGCTGTAAAAGGGGTTTTGCCCAGTTGATTGAGTCCTAGGGTCTCACACAATTGTGCTGTGTGTTGTGGTCTTCCCTCAGGCTTTCACAGGCTCACAGCCAGAACTGTGCGCACCCATCCAGATGTCAACACACACACACAACACACCCAGAGATTCACATGTGCATGCCCTAGATGGATCATGGGGCAATTCTAAAGGAAATGCAGCCCTGGGCTCTGGGACTGGGCTGGGAGGAGAGGGGTTCCATTTTGGACCGGAGGGTACGGAATACCGACACAGGGGAATGGAGATACAGGTTCAGTATCCTTTGTCAGAAACGCTTGGAAAAAGAAGTGTTTTGGATTTTGGATTTTTTTAGAGTTGGGAATATTTGCATTATACTGGCTGAGCATCCTAAAACCAAAATCTGAAGTGCTCCAATGAGCATTTTCCTTGAGTGCATGTTGGCGCACAAAAAGTTTTAGATCTGGAGTATTTTAGATTTTGGACTTTTGGACTTTGGATGCCCAGCTTGTATATACTGAGGAGTCATCAGTATCAGCATGAGGGAGGAAGCTTGTGAGTTTGTAGGAAATAACATGCAGTGTGAGAAAATAAAGAGTGAACTGTGGGGAAGAGAATATTAAAGAGGTTGGCAGAGAGACTGGAATGCACAAAGGTGGAAAGGAGTTAGTCAGGGGTAGGAGAATTGCAAAAGCCAAAGGGAGATTCCAGACAAAGGCTGGCCAGTATGTGAAGGAGCCTTGAAGGTAAGCCAGTGGCCAGTACTGAATTTTGGCAGAGGAAACCAAGAACACTGGTATGGTTTGGCTGTGTCCCCACCCAAATCTCATCTTGAATTGTAGTTCTCATAATCCTCACATGTCGTAGGATCGTAGGAGGAACCTGGTAGGAGGTAATTGAATCATGGGGGCGGTTACCCTCATCCTGTTCTCATGATAGTGAGTGAGTTCTCATGAGATCTGATGGTTTTATAAGGGGCTTTCCTCGCTTTGCTTGGCACTTCTCTTATGACGCCATGTGAAGAAGGACATGTTTGCTTCCCCTTCCACCTGACTATAAGTTTCCTGAGGTCTCCCCAGCCATGCTGAACTGTGAGTCAATTAAACCTGTTTTCTTTATAAATTACCCAGTCTTGGGTATGTGTTTATTAGCAGCATGAGAATGGACTGATACGAACATCCTGTTGGACAGCAGCAATGTCCATAGAGGTTCTGCCTGCAGGAGTGGCTCAAAGGGGACCAAGGAGAGCATCCAATATGTGGATTTAGGCTCATGAAAGGTAGTTGTCTATAAAACCCTTGAGGCCAGGATTATCCCCAGAGATAAGTCTGATGACAGTTGTCTTAACACAAAAATGAATTATTAGAATTTCCCTTGAGGTATTACTCAAGTTGTCAAAAGCTGACTAAGTTGTTTGGCTGGAGGCTAAGGGGAAAGTAATTTATATTTATGATTCTTCTTTTTATGCTTGTATACAAAGGAATAGAAGTCAGGACTCTTGATCTAACCTGAGCCAGATTTCCTATGTCAAATCCTGTTTCCCTAGTTTTCCTCTTACCTCCCTAGTCTCCTAAGTTTATTAATAAACTTTAAAACACAATAGGCTTCCTTGAATAAAATGATTCTGATTTTCAGTTGGGCTGTACGACTGGAAACATTAAGTAAAAATGTATTCTAGGCCAGGCACAGTGGCTCACACCTGTAATCCCAACGTTTTGGGAGGCTGAGGTGGGAGGATTGCTTGAGGCCAGGAGTTTGAGACCTACCTGGTCAACAACATAGTAAGACCCCGTCTCTACAAAATTTTTTTTAATTAGCCAGGTGTGGTGGTGCACACTTGTGGTCCTAGCTACTTGGGAGGCTGAGATGGAAGGATCACTTGAGTCCAGGAGTTAGAGGCTCCCGTGAGTCGTGATTGTGCCAGTGTGCTCCAGTCTGGGCAAGAGAGTGAGGCATTGTCACTCTCAGAGATAAATTCTTTTTCAAAAAGCTTTAGGTCCCTGGGGAAAAAACACAGCAATAAGAACTAATTGCGTTAGGGATAAAAACCCTGCCCTACCCCACTTGGTGTGCTCTTGTGATCGTGACTGGTGCAAGTTGCACCCTTCTGCAGAAGTAAATTGCCTTGCCGAGAGAGCTTTTTGCTGGAGTGCTGATTCTTCTTTGTGGCACGGAGCATTTATTTCCAACAGTCACCAAAAAAAGTTATTAGATGATAAATTGTGATTATTTGTTTTGTAGATTTGGGGTAAAAATGTAAACCATAGAAAAAAGTCTTGCCCTGGCTCATTCAAAAAGACAAGTAGTAGAGACCTCATCTAGAAGAATGTTTATGCTAATTTCTGCAAACTACAAAACACAGATGCTGCCACAACCACCAAACAGAATAGAGAAAATTTACTCAGTAGAACAAGATATTTAAATCTAAAATTTGGGGCACAGTGGCTCATGCTTGTAATCCTCACATTTTGGGAGGCGGAGGCAGGAGGATTACTTGAGCTCAGGAGTTTGAGACCAGCCTAGGTAATATATTGAGATCCTCATCTCTACCAAAAAAAATAAATAAAATTAGCTGGGCATGGTGGTGTGCACCTGTGGTCCCAGCTACTTGGGCGGATCACTTAAGTACAGGAGATTGAGGCTGCAGTGAGCCGTGATCGCACCACTGTACTCCAGCCTGGGAGACAGAACAAGACCCTGTCTCAAAAAAAAAAAAAAAAAAAAAAAAAAAGCTTAGACTCATTCTCATACTAATAATTGGGGGTTTGTGTAAAACATCACATAAAAAGAAGCCGGCCAGGCAAGGGCCCCCTTAACTGCCATTTGAGGAAGTGAGGCCATCAGAGTGGGCTTTATATGGAATCAATTTCCTTTAAAAGATGATGTAATACCTTTCACTCCTTCTAAACTATGTAAGAAATACAATCAAAGTTCTCTTTCTGTAACCAGATGACCAAAAAAAAAAAAAAAACAAAGAAAGAAAATCATTGAGCCATTCCTACAGAACCTGGTCTTTTACCGTGTTTTTCTGTGAGATGGTTTTAACAAATATTTTATATTGCTTAGAAAAATATTGGTATTTCCTGATGTCTCTTCACTTGAAGGAAAGACTGGGGCAGTTTGACTGGGGCTGAGGATGCTGGGATCAGAGAATAAATGAAGATCCCAGGTGCTCATTTGGCTTAACTTCACCAGCTCCGGAAAATCCGAGGCTGTCCTGGAGGCTGGAGCAGCGGGCAGGGCAAGGCTGGAGGAGGCTCAAGGAGCCAGGGCCTCTTGTCCAGCCACTGGCAGAGGCACTGGGGCAGCCATGTGGGCTCCGTGGCATCTCGGGACCTTGCCTGATATGAAGGATGTCATTTAGGGCAGGAGACAAAAAGCCTCTAAACCTCATTATTTGTTCATGAGAGCCTCGAGTCTAGCTGCATCTCTTCTGGGTCTCGGTAAACAACTCCAGGAGGGCCTGGCCTTTTAAAGAGCTCATTAAATATCGCCCCCAAGTAGCACTTCAAGAAGAAAGTCAGCTGCAGCATGGCTCCCACCTCGCCGCCTGGGGCATGGAAGCATCTAGCACAGAGGGCTCCTGCCGTGTGGCCAGTTCTCGAGATGGAGACTGAAGAGGCCGACTAGCCAACAATGAGCACTCGCCGCAACCTACCCTAGACTTCTCCTTTGTCCCTGCAGCCCTGGGGCCTAGGCTGAGCACAGAGAACCAAGAGCTCAGCTTTGCCCCCAGCAGGCAGAAGGGCTGTGGAGTTCTGGGGGGGCAGGGCTCTTTCCGGTGGCTCCGAGGAGCTGTGCCATTGATCTCCTTACTGGGGTGGGCATGGCACAGCTCTGCCCGCAGTCAACCCTGTCTGAGATGCTGGTGCCTGGGGGAGCTGGGAGATGTCACAGGCCATAGAAAGAAGGGAGGGTCTTCAAGGGTGGGGCAGTTTGGAGCCAGGCAATGACAAGCCTTAGATGCTTCCCAGGGAAGTTTCCAAACCAGAAGGGGTGACAGTGGTCTGGGGGTGTTCTTCTCGGAAGTGGCCCATTTTGTTGCCCTGAGAAGTTGGCATCTCCTGGGCTGCCCAGCTCCCTGGGCTGCAAGAGCTGGAATCTCATACCACTGGCTCCCTAGACATGCATGGGGGAGTCTTCTAGAGCACCTGAGCAGGAGGCCAGAGGATTCACAACCCCTAAGGAAAGGTGTCTGTGGGTCTCTGGCAATAACAGGGCCGTGTCCATGTAACACTGGAGAAGGGGGAGAGCCTGGCGTGCAGGCCAGTGCTTGCTCTAAAGGGAACAAGGAGCCCGGGTAGAACCAGGTGAGGAGATAGTGTGGAAGTTGAACGGCCAGCCGGCATCCCCAGGCACGATGGGTGGAGGAAGTCCTTGTTTCGGGAGGAAGCCAGTGCCACCATCCCTCCCCACCCAGGGGCAAGCAGGCTGCAGCGGGGAGAGACAGTCACAGGCTGAAGAGACATCATACCCCTGGGAGACAGGGGTGTGTTGGCGGGGGCGGGGACAGCTAATCCTCCCACCCCAGGCATCTCCTTGGCCTGCCACTGCCACCCCCAGTAGGCCCAAAGTGTCCTGCCAGGCACCAGAAAGAGCCAGTCCTCCCATCCCTGAGCTACGTGGCCCCCCTGGAGTCCTGCGATGCTGGGACCTGAAGGGTGGATGCAAATGGCTTGGGGCAGCTACAGCCTCCCAGGGGCAGGCGGGAGGCCCTTCAGCCTGCACCTGGACCAGAGCCCAGCAGCCAGATGGAGAAAGCGAGGAAGGGGGCTAACCGCTCATGGGGTCTCAGTGGGGGCGGCGCTTACACAGCCACCTCCCTCCTGGCACCCACCCTTGGCATTAAAATTCAGAGCTCAAGGCTGGGGTTTCCTGACAGGCTGCGTTCTCTTCATAATCATCTGCAGATTCAAGGCCATCAGTGGGAGGGGTCCAGGCTCCCCAGGCCCAAAACTGCTGTGAATTCTGAAGCAGCCCCCTGAAGATAGTGGAAGGTGTCTCCAGAGCATGAACTCGTCCTGCAGGAAGGCGCTTATCAAGACTGAGAAGTCTGCAGGGGCCGAAGACAGCGTCATTCTGGACCCTGACACACACCAGGCTGTGCTTAGGGAGGAGCCAGTCCACACTGTGCCTCCTTAGAGTGGGCAGCACCCTGTGCCCTGTTTGTGAGCTCTCAGGGGTCACTGGGCCAGGATTCACAGCACCTGCCTCCCTGGGGGCCCATGCTGCTGCTGGGTGGCCGCCTCGCCCCAGCTGGGCAGGTCGAAGAGTATGAAAGTGCTGCCTGCGTTTCTGGCCAGTCCAGGCTTTCCTTGCCTGCCCTGGGTGGGAAACGGGAGTATCCCTGGCTGCACCGGGGCCTGCAGGGAGGAATTAAGAAGGGGTTGGAGACCAGGCATGGTGGCTCATGCCTGTAATCCCAACAATTTGGGAGGCCAAGGCGGGTGGATTGCCTGAGCTCAGGAGTTCTAGACCAGCCTGGGCAATACGGTGAAACCCCATCTCTATTAAAATACAAAAAATTAGCCGGACGTGGCGGTGTGCACTTGTAGTCCCAGCTACTCAGGAGTCTGAGGCAGGAGAATTGCTTGAACCCAGGAGGCGGAGGTTGCAGTGAGCCAAGATGGCACCACTGCACTCCAGCCCGGGCGACAGAGCAAGACTCCATCTCCAGAAAAAAAAAAGAAAAGAAGGGGTTGGAGGGCCTGATGCCTGGGTGCCTCCAGGCTCAGAGAGAACCCTCTAGATGCTCTGTCCAGCACCCCACAGGAGCCCACGGCCACTCCCAGGGAGGCTGCAGGAGTGCGGTCCTGACCTGGCTGGCTGCTGGTGGCCAGCGCAGCTGCCCTCTGAGTGCCCAGAGTCCACAGTGAGCAGGGCCCTTTGCTGGAAGAAAGACAAGCACCAGAAGTCCCCCAGACTGAGCATAGCATTTGAACCTGAACCCAGGGTGGTATCCTGGGGGGCCTGCCCCCGCTCCCAGACCCAGGACGCTCAACCTGGGCTCTCCCATGGCCACATGTGTTTCTGCCTCCTCTGCCATGGTGAGCTGTGTGCCCACCACTTCCCACACTCGGTCTCCTGGCCTTCCCTCCCTGGGACCACCACCTACCACCTCGTGACTTTCCTATTTGCGATGCCGTCACCAAGCAGAGCTGGACTGTGGCTGGAGGAAGCTCAGGGACAAATGAGGTCCCAGTCTCATCTCTGGCTCTGGGTCACATCCGCAGTGACTCCCTGTCCTTCAGGTCTCAGGTTGAACGTCACTCCCCCAGGGAGGCCTTCCCTGATCTCCAGCTCAACTCGGGGTCCCCTTTATCAGCTCATGTCATGCCTTCATCTTCCTCCAAAAGTTGTGCTTTTTAAATATCTTAAACATTAAAATATTTCAAGTATTTGTTTGATATCTATTTGCATCTTACATTGTAAGATCTAAGGGATCCTGTCTGCTCTCTTTAAGAAATATTTGATGAGTTATTGACTGATCATTGAGAGATGGCCCTTTGTTCTCCAGCCCAGGGGTCCTGGACATTCTGGGATCCAGAGTGCAGGGGAGCCTGATGCCCGGGGTAGTGGCCCCCTCTGAGCTACCCTCCCTGTGATGGGGGCTATACTGGGCCTTTTCTTTTCTGAGCAATTTCAGAAAACATTTTGAGATTAAAGTGAATGTGACACAGACCAGAAGGGGCAGGAAGGACACTGTCAGAACCAACAGAACAGCAAGAATACGTTCAGAGGGGCCACCCCCACACTCACACTCCAGGGCTGGGCAGACCCCTGAGAATGCCAGAAGATCACAGAAAGGGGGCCCAGGACAGAGGCAAGGGCCTGCCTCCTTCTTCTGCCTCCTTCTCCTGCCTCAGCCGGGCCTCCTGGCCCTGCCTCCCTCAGGGAGTGTCCCCAGCAGAGCAGCTGAGAGAGAGAATTACTTAGTCCTCAGGGGCAGGAGTCCCAGACCAACCCCACAAGGGACCCAGCCACTGCCCTCCAGCCTCCATTCCCCACTCAGGCCCCCAGGACGTTTTGCAGGAAGGGCCAATGGAGGGCAGGTGGAAGAGGCAGGTGTGGGGGGAGAGCGGCAGGGGGCAGTAGAGCATCTGCCCTGGTGGCTGGAGGCCAGAGAAAGGCCAAAAGGGAGGTCAATGGCACAGGAGGAGTGAAGAGCAGAGAGGGAGGCCAAGCCAAAAGAGCAGAGGGAGGGTGGGCCATGGGGGAAGGGACTTCAGGGGGCTGCAGGGTGGCAGGGTCCAAAGGCCAGGGGCAGCCAGTGGGAGATGGGAGCTTGGCTGTTTGAGAAGGGCCCGATGGGGAGGGTGGGCACCAGACCCAGAAGAAGGAACCCCCCACTCTCCACCCCCACCCCCATCCACAAGAATGGGGTAAGGGGGAAGAGACACGGAAGGGGCAGGAGAAGGGGCAGGCTAGGGAGAGCTGGGTGAAAGCAGACCAATTTTTCCTTCATCATTGCCAATGAACAGAGTGAGAGCACGACCCTGGGGCTCTGAAGTCAGAGTTCCATCCTGCTTCTGTTCCCCTAGGATTTGTCCTTGTGACCTGAAGAGAAGAGAAGAGAAGAGAAGAGGAGAGAAGAGACGAGAAGAGGAGAGAGGAGGGAGAGAGAAAAGAGAGAGAGAGGAGAGAAAGAGAGAGAGAGGAGAGAAAGAGAGAGAGAGGAGAGAGAGAGCGCTCTCTGTAGCACAACTGTGCCCATTGTAGAGAGGTGGAAACTGAGGCCCCAGCAGAGGCCATCCCGGGCAGTGCTTGGACTAGAGCCAGGTCAAGGCCCATCTACATCCGGAGCCATCCCCTGTTAGCAGGACAGCATCCTGGCTGGCTCCCCGCCCCCAGACTGCCCGAGAGCTTGGCTGGCTATTGCCTTCCAGAGCAGCCCCTCCTTCCTGTGCACCTCCTCTCCTCTCCCACTAGCCAGCCCCTCCGTGGAGGGCCAAGAAGCCCAGCCAGCCCTGGGCATGGGTGCTAAGAGATGTCTGGGCTCAGGAATTTCCTGGCAGGAGCAGCAGTGCCCATGTTTGTCTCCGGGCATCCCCAGCTGGGGGGCCAAGCAAGAGAGGCAACAATGCCAGAGTAGGTCACGGAGCAAGAGCCTGGAGAGCTAAGAGCTATCCCCGTCCAGGGTCTGATGGAGTTTGGGTGTTGTCCCCTCTAAATCTCATGTTGAACTGTCATCCCCAGTGCTGGAGGCGGGGCCTGGTGGAGGGGGTTGGATCATGGGGGTGGATTTCCCATGAATGATCTTGCGCCCTCCCCTTGGTGCTGTCCTCTCAGCAGCGAGTTCCTTCTTGCGAGATCTGGCTGTTTGAAAGTGTGCGGCACCTCCCCACCCCTCCTCTGCTCCCACTCTGGCCATGTGAGATGCCGCTTCCTCTTCGCCTTCTGCCAAAATTGCAAGCAAGGTCTCATCAGAAGCAGGGCAGATGCCGGCACCACACTTCATATAAAGTCTACAGAACAGTGAGCCAATTAAACCTCTTTTCTTTATAAATTATCCAGCCTCAGGTATTTCTTTATAGCAACATAAGAATGGCCTAACACAGGGTCTGTCTTAGGAAGGGGCCCTCGGGCTGTCCCTCTTCTCCCTGGCCCTAGCCCAGGAGGAGGACCAGCAAGAGTAGTGAAGTGAGAAGCCTCTCCATGAAGATGCCTTCTGCCATTCATTACACACACAACAGCATCTTGGTCCCAGATGCCGGGTCCCAGAGAGGACCTCAAGGAGACTTCCCAGGAAATTACCCACCACTGGACATTGGACAGGGCAAAGCTGTGGTGTGGAAAGGGGCAAATCCACATCCCTCCAACGTGTGCCCACATGACTGTCCCGGGGGCTTCCATGAGCTTGATGACCCAGAAGCTATGGTCCTGCACACGTGAGTCTGTGACCTGACAGCTGTGCCTGCTTCACCAGTGTAGAGACTTGGATCCCCAGGCAAACCCCAGAAGTGTGGAAGGGAAGGGGAGAAAGCCTGTGGAGGGAGGTGGAGGAGCCGTGGTTTCCAGTAACCATCGCTGGTTAGTTCAGAGGGAAATGTCCACAACAGAGATGACTGTGACACCCGGCACAAGATTTAATTCTCAGAGTGAAAACGAGAATGCCGTGTCTCTGGGAGCCCCCGGAGAATGACTCAACAGTGACGTCCTACAGCATGATTTGCTTTAACTGAAGGTGAAGAGAATCTTTCAGGAGTGGAGAGAATATAACTGAATGCTTTGTCACAAATTTACTTTGATCTCATGTACCCCGTAAATACAGACACCTACTATGTACCAGAAAAATTAAAAATAAAAATAACAAATTCACATTCCGCTTGTTCATCCTGATTCTTCAGGCCTGGCCACGGTATCAAAGACAAGGAAGGCCCATTGCCTGCCCTCATGCTGGTTGTTCAGCCCTCCAAGAATCATTCTTGATGCCCTGCAAATACCAGGCGCTGCGCTAGGCCCTGCAGATGCGACAACGAACGTAGATGCTGTCCCAGCCACCCACACTCGCTGCCGGGGGAAGAACCAGGTAAGGTTCCCGCACATCGCCCTCCATGAAGCAGGAGCAGGAGCCTCACTGCGGGGCTGGGAGCTGCCTTCCTTCCTCCCACCAGCCTCTAGGGGAAGGATTTGTGTCTGCTGGCCCTCCTCGGTAGTAACAAATTCTGGTGGTGGACAAAGCAGATAGAAGACTACAGAAGACAGACAGGCTAAGGTGATCTGCGCAAAAAGATGGCGGCGGGGGAGAGGAAAGGCAATTCCCAGAATGAAGCGGGGACGTGGGTGGCGAGTGTGTGGTTGGGATTTGAGGTGGAAAGAGGCTGAGAGAGGACTGAGTTCCGGGAGGCAGCTGCCTCCTGCATGGAGGCCTTTCCAAGGGCAAGCGCTGGATAGAGGATTCCAATTATTTGCTGTGCATTGAGAATGCACTCCCAATGACCCAGTTTTTCCAACAAATCAATGACATGAAAAGGAAAGGGGAAAAAAAAAGGGGTGACTTGGAAAGAATGCAACCCGCGCCCTTATTTGAGCCCTGATTTGAACAAACCAGCCATAAAAAGACAGTTTTGACACAATGGAGGAATCTGAATATGGATTTCGTGGTGGACGATATTACAGATTCACTTTTTGTTGTTGTTGTTGTTTTTGAGACGGAGTCTCGCTCTGTCGCCCAGGCTGGAGTGCAGTGGCACTATCTCGGCTCACTGCAAGCTCCACCTCCCGGGTTCACGCCATTCTCCTTCCTCAGCCTCCCAAGTAGCTGGGACTACAGGCAGGTACCACCACACCTGGTTCACTTTTTGTATTTTTTGTAGAGACGGGGTTTCACCGTGTTAGCCAGGATGGTCTCGATCTACTGACCTCGTGATCCGTCCGCCTCGCCTCCCAAAGTGCTGGGATTACAGGGCTGAGCCACCACGCCCGGTCTACAGATTGACTTTTAATTGTGTTAGCTAAGATAATGGCATGGTAGTTGCATTAAAAAGTGTCCTTTTTATTCACAATAACCAAGATAGGGAAACAGCCTAAGTGTCCATCAGTGGATGAATGGATTAAAAACATATACACAATGAAATATTATTTAGCCATTAAAAAAGGGAATCTTGTCATTTGTGACAACATAAATGAACCCAGAGGGCATCATGCTCAGTGAAATAAGCCAGACTCAGAAAGACACATACTGCATGACCTCACTTATATGTGGAATTTAAAGAAGTCAAAACTCACAGAAGCAGGAAATAGGATGGGAGTTGCCAGGGGCTGGAGGGCTAGGGAGGGTGTGGAAGGGGGAGATGTTGGTCAAAGGTGTTTCAGTTAAGAGGAATACGTTCTGGAGATCTATTGTATATAATAGCATGGTGACTGTAGTTAATAGTTCTGTATTGTAAACTTGGAAATTGCTACAAGAGTAAATTTGAAATGTTCTCACCACACACACACAAAAAAGATAACTGTGTGATCGATGGATGTGTTCATTAGCTTGATTTAATCATTTCCCAGTGTATACATATATCAAAATTTCACACTGTTCATCATTCACATATCCAATTTTTGTCACGTGTACCTTAACAAAGCTGAGGACCGGAGAGTGTGGAGAAAAAAGTGTCCTCATCAGAAGAGATGCACCCTGTAGTATTAGGCCAAGATGCCACGAGGTCAGTGTAAGTGGTGGAGGGTAGAGATCAATGAACTAGAGATCAGTGAAATGACGCTGGCAGAAGCTGATGGTTGTGGAAGCAGGGTGTCCCAGTAGCATGGGACAAGTTCCCACTGCAGCCCACACCTGGACCAGGCCATAGCTGGGGCCAAGTTTCCACTCTGGCAGAGCTGGAAGAAAGCAGGCCCAGCCCATCAGACCTTTTAGGGACCTCCAGGGCCTAACTGGGGCAGGGGCCAGGGCAAGGCAGCTGTGGCTGGGGGTGCTCATGTGGTTCTTTAGGACTCCACTGAGGTTCTTTGAGACACACACCAAACTAGAGAGCAGAACATCTTAATCACATCATATTTTAGTGAACCCCAAAAAGTAAATAAGAATTGGCATAGGTTCATGCTGAACTAACCCTATTGCTCATTTCCTATGTTTGACTTCAGTGTATTCAACTTTCTGACGGCCCTGTCACATTGGCCACACCACAGACCCACGCCTTCCATTCCTTCATCATGCCCAAGCCAGAAAGAGCCATTAGCTGACAAATCGCTCCTTTCCACTATGGGTGTGGGAACCTGCCTGGCTGCCAACAACCCAGTTTGTGTATCAGTCTCCCCTTGGTCAGCACCACCAGAGTTTTGTTGGTTATGGGGCGATCTTACTGAAGTTGGTTAGGTGTGCTGCAGCAGCAAAGCTGGAGCCTGCCAGCTGCACCTTGGACGTGCACCAGCCAACTGGGCTCCAATGCAAAGGGCAAGAGCACGATGAAAGAGCACATTTGCAATCCTAGAAGATTGCATCTAAGTTGCAAGGTATAATTGGGACCCTGGTTACATTTTTAGCTCAGGGGAATAAAGCCCATCCCATACTCTCCACTCCAGTAGGGAGTGTCTGTTGGTCAACTTTATGACCTTTTTTTTTTTTTTTTTTGAGACAGGGTCTCACTCTGTCTCTCAGGCTAGAGTGCAGTAGCCCAATCATAGCTTACTGCAGCCTCGACATCCCAGGCTCAAGCAATCCTCGTGCCTCAGCCTCCCACGTAGCTGGGACCACAGGGGCACACCACCATGCCAGGCTAATTTTTAACTTTTGTAGAGACTAGGTCTTACTATATTGCCCAGGATGGTCTCGAACTCCTGGGCTCAAGCAATCTTCTCACCTCAGCCTCCCAGAGTGCTGGGATTACAAGTGTCGACCACCACATCCAGCCTTTTAGTGCTATTTTTTAAAGTACCATTGTGTTCAACTTCAGCTGGTGCCCCCCCTCCAACTCCTAACATAGCCTGCACCCAGCTACAGCGAGGCTTCCTAAAATACAAATCTGGCCCTGTCCTACCTAAGCAGAAACTCGGCATCCCGCCTCACCAGGCCACGGTGGCTTTGGTGTCTGTCAAGCTCCCCATCAGTGGATGAAGCCTGCAGTGCCCGCCCGGCTCCTTTGTGACATGGGTGTGGCCACTGACTTCAGTTCTCTCCAAGAGGTCTTGGGTGCTGCAGTTGCCACCGCCGCCCACCCCCTGGCCGCCCCCACAGCTTCCTCCCTTGGTGAGGCAAAGCACAGCCCCTATGCTTGGTCTGTGTCTCCCGCAGGCCTCTGACAACAGCTGCTTAGGAGAGCTTTCTCAGTCAGCACTGAAAGGGAACTTAGAACCAGCTGAGCTATCAGCCCCTCCAGGCCTGACTTCCCCACTCAGAGCCTCCCCCACTCCTTCCTCCCTCCCCATCTCCTGACCTCTGGGTCTGGGTGGCTGCTCTCCACACACCTCCCAACCGCACTGACCTGGGGAAGCAAGACAGATTCAACAGTCCTGATTTTTGTTTTCACTAATTGCAAAATAATAATAATAGTAATAAATAAATCAAAATAAACCAAAAAGAGAAGGAAAAATTCTCCCATAGTCCCTACCCTATATATGGAATAGAACCTACTTTCTCTCGTTGCCTTTGAGGCTTTGTTTCCAGGCAGAGCCAGCATGACATTGGCAGGCATGGTGAAGAGTCAGTTATATAATTCGGATTTTTTCACTTAGAGCTGTAGATATTCCTTCCATGCCAGTGCAGAGTCTTCATCATTATCCTTTTAAACCACATAATATTCTATTAAATGTATATGCCAGCATTTATTTAACCATTCCCCAATTATAGGTCATTTAGGAAGTTTTTCCTTCCTTTGGGAATTATTGTTTTAAAATATATTCCCTGAGGGTTGGGCGAGGTGGCTCACGCCTGTAATCCCAGCACTTTGGGAGGCAGGGGCAGGAGGATTGCTTGAGCTCAGGAGTTTGAGACTAGCCTGGGAAACATTGGGAGACCCTATCTTTACAAAAAATAGTCCGGTTTGGTGGCGTGCGCCTGTAATCCCAACTCCTCGGGAGGCTGAGGTGGGAGGATAATCTGAGCCAGGGGGGTCAAGGCTGCAGTGAGCTGGGATGGTGCCACCGCACTCCAGCCTTGGCAACAGACTGAGACCCTGTCTCAAAAAATAAAATTAATAAATATAAAATATAGTCCCCAAAGAGGAATCACTACATCAACAGGCCCTAATGCTTTTATGGCTCTTTTTTTGTTTGTTTGTTTGTTTGTTTTCTTTGAGACGGAGTTTCACTCTTCCACCCAGGCTGGAGTGCAATGGCGCAATCTCAGCTCACTGCAACGTCTGTCTCCCGGGTTAAAGCGATTCTCCTGCCTCAGCCTCTCGAGTAGCTGGGATTACAGGCACCTGCCACCACACCCAGATAATTTTTGTATTTTTAGTAGAGACGGGGTTTCACCATGTTGACCAGGCTGGTTTCGAACTCCTGAACTTGCGATCTGCCCGCGTTGGCCTCCCAATGTGCTGAGATCACAGGCGTGAGCCACCGCGCCCATCCTGCTTTTAAAGTTCTTGATAGCTATTGTAAGATTGCCTTCCTGGGAAGAATGGGGTGGATTCCATCAATTCCCCGGCCTAGATCAGCACTTCTCAAAGTGTGGCTCAGGCACTCTGTGGGGAAGGGTGGTCTTGGGACACTTTCTGGGGATCCACAAGGTCAAAACTATTTTCATAATAATACTGAAATGTTGTTAGTATTTCCTTTTCCACTGTCTTCCTTTAGTGAGTGTACAGTGGAGTTTTCTGGAGGCTGTATGCTGTGTGATACCACAATAGACTGAATAGAGATAGGAGAGGCCAACCATCTTTCATAAAGCCCAGCATCACAGAGATCTGTGGAAATGTAAAAATAATGCTTCTCTTCTCACTAAATTTATTTTTTTTTTTTGAGACAAGAGTCTCGCTCTGTCACCCAGGCTGGAGTACAGTGGCACAATCTCGGCTCACTACAACCTCCGCCTCCCGGGTTCAAGCAATTCTCTGCCTCAGCCTCCCAAATAGCTGGGATTACAGGCAACCACCACCACGCCTGGCTAATTTTTCTGTATTTTTAGTAGAGACGGGGTTTCACCATGCTGGCCAGGCTGAACGCCTGACATCGTGATCCACCCTCTCGGCCTCCCCAAGTGCTGGGATTACAGGCGTGAGCCATCACGCCCAGCCAGTTTCTTTGTTTTAATTTCTAACACAGGAAACACTGATAGATATCTACATAGATAAGAGCTTTTTGAGATCCTTAACACTTTTTAAGAGTGTAAAGGGGTCCTGAAGCCACATTGTCTGGGAACCACTGGCCTGCACATGATGTGGCAGAATGCAGAGTGTGCTGGACAGACCTTGTTCAGCCCATCGCCTACCTGCCTGTCTCCCAGGCATGGCACCCAGGACAAGACGCAGAGCAATTAGAGCAATTGGCTTTTTTGTCTTTTTATCTCTTCTTGCCACTTTTATTTTCTTCTCATCTTCTCTTTCCCCTCTTTTTTGTTTTTCTCGTTTTGCTCTTCTTTCCCGCACTCCAGCCTCAGACCTCATAACGAGAGCTGCACAGATAAGGAAACCTTCTCTGCTTCACATAAGTCAAACATTTTTTCTCACATCTAAATAGAGATTCGCGACACTGGAAATAGGTTTTTCATTATTACTAATATCATTCACAAGAAGTGACATGTGTGGTGTTATGATAAGTACACACGTGTTGGCTTTTGTCCACAGTTTCTGGCTCGGAACCCCCATAGTCCCTGTTACAGTCTCGTGTTATGACAGTGGCTGTGTTAGGCCTCAGGAAACAGAATCTCTCTGGCCTTCTCCAGCTCTCCTTTCACCTGCCGCAAGGCAGGACTCGTATCTTCCCCCGCCTTTCTGATTGTGGGTCTTAAGACTCTCCCCAGAGAGGGTTCTGTCCTATGCCCTGAGAGAAGGAACGCTGACATCATGAAGCTTCCATAAAAACCCCAAGAGGACAGGGTTCAGAGAGCTTCCGGAGAGCTGAGCACACGGAGGTTCCTGGAAGCTCCATGCCCCTTCCCCTATACCTTGCCCTGTGCATCTCTTCATCAGTGTCCTTTGTAACATCCTTTAGAATCAACGGGCTAATGTGTTTCCCTGAGTTCTGTGAGTCACTCCAGCAAATTGATCAAACCCAAAGAGGGCGTTGTGGGAACCCCAACTTGAAGTTGGTCGGTCAGAAGTTCCGAAGGGCCAGACTTGTGTCTGGGTCAGGGATAGTCTTGGGACTGAGCCCTCAACCTGTGGGCTGTAAGACTATCTCCAGGTAGACAGTGTTGGAATTGAACTGGAGGACACCCCGCTGCTGTCCGCGGCTTAGTGGGACAACCCCCCACACATCTGGTCCCAGAATTCTCCTTCTGTGTTGATGATTGTTGTCGTGGTGGTGTGAGAACAGAGGAAAAACATGGTTTGGGAGTGTTTCCCTGAAACAATATGCATATTTTTAAAATATACACACGTAATCAAAGAACTAAAAATGAAAATGAGATTTTTTCATACCAACTTGGCAGAGATTTATTAGATGGCAATGCTTAGTGCTGGCAGATGTCTAGGGAAGAGGGCAGCCTATGTGGTTTCTAGAAGGCAACTTGGCAACACATACCAGGGGCCTTAAAAATAGCCTACCCTTTGACCCAGAGGAGTTCAAAAGGCTGACAGCTCCGCTTTGTACCATTCACAACTTAGAGTTGGCTGGGATCTTGACAACTGAGGGTAAGCAGGGATTTTTTTCCCTTTCATTAGGCCCAGAGAAGGTACATTTGTGGGTTTTTTGTTGTTATTGGGGTTTTTTTTTTTTTTTTTTGTGAGACAGGGTCTTGCTCTGTTGCCCAAGCTGGAGGGCAATGGCACAATCATGGCTCACTGCAACCTTAACATCCTGGGCTCAGATGATCCTCTTACCTCAGCCTCCTGAGCAGCTGGGACTACAGGTACATACCACCAGGCCCGGCTAATTTTTTTTTTTTTAATTTTTTTGCAGAAACGGGGGTCTTGCTATGTTGCCCAGGCTGGTCTCAAACTCCTGACTCAAACCATCCTCCTGCCTCAAACTCCCAAGTGCTGGGATTACAGGTGTGAGCCACCACATCCAGCAAGAGAAGGTACATTTGGAGAGGGAGGGGGGGTTACTAGACCTCAAAGATAGAGACGACATGGTCACCTGAGCTCTCATCAGGACATGTGGGCAAACCCTCCTGCAGGCAGCAGGCCAAGGCCTATAGGGACAGGGAAAGCCTGAGGGCGGGCGCAGCTTGTGTGCCAGGAGCCACAATCCTGGTGAGCACTTTGGAATGCTCCTTCTATGCTAAAGTGCTCTCTTCTTATGCCCAAGCCTTCAGTAATAATATTGGATTAAAAGGTACTACCTGGTCTTAGCAGGTGTGATCCAGAAGTCAGCTGGAGCCTGGCCGTGCCTTGAACTCTACATGAGGTTGGCTCATTGTGAGCCCAGAGGGCTAAGGAAGGCCACAGCCCTCCGTGGGATGTCCTGTTGTGTGATCTGGGGATGGCCAATGCCCTCCCAAGTTTTCTGCACATTCCCAGGGCAGGGCTGCTGACACCTCTACAGCCTCTGCTTTTCCCATGGTGCCGCTTGTCAGTTACTTGTCTACTCTTCCAGGAGTCCTATAGAGAACCCCTGCCCACAAGGTGTCATGGGCGTTTCTGAAGCTCAGGGACTGCAGAGAGACAGGGAGATTTCACATCACAGAAACACAAGCTTCCATCGGGCATCTGCACAGCTGAAATGGCCCACGGCCACCCTGTCCCCAGGGAACATCCTCAGGCCGGCCCCCACAGGAGCCAGCCTCTTGGAGGCAGGCTTCTCTCACCTTCTGCCTTCCTGGCCCTTCTCTCTCCCCCTCCTCTTTCCTTCCTTCCAGCAGCTGAAGCCTCTGCATGGTGGCCCAGGTGCTGGCCGATGTCTGCGTCCTCTGCTCCGCCATTTGCCCTAACAGTTGCCAAGGTGTTTCCCCAGCTATGAGGACCTCTGCTGCCAGTTGTCACCATGATGTTTTCCTCTGTTTCAGCTGGGCCTTGGGGAATTAGAGTGATACTTGGGTCCATCCTTGGGTGCAGTGGCTAAGGAAGCATGCGCACCCCAGAAAAGCTAGTTCCCAGGTGGCCAGAAGGAAGGAAGGAGAGGTGGCTGGCTAAAGTGACCAGCAGCAACCAGGTGGAGGTGGTGGTTGTGTGGATCCTGGAGCATTGTTAGGGGCTTCTGAGGTGGGCAGAATAATCTCCCCTGTCCCAGTATGTCTAGGTACAAATCTCAAGAACTGGTGAGTATGTTAAATTACATGGCAAATTAAGGTTGTCAATGGAATTAAGGTTGCCAATTATCCTGGATTATCCTGATAGGCCCAATGTAATCACAAAAGTTCTTGAAGGTAGAGAGTAGGGCAGAAGAGACAGAGGGATAGGATGTGAGAAGGACTCAACCCACTGTTACTGGGTTTGAAGACGGAAGAAGGGGCCATGAGCCAAGGGCTGCAGGAAGAACTGGCTCTGGAAGCTGGAAAGACAGAGAAACAGGTTCTCCTCTAGAGCCTCCAGGAGGACACAGTCCTGCCAGCACCCTGATTTTAGCCCAGTGAGACTTGTGTTGGGCTTCTAACCTACAGAACTGTAAGATAATAAATTTGTGTTATTTTAAGCCACTTAATATATGGCAATGTGTTACAGCAGGAAGGGGAAATAAACACATCTTCCCAGACACTATCAGGGGACAAGAACCTGGTAAAACCCTGTACATCCTGTGTCCCTCAGCTGATTATAAGGAGGGCATTAAAGAGCAGGATCTCCTAGGAAACTGGAGAGGCTGGAAGCATCCAGCATACACATCTGTCCAGTGTGGATCTTCTTAAAAACCAGGAGCATGAGTAGGTGTGAGTCTGCACACGGCCAGGAGATGAAGGCTGGCAGTCCCCTCCACCTCCCCGGTCTCCTGGAACCACCTTCCTGGTGGGGGATCCCCAAGGCGAGTCCTCAGCCTGAGAGGCTCCAAGGTCTGATGAGCAGGCCTGTGGAGCAAGCTTATGTTAGCTGAGCTCATTCTGGAAACCACAGCTTCCCACTGGCTTCTGATCAACGGACCTTGTCTTGCCCAGGAAGCCAAATCGTAACAGAGGGCTTCTGAGCAAGTTCCGAGATGCAAAGGTTTCACAGCCCTGGCTATGCAGCCCCGTAATCGTGCCCACAACAGCTGCCCCTGGCATCAGGTGGACCACGTGCATCCTTGCACCTGGTCTCCTTGCCCCTTCCCCTGACACAGTGTAGATGGCACTGCCAACACCCCATCCAAGCCAGAACTTTCTCTGTGTTTCCACAGTGACAGAGCCAAGCCCCTGCTCTGGGCTGGCTATCATTCTGTGTCCTGAAGAGGACTCGGCTTAACTCTCTTCTAGTTCATTTTCTGTTGGATTTAAAGCTTGGCTTTCAGACTTCAGTCTTAGTTCCCTCCTTTCCATGCCACTGGCCGAAGCCTCCCGGCCTTAAACTTTTTATTTTTAATTTTTGTGGGTAATAGTAGATGTATATATTTATGGGGTACATGAGATTTTGATATAGGCATACAATGTGTAATAATCACATCAGGGTAAATGAGGTATCCATCAACTAAAGCATTCATCCTTTGTGTTACAAATAGTCCAGTTATACTCTTTTAGTTATTTTCAAATGTACAATTAAATTATTATTGACTATAGTCACCCTGTTGTGCTATCAAATACTAGATCTTATTTATTCTTTCTGTTTTTTTGTACCCACTAACCAAGGCCAATGATCATTACTTTAATAAATGCTTTCTTGAAGGTGTTAGTGTTTTTTAAGCATTCAATTTAGTTTGTGTTTGGAATTCAAAGTTAGCAAATATGGCTTCCATGCCACTTGCACTCTTTCAAAAAAGTCATGACAGACATCACTAATCAATTACTGTACTCTTTCTCCCTGAGCCTGGAGTGTCCCAGGAATCCTTAATATAGTCTTCTAAGCAATCCTCATCCAACAATTGGAATTGGCAAGTGAAAAGAAACTAACATGTCATCCCTTGATGCAATTACAGTTAGGGACAGAGTCATCTTTTGAATTCCTCCCACTATGTTTATCCCTTTACTATGTGACAGTAATCTGTCACCAAGAGCTAGCATCCCAACTCATATACCATTTCTGTGAAATTATGATCTCCATCTACTTTGAGTGGCAAAGAAAAGAATAATTCACAATCCACTGTTGAAATTTTGTCAGATAATACAAACAACAAATGTTGTTAGCTGTCTAATTATTTTGTGTTATTTCCTTAAGGAAATTTCTCCTCATTTTTACCCAGTAGAAAGGTCTTGACTTCCTATTTTCCATGTCTCCTTGATGTGACAGCATATCTGAGTCCTTGTTATGGGCACACGTGACAGTGCATCAGATGCTCTCAGGAAAGAAAGTGGCTTTCACACAGATTCCTTGCTCACCTTAACATAACTGTACAGAATTCCCACAACACAGACACAGGCTTTTCTCACCTTACATTCTCTCCAGCCTGTTAAGACAGTTCCAGTGACTAAATCTGGTAGCACATTAGCAGTATCACTACTCAAGGGCCTATTAAACATCAGCTCAATGGAAACTTCTTAGAATTGTAAAGCAAATCAAATACAATTCAAATGTAGAGAAGGATTACACTTAAATGGTAGACCATAAAGGAGACTCATATGGGAAAACACAGCCAGAAAAGATTATGCCAGTGTCTTTTTGTTTTGTTTTGTTTTGTTTTGTTTGAGACGGGGTCTCATTCCATTGCCCAGGCTGGAGTGTGCCTGCAGTGGTGTGATCACGGCTCACTGCAGCCTTGACCTCCCGGGCTCAAGCAATCCTCCCACCTCAGTCCCCTGAGTAGCTGGGACTACAGGCGTGTGCCACCACATCTGGCTAATTTTAAATTGTTTTGTAGAGTCAGGGTCTCACTATATTGCCCAGGTTGGTCTCAAGCTCCTGGCCTCAAGTGATCCTCCCTCCTCAGCCTCCCAAAGTGCTGAGATTATAGGCATGAGCCACCATGCCCAACTACACCAGTGTCTTTAAACTAGAGGATTCCTAATTCTCCTTAGGAGAATCCCAATAGCTAGGACAGTGGGAGGTCTTGTTCTAACATTTACCTGAAAGCAGGATTTTATTCCCAAATTTATTTTATTTACTTTATTTATTTATTTATTTATTTATTTGAGATAGAGTCTCACTCTGTTGCCCAGGCTGGAGTGCAGTGGTGAAATCTCAGCTCACTGCGACCTCTGCCTCCTGGGTTCAAGCAATTTTCCTGCCCCAGCCTCCCGAGTACCTGGGACTACAGACATGCACCACCACACCCAGCTAATTTTTTGTATTTTTAGTAGAGTTGGCAGTTTCACCATGTTGGCCAGGCTGGTCTCAAACTCCTGACCTCAAGTGATCCACCCGCCTCCAGCCTCCCAAAGTGTTGGGATTATAGGCATGAGCCACCACTCCTGGCAATCTTTTAATTTTTTTAAATATCAAACTTGCAGAAAAGTTGAAAATCAGTTAAACAAACACCCAATTACCCTTCACTAAATATATATACATTTTTGCTGAAGCGTTTGGAGTAAGTTGCAGACATATGCTCACTTCACCCCTAAATACTTCACCTGCAGCTCCTAAAAGAAGAACATTCCTTACATAACCCAATACCATGATCACAATGAAGAAATTTAACATTTAACATGGATACAATAATATTATCTCATAATCTGTATTTTAAAAAAATCTTTATCTTGCATTTAATCAGGGTTCATGTGTTGTATTTGACTGTTTAATACCTTTTCATCTAGAGCTGTCTCCCTACCTTTTTTCGTCTTTCATGACGTTGACATTCTTGGAGAGCCTAACGGACTATTCTGGAATCTCTATTTGCCTAATTACTGCCTCATGATGTAATTCAGATTAACCTTTTTTTTTTTTTCAGTTCTAAGATCCCCCTGTGGATGCCTGAAACTGCAGAGAGTACCAAGCCTGACTGCCGCCAATCAGAAGTAGTTTCTGTTCAGGTCTTCCACCCACGAATGTAATGCCTTTTTCGTCTTAACTAAGCACTTATCACGCACTGTGGTCATCACTTTTGCAGTCTGAGGTACAACAGCAAAACCAGCACACATTCTTTTTCTTTCTTTACAATTTCAGAATTAGAAATTTTATTCTGACCATAGATTTTTGGCAATCTCAGCAAATGATTTTGTTTCTTGAGAACTTTTGCCTTTTCGCTTAAAGGAAGCACTTGAGGTCTTCTCTTTGGCATATCCGAATTGCTGGCATCACTACGCTTGTGCTTTGGGGACATTATTTAGTAAAATAAGGGTTCCTTGAACACCGGCACTGCGATACCATGACAGTCGATCACTGACGGCCGGTGGTGTCTCCAGCATGGATACGCGGGACAGAGGGATGATTCACCTCCTGAGCAGGATGGAGCGGGACAGCGAGAGATTTCACTGCGCTGCTCAGAACAGCGCGTGATTTAAAACTTGTGAATTTGGGCGGGACGGGGAGGGGCGCGGCTGGCCGGTCTTCCTTCTCCCGCGGCGCCGGCGGTGCTGGGCGGGTGGAGGCGGGGAGTCGTCCCCGTGGCCGCCGCTCCGGAGCCCGGCGAGCCCGCGAAGGGGAAGCTCTTTAAGCTCCTAGGCATTTCAGGTGTTGAAAATATTCCCTGTGCCCGGGATTCAATATTGTATGGTTCATTAGGATCTGTTGTGGCTGGCTTTGGACTTTTTTTTTGTTAACTAGTAGAATTAGAAAATCATGTGATGTTGGAGTAGGAGGATTTATCTTGGTGACTTTGGGATGCTGGTTTCATTGTAGGTATAATTATGCAAAGCAAAGAATCCAGGAAAGAATTGCCAGAGAAGGAATTAAAAATAAGATATTATGTGAAAGTACCCATCTTGATCCTGAAAGAAAAGAAACCAAGGGCAACAGCAGCAATTGAACAATCTTGAGCATAGAAATCAGACTCCCTGAAGTCAGTGTGAACAAAGCTAAGCTCAACCACATAAAACATTTTATGTACAATAAGCTCTCAATCAAGTAAATAAAGTTTAAGTTGTAATAAATAAAGAAAGAAAGGAAGAAAATTTTTGAATTATTTGTGGAGTTTTAAATTTAACATTTTCAGGCTGTGGCTAAAACTCAGGATAGTGAAACCACACATAAGAGAGTACTACTGTTATCACATCAGCAGGCATATAATGTTAGTCTCATTATTTGTAAACCTAACTTTAAAAAATTTTTTTAAATGTTTATGGGTACAATGTAGGTGTATATATTTATGGGATATATGAGATGTTTTGATACAGACATGCAATTGTAAAATCATGGAGAATGGGGTATCCATCCCCCTCAAGCATTTATCCTCTGTGTTACAAACATTCCAATTATACTCTTTTAGTTATTGTTAAATGTTCATTTCAGTTATTATTGACTATAGTCACCCTGTTGTGCTATCAAAAGTAGGTCTTATTCATTCTTTCTATTTGTTGTACCCATTAACCATTCCTACCTCCCTCTGACAGTGCCCCCACCCCTGCAACCACCACCACTCCCCTTCCCACACTCTGGTAACCATCCTAACTGTCTACCTCCATGAGTTCGATTGTTTCCATTTTTAGATCCTACAAGTAAGTGAGAACATGCAATGTTTGTCTTTTATTTTATAAACCTAATTTCGATCATTTAGTTAAGGTGATGTCCAAAAGATCTCTCCACTGTAATTAACACATAATCTGCAAAATGGTAGTTTGGTAATGTGTAAATATCCCATACCCAAGGACCTCTCACCCTATGGCCTTAGCACCCATTGACCATATTTTCTGAATCAGTTATAACGAGGGTCTTTACAAAATAGTGATAATCTATTTCTATCATTCTTTCTATCTTTATTAGCCGGCATTCTTCCATGAAGACAAGCTGAAATCTTGGTTTATAACTGTCATAAATCACATTTCAAGCAGCAGGAACTCTCCCACTGGAAATACAATGAGAAGTACAGTGTGCTGTGTGAGGTCACAGCAGTTCCAAAAATGGAAATCAGCATAGCTTTGGTTCCTACTTTTCTTCCTCCTCCTCACACTTTTTCTCCTCCAGCTGCTCCATTTATCGAATACTTTGTTGCCAGTGTTGTGGTTTAAGGGCTTCCAACAGGCCAGGCACCTAGCTCACGCCTGTAATCCCAGCACTTTGGGAGGCCAAGGTGGGCAGATCACTTAAGCCCAGGAGTTGGAGACCAGCCTGGGCAACATGGTGAAACCCTGTCTTTAGAAGAAAAATTTAAAAATTAGCTGGGTGTAGTGGTGCATGCCTATAGTCCCAGCTACTCAGGAGGCTGAGACAAGAGGATCACCTGAGCCCAGGGAGGTCAAGGCTGCAGTGAGCTGTGATTGCGCCACTGCACTCCAGCCTGGGCAACAGAGTGAAACCCTGTCTCAAAAAAAAAAAAGTTGCTTTACATACATAAAATCATTTAGTTATTCCCAGCAATCCTATGAGGTAGGTGATAGCAGGCCCATTTTTCAGATGAGGAAATTGAAGCGCAGAGAAGCAGCTTGCCCAAGGACGTCCAGTGAGTGACAGACCTTTGAACTCAGATGCATTTGACTTCGAAAGTCATGTTCCTGCCCAGCCACATTCCTAAAGCACTGCATTATTTTTTTTTTTGTATGCACAGAAAACAATCAGAGCAACAGTAATTCTTGATTTTTGTTGATTGCTAAACAACCCTTCATCCTTCTCTCTGAGTATTAGCAATGCAAAAGGCCAGAAGAATTGCATCAAAATAGTGACTATGGGTTTATAGATCATTTTCATTTTTGTCTTTATACACTTACCTGTATTTCCCAAGTTATCTACAATGCACATGCATTGGTTTTGTGAGACAGATATATGAAGTGTTTTTAAAGAGAAATAGGGGTTTGGACATATATTTGACATAGAAGTCAGACTCAGAAAAGCTCTCCCTGGGGGTTGCCCGTCCCTATCAGAGCCTGGATCATAGAGTAGACCCACCAGTACATGCCTGGGCTTAGGTGCTGGCAAGAAGCAATTTAGAAATATATTTGACTTATTCTACACCAAACCAACTGGAGGAAAGAATATAATTCAACTGATGACCCGTTGTCCCAGAGCCTTAATCACAAACTGGCTTTGCACAAGACTCCAGGAAGCTGTCAAGGTCAGGGAAGGCTGAGCCTTGGACCTCAAGTTGCTTACAAAGTGAGCTCAAGACAAAGAAACATACAGGAAACAACTTTTTAGACTGACAAGATAAGAAATGTGCAGTACCAGTATAAGAGGACTGACCATCAGCCAGGAAGGTAAGATACAGAAGTTACTGAGGCTTCCAGTAATTTCTAAAAGGGAAGGCAGAATCATAGACCTGAAAGCCAGTACTCTGAGTTTTTATGATTCTGGGCCTCTGTAACTTTCCTGTGTCTTACTTTTGTTACTCAGATGTTTTCCTATAGTCTTTAGCAAGGAAAAAAAAATACCTTGGGAAGGAGAAAAAGAATTAGTAGGGAGGTAGAATCCCAGTATAAAACCACGAATACTTCTGAATGACAACAAAAAAAAATCACCGTAAGACAGCTCTCACAGTAAAGAGCCTGGACGTCATTACTTCCATTTTTACAAGGAAAAAAGCGAACAAACTGAAAAGCAATAACTTTTCTTAGATTCTGCAGAGAATGGTAGTCACAGGCAAAGCACCCACCCTAAAAATAGAAGAGACAGAGGAATACAGAGAACCACGACTTACCTTCCAGAAGCAGAAGCCACCCAGGAGCCGGCAACTTGTAGGAGCACTTACATGGTACCTGACGAATTGCTGGAGGCTGAGTGTTTGGGCTAGCTTAAGTGTCATAAAGTCCTGGGGTCCCTGTAGTAGGGAAGCCCCACATTTTCCTGGGGTTACCTCCAGGAAGGTCACCAGTTTCTCACTGTGAAGACAGGAGAAAAATCCCCAGGCTTCAGGCAACAGGAGAGGAAAAGTAACCATTTAAAACCATGCCCAGCCGAAAAGTAACCATTTTGAAAGCCCAGAGCATTCTGTTCTCCTTAAGTGTTCTCATCAAAGGACACTGCCTTACCAGGGCCTTATCTGCCCTAGGGGAAGGGCAATGAGATAACTTCAGGCCCCCTCTAGCCTTCCAGTCTCCATCGGGGGAGAAAAAGAGAAAGGCCACAGCAGGGACTTGGCCCACTGAGATTTAATTGTAAGATTACACAATGCCTCCCCTCCCCAGTACCTTATGGTATTAGTTTGCTAGGGCTGCCATAAAATACCACACACTGGGTGGCTGAACCAACAAAGATGTATTGTCTCACAGTTCTGCAGCCCGGAAGTTGTCAGGGCTATGTCCCCTCTGAAGGTGCTGGGAAGGAGCCTTCCTTGCCTCCTAGTTTCTTGTGGTTGCTGGCAATTCTCCGCATTCTTTGGCTTGGAGCTGCTTCATTCCAACTTCTGCCTCTACCATCACATGGCCTTCTCTCTGGAGGAGAGACAAAATTTGACCTCTACCTTACTAGGGCTTTCAGTGGGGCCTGAGAATTAAACAGATGTAGACAGATGAACAGGAGAAGTATACAAATGTATTTAATATAAGATTTATGTGTCATGGGAGCCTTCATAAGAAAATTGTCTTAGTCCATTTTGTGCTGTTATAACAGAATACCACAGACCAGGTAATTTATAAAGAATAGAAATTTATTTCTCACAGTTCTGGCGCCTGGGAAGTTCAAGATCATGGCACCGGCAGGTTCGTTGTCTGGTAAGGGTCCAGACTCTGAGTTCAAGAGGGTGCTTTGAGTGGTGCGTCTTCCCGAGGGGATGAACGCTGGGTCCTCATGCGGTGGAAAGCAGAGTAGGTGATGCTTTTTATAGCATCATTAATTCATTCACGAGAGTGGAGTTCTCATGACCTAAACACCTCCCAACACTGTTGCACTGGGAATTATGTTTCCGATATATGATTTTTGGGGACAACAGACATGAAGACCTTTCAAAAAAAGTAATCAGAGTTAAACATTTATATGCTGAGTTGGGCACAGAATAGTAAAACTGTGAAAATATGATAAGGCAAAGGGGCTTGTACTAGGGTGGTTAATTGGGTAGAAAAGTGACTAGGAAGATAAGGGTCAGGTTAACAAAGTTTGTTTGTGTAGATTTATCTCAGCTTCAACTTTTTGTTCTTGATGATAAAACCTTACTTTCCTCCTGGTATAGGGAAGACATCTTCCATATTGAAGGTTTTATCGTCCTTCCAGGAGGATTTTACCTACCAGGAGGGTTTTGCCTTCCAAGAGGGTTTTATCTCCTGCTTTTAGGAAAAAAAATAGGGAGGGCCAGAGTAACTTCTTAAACCTGCTAGTTAAGTGCCTTTAGTGCAAAATAATCCTTGCATCAGAGTGACACATTTTGGGGTGAAATGTTCTGAATTCCTTCACCTCTGTGTCTTTGTCTCCATGTATCCTCCCCTCTTTTTATAAGACCATGTCATTGGATTTAAGGACCTCTCCAATCCAGCAAGACCTCATCTTAATTTAACTACTTCCATCTGCAAAGACCCTATTTCCAAATAAACTCATATTCTGAGTTTCCAGGTGAACAGGAATTTGGGGGAGACACCCACCCCACATCAACAGGCTCCAACATAATAAAAGTAGACTATAACGGAAAGAGTTATTTAAGATATTTACGTTATTTAAGAGTTCTTGGCTGGGCACAATGGCTGACACCTGTAATCCCAGCACTTTGGGAAGCTGAGGTGGGTGATCACTTGAGGTCAGGCATTCAAGACCAGCCTGTCCAACATGGTGAAACCCTGTCTCTACTAAAAATACAATAGCTGGATATGTTGGTGGGGACCTGTAATCCCAGCTACTCAGGAAAAGCAGGAGAACTGCTTGACCCTGGGAGGCAGAAGTTGCAGTGAGCCAAGATGGCGCCACTGCCCTCCAGCCTGCGCAACAAGAGCAAAACTCCATCTCAAAAAAAATAATAAGAGTTCTCAGGGAAAGTCAAAACAGAAGAGAAAAAAAAATACCTGAAACTAGAGGAAACTAAAGTTTCTGGCACCTACAGCTATAGGAAACATTAAACACGGCCCAGCTACTAGTCAGATTAACATAAAACCTCACACAATAAGGCCGATTTACTTCAGGTCCTACTATCATATACATCATGTCCAGCTTTCAACCAAAATTTCAAAGATATACTAAAAGACAGTTAAAAACTGTCAACCTAAATAACAGAGAAAGGCTCTCTAAAAGAAAAAGATATTTATTCAGGAATAGAGCATTGCAGTGGGAATGTGTGTGCCACAGTAAACTGCATATTCAAGGAGGAAGAATGAGGATTATATTGTGTCCAGAATTGGTGGGTTCTTGGTCTCACTGACTTCAAGAATGAAGCCGGTGACCCTTGCAGTGAGGCATGTCCGGAGTTTGTTCCTTCCTTCTGATGTTCGGACGTGTTTGGAGTTTCTTCCTTCTGGTGGGTTCAGGGTCTCACTGGCCTCGGGAGTGAAACTACAGACTCTCACAGTGAGTGTTACAGCTCATAAAGGCAGTGCAGACCCAATGACTGAGCAGCAACAAGATTTACTGCAAAGAGTGAAAGAACAAAGTTACCACAGTGGAAACAAAGACCCCAGCGGATTACCACTGCTGGCTTGGGCAGCCTTCTTTTATTCCATTATCTGGCCCCACCCACATCCTGCTGATAGGTCCATTTTACAGAGAGCTGATTGGTCTGTTTTACAGAGAGCTGATTGGTCCGTTTTGACAGCATGCTGATTGGTGCATTTACAATGCCTGAGCTAGACAGAAAAATTCTCCAAGTCCCCACTAGATTAGCTAGACATAGAGCACTGCTTGGTGCATTTACAAACCTTGAGCTAGACACAGGGTGCTGATTGGTATGTTTACAAACCTTGAGCTAGACACAGAGTGCTGATTGGTGTATTTACAATCCCTTAGCTGGACATAAATGTCCCCACTAGATTAGCTAGATACAGAGTGCTGATTGGTGCATTTACAAACCCTGAGCTAGACACAGGGTGCTGATTGGTGTGTTTACAAACCTTGAGCTAGATACAGAGTGCTGATTGGTGTATTTACAATCCCTTAGCTAGACATAAAGGTTCTCCAAGTCCCCACTAAACCCAGGAGCCCAGCTGGCTTCACCTAGTGGATCCTGCATCAAGGCCACAGGCGGAGTTGCCCGCCAGTCCCACCGTGCACCCGCACTCCTCAGCACCTTGGGCGGTGATGGGACCCAGAGCCACGGAGGCTCGGGCGGAGCAGGAGCCCACGGAGGTGGGGAGGCTCGGGCATGGCAGGCTGCAGGTCCTGAGTCCTGCCCTGCGGGGAGGCAGCTGAGGACCCGCGAGAATTCGAGTGCAACGTGGGCGGGCCGGCACTGCTGGGGGACCCAGCGCACTCTCTGTGGCTACTGGCCCAGGTGCTAAGCTCGTCACTGCCCAGGACTGGTGGTGGCGGCCGGCCGCTCCTACTGCAGGGCTGCCAAGCCCACACCCACCCGGAACTCGCGCTGGTCCGCCAGCACCCCGTGCAGCCCCGGTTCCCACCCGCGTCTCTCCTTCCGCGCCTCTCCCTCCACACCTCCCCGCAAGCAGAGGGAGCCGGCTCTGGCCTCAGCCAGCCCAAAGAGGGGCTCCCACACAGTGCAGCGGGAGGCCGAAGGGCTCCTCAAGCGCGGCCAGAGTGGGCGCAGAGGCCAAGGAGGCGCCGAGAGCGAGCGAGGGCTGCCAGCACGCTGTCACCTCTCAATATGATTGTTTTGAAATGATTATCCTTGGCTACAAGAGTCAGTAACAAAGGTGATGCCTGTCCAAGGTTGAACATTTAGCTTTGCTGGGCAGATTTCCTTGCGGAAGTATTTTTTTGTGTAAGGTTACAATGGCTTTTGTGCAAGGTTTTGGTTTTTACAGAGCCTTTTGTGATAGTTTTGTTATCACACCAGTCACACAAAGACAAATACTGTATGATTTCACTTCTCCAATGTCCTAGAGTAGTCAAATTCACAGAGATGAAAAGTATAATTAGTTTTTGTTTCATGGCTATAGAATTTCAGTTTTCCCAGGTGAAAGAGTTCTGAGGCACTCTAGTATGGATCGGTCTCCCAGATGAACTCATCGTGGGTGGTGGTGATGGATGCACAACAATATGACTGCCACTAAACTATACACTTAAAAATAGTTAAGATGGTAATTTTTACGTTATTTATATTTCACCACAAAAAGAATGTCTAACTTTTAAAAAGTAAATAAATGAAAGAAGTAATGGGATGCATCGTACCATACAAACTCTAATCAAAGAAAGGTGGGGCAACTGTATTAATTGCAGATAAAGCAGACTTCAGAACAAGGAAAATTATAAGGGAGAAAGAGGAACATTACATAGTGATAAAGGGATCAATTCCCCAAGAAAATAGAATAATTCTTAACATATATGTACCTAACAATGTCAAAATATGTAAGGCAAAAACTAGTAGAATTGCAAGGCAAATTAAAATATCCATTCTTATAGTTGGATACCTCAACATAAGAGATCAGTAGCTGACATATCCAATAAGGATATAGCTGAACTGAACAGCAGCATCAATCAACAGGACATAATAGACATTTATAAACAAATTCATCCAACAACAGTAGAATACACATTCTTCTCATGCTTACCAGAAATATTTACCACAATAGACCACATTCTGTGCCATATATGGAACATAAACATGTTTAAAAGAATTGAAGATGCAAAAATCCTCAATGAAATGGTAACAAATCTTTCAATAATGTCAGATTTGTCCAACACTGAGATTTATTTCAAGTATGCAAATCTGACTCACATTCTTAAATCAATTTACATAATTCATCACATCAACAGGCTCAAAAAGAAAAATCATATGATCACATCAATAAATGGAGAAAAAGCATCTGACAAAATTCAATACCCATTCATGATAAAAATACAACCCAAAATCTTCAGCAAACTAGGAATAGAGAAGAACTCCCTCAACCTGATGAGGAACAGCTACAAAAAACCCCTACATTTAACGTTAGACTTAATGGTGTAAAACTAGATGTTTTACCGTAAAATCATGAACAAGTCAAGGATGTTCTCTCTCACCAGTCCTTTCTATATCATACTGGAATTCCCAGCTAATACACTGCATTGTAAGGCAGTTTCATTGTGTGAACATTGTAGGGTTCCTACAATGGCATAGCCTACTGCACACCTGGGCTATACGTGTTAGCCTACATGGCATAGCCTACTGCACACCTGGGCTATATGGGTTAGCCTGTTGCTCCTAGGCCACAAGCCTGTGCAGCATGTTTCTGTACTGAATACTGTAGGCAATCGCAACACAATGGTGTATCTAAACATAGAAAAATATCGTTCAAAATATGGTAGGAAAAATAAAAATATGGTACACCTGTGTAAGGCGCTTACCATGAATGGAGCTTGCAGGACTGGAGGTTGCTCTGGGTGAGTCAGTGAGTGGTTGGTGAGTGAACGGTAAGGCCTGGGACATTACCGACCACTGCTGTAGACTTTGTAAACACTGTACATTTAGGCTACACCACGTTTATGAAAAATTTGTTCTTTCCTCAAGAATAACATAACCTTAGCTTACTGTACTTTTTTTATTTTACAAACTTTTCAATTTTTAAAAACATTTGGACTTTTTTATAATAATACTTAGCATAAAACACCAACATATAGAGCTGCACAAAATATTTTCTTTGTACCCTTATTCTATGAGCTTTTTTTTTTCTTTTTTTCTTCTCTTTTTTGAGGTGGAGTCTCCCTCTTGTCGCCCAAGCTGGAGTGCAATGGTGTGTCTTGGCTCACTGCAACCTCTGCCTCTTGGGTTCAAGCCATTCTCCTGCCTCAGCCCCCCAAGTAGCTGAGATTACAGGCATATGCCACCACGCCCAGCTAATTTTTGTATTTTTAGTAGAGACGGGGTTTCACCATGTTGGCCAGGCTGTTCTCAAACTCCTGACCTCAGGTGATCTGCCTGCCTCGGCCTCCCAAAGTGCTGGGATTACAGGCATGAGCAACTGTGCCTGGCCAAAAATAAAGTCTTTCTGTAAAGCCACCATAAGCAGTCAAAAGATAAATGCCAAACTGAAAGAAAAAAAAAAAACTTTTCACCACTTATATACAAGCAAATCAGTGAGAAAATGCTAACAACCCAATAGAAAGGGGGCAAGGAGGACATGAACAGACAGACGGTTCACAAAAAAAGAAATACAGTGATTTTTAAACAATAGAAAATTGCTCAACCAATGTCACTCTTTCTCTCTCTTTCTTTCTTTCTTTCTTCCTCCCCTCCCCTCCCCTCCCCTCCCCTTCCTTTCTTTCTCTCTCTTTCGGCAGGGTCTTGATCTGTTGCCCAAGCTGAAGTGCTGTGGTGCCATCACAGCTCACTGCAGCCTCTACTTCTTGAGAGGCTCAGGTGATCCTCCCGCCTCAGCCTCCTGAGTTGCTGGGACTAAAAGTGAGTGCCCCCATGCCCGGCTAATTTTTGTGTGTTTTGCAGAGATAGGGTTTCACCATGTTGCCCAGGCTGATCTCAAACTCCTGAGCTCAAGAAATCTGCCTGCCGTGGCCTTCCAAAGTGTTACGATTACAGGCGTGAGCCACCATGCCCGGCCTCAGTGTCACTCTTAATAAGAAACATACAGGATTAAAAGTACACTGAGGTACCAGTTTCATCTTATCAGATTGGCACCCATTCAAAAGCTTGACAGCACATGATGTGAGTAAAGTGGGAAATGGCACTCTCAAGAATCATCGGTGGAAATGTAAATGGGTACAATCCTAGTGGGGGAAATTTTGGTAATATTAATCAAGATTATAGCTGTGCAGGCCCTTTGACCCTACAGTTCTACACGAAGAATGCATCCTGGAGATATACTCACGTGTGGAATAACAAATCCACAGTTATTTACTGCAACATTGTTGATAACAAAAAGAGCAGAAACCACTCAATTGTCCATCATTAAGAGATTGGTTAAAAAACGATGGGACAGCCACGTAACGGAATACCATGCAGCTGCAAGGAAGAAAAAGGAAATGCTTTATGACCAAATGTAGGACAAGCTCCAAAATATATTGTGGAAAGAAAGCACAGAGAAATGTGTATGGTACACTATTGTTTATGTAAAGAAAGAAAGAAACCAAGGCCTTATTTATCCTTATTTGCTTGTAGAGGTACTGTACGGACAATCTCTAAAAAAAAATCTTTGCAAGGACACATAAGAAGCTGGAAGCCCGGTTGCCTTCAGGGAAAAAGAAAACAGGAACCCTGAGGACAGAATGGGAGGGATACCTATTTTGAATGGTATACCTTTTTCAGGTCTTTTGGATTTTGTACTGTTGGGTCTGTGGTAGTTCTTTTGTTTGTTTTTGGGGCGTTTCAGCAGTCTCCCAGGCTGGAGTGCCGTGATGCAATTATGGCTCACTGTAGCCTCGACCTCCCAGGCTCAAGCAATCCTCCCACCTCAGCCTCCCAAGTAGCTGAGACTACAGGCACATGCCACCTATCCTGGCTTTTTTTTTTTTTTTTTTTTAGAGACGGGGTCTCACTATGTTGCCCAGGCTGGTCTCAAACTCCTGGACTCAAGGGATCTGCCTGCCTCAGCCTCCCAAAGTGCTGAGGTTACGGGCGTGAGCCGCTGTGCCTGGCCTATGTTGGCTCTTTTCTCCTCTGCAATCTGGGGACACAGGCCAGACCCTGAATGAGGCTGCAGCTGCTGCAGCACTCTGACAAAAAGAGAAATCCTCACGGATGATGATGGTGGCCTTAGGGCACCTGTCAGCACAAAAGTGCTTTTCATAAGCACTAGTCATCTTCTCTGGTTTATAAGACAGGGAGTCGCAAGAGGGAGAAGATGGCTCCCATGGTGTGGGAGAGAGAAACTAAATCAAATAGGCCCACGGGTCCACCCACGCCCACTCACGACCTGGAGAGCCTGCAGTGGTCCATGCTCTACCACCCAAGGGGTAAAGCTCAAACGCCTCTGCCCGGCATCCTGAGACCCAGCTCCCAAGCAGCTTTCTGGTGCTCCCTTCCTCTGTTCTTCAGGTGGGCTGCACAGAGCCTACACCACTTTTCAACTTAGCCTCAGCATTCAGGGAAGTCTGCTTTTCAGCTCCACCTTCTGCCTTGGGAAGGCCCGAGAGCCGACTGGCCACTTTGAGGCAGGAGACTAGGGTCTGGAGGCAGGAAACCTAAGGCTGATTCACGCTGACTTCCTAGAACCAAATTGAAAGGAAAACCCCAACTTTCCATACCTAAGTAGCAAAAGGACCAGGGGCGACTCCCTTTGAAAACCACCCACCCGTTTCTGCTGGAAAACTGAAAGTACCTCTGATTGGTTGCTTCCTGCAACCGATCAGATATTTGCATAGGAGTGTAACTTTGTAACTTCACTTCAGTCTCTGATGAGTTGCTTTCTGCAACCAATCAGATTGATTTCGGGCCACTACTTTATTTGCATGGGGTGAACACCATGTGGCCAATGGGAAACCTCTAGGGGGTATTCGGACCCCAGAAGATTCTGCAACTGGGCTCTTGAGTCCCTATGCTCGGGGCGCTCCCACCCTATGGAGTGTGCTTTCATTTTCAATAAATCTCTGCTTTTGTTGCTTCATTCTTTCCTTGCTTTGTTTGTGGGTTTTGTCCAACTCTTTGTTCAAAATGCCAAGAACCTGGACACCCTCCACTGGTAACAGCTTCACTGCCTTGAAGTCCATCAGGGACCAGGTGGCCACAGAAATGATCATGATATGGAGCCTGCATATCATCTGGAGTTACTCCAGCAAGGCAGGCCATTCCAATTCGGTGGTAAGGCTGCATATTCACTTTGAATTATAGTTGAGCATGTGAGATGTAACGAGGAGTGAGAAAATATTATGTGCTTTAGGTTTTGAAGTTCTATCAGTCCATTGAAGTATAAATGCACCATTATTATTGCTGGAGCAAAATGTGCCAATAATTAGTGATGATTGTGAAAGGTATTTACTTTATGTACCAAAACAGTTATTAAGAGCTTCTCAACAGATAAATAGGGAAGTAGATTGATGGTTAAGATAATGTGTTAACTAGATAACTTTAAGAAGAACAATAGCACCTCTAGTACCAGCTACTCAGGAGACTGAGGTGGGAGGTTTTCTTGAGCCCAGGAAGTCAAGGCTGCAGTGAGCCAAGGTTGCGCTACTGCACTCCAGCCTGGATGACAGAGAAAGACCCTGTCTCACAAAAAAAAAAAAAAAGAAAAGAAAAAAAAGAGCAATGTATCACCTATGATGCAACACAATATAAAGATTTAAATGAGACTGTTAAGTATGATGACAGACATTAGACTTTATGACATCTAATCCTTATAAAAATTATTTGGTGTACTTGCATTTGTAATATTAAGCTAAATAAACTTTAGGATGGCTATTTAATTCTTAGTTACACAATTCAGTTATACATTTGGACCATAAGTCATTCCAGTAAGAGCCCAGTTTGGGAATTATTTTGTCGTTGTTGTTGTTGTTTTTGCTTTTGTTGTTGTTTGAGACAGGGTCTTGCTCTGTCACCCAGGCTGCAGTGCAATGGCATGATCATGGCTCACTGCAGCTTTGACTTCCTGGGCTCAAGCGATCCTCCCATCTCAGCCTCCTGAGTAGCTGGGACTACAGGTGCACACCACCATGACTGGCTAATTTTAAAATTTTTTGTAGAGATGAGATCTCACTATGTTGCCCAGGCTGGTCTTGAACTCCTGGGCTCAAGCAATCCTCCCATCTCGGCCTTCCAAAATGTTGGGATTACAGTCATGAGCCACCATGCCCAGCCTGGGAATTCTTTATATCTCAAACTTTTACAAGGAAGAAAAGTTTCAAAATCATGTAAAAAAAAAATCCGTGATGATATCTGATAAGGAATTAATATCCAGAACATATAGAGAACTCCTAAAACTTAAAAACAACAACAAAAACAAACAACACAATACAAAAATGAACAAAGAACTTGAATAGATATGTCTCTAGAGAAGAATGGCTGGCCAGGCATGGTGGCTCATGCCTGTAATCCTAACACTTTGAGAGGCCAAGGTGGGAGGATCACTTGCAGCCAGGAGTTCAAGACCAGCCTGAACAACATGGTGAAACCCCATCTCTATAAACAATTTGAAAATTAAAAAAATTAGCTCGGTGTAGTGGCACATAGCTATACTTCCAGCTACTCAGGAGACTAGGCAGGAGGATCACTTGAGGCCAAGATTTTGAGGCTGCAGTGAGCTATGATGGTGCCATGCACTTCAGCACATCACTAATTAGAGAAATTCAGATCAAAACCACGAGATGCCACTTCATACCCACTAGAATGGCTATTATAAGAAAGAAAGAGAGGATATTGAAGAATTGGAATCCTTGTACTGATAGGAATGTAAAGTGGTGCTGCCACTACTGGAAACAGAATGGCATTTTCTCAAAAAATTCAAAATAGAGGCCAGGCGCGGTGGCTCACACCTGTAATCCCAGCACTTTGAGAGGCCGAGGTGCATAGATCATGAGGTCAGGAGTTCAAGACCTGCCTGGCCAAGACGGTGAAACCCTAAAAATAAAATAATTATTTTTTATTAATTATTTAGTTAATTAATTAACTAAAAATACAAAAATTAGCTGGGCGCAGTGGCAGGCACCTATAATCCCAGCTACTCGGAAGGCTGAGGCAGGAGAATCGCTTGAACCTGGGAAACGGAGGTTGCAGTGAGCCAAGATCGCACCACTACACTCCAGCCTGGGCAACAGAGTGAGACTCCATCTCAAAAATAATAATAATAAATAAAATAAAATAAAAAAAGAATTACCATATGATCCAGGAATTCCACTTCTGGGTGTACACTGAAAAGGACTGAAAGCAAAGCCACACACAGCTTTCTGTACACCCATGTTCATAGCAGCATTATTCACAATAGCCAAAAGGTAGGGGCAGCCCAAGTGCTTCTTCCATCAATGGATGAATGGATAACACATTGTGTTTATCCATTGATAAATTGCTGATATAGTTTTGGATCTGTGTCCCACTCAAATCTCCTGTCTAGTTATAACCCCCAGTGTTGGAGGCGGGACCTGGTGGGAGGTGATTGGATCATGAAGGCATAGTTCTCATAAATGGTTCAGCACTATCCCTCCTTGGTACTGTGTAATGAGTGAGTTCTCACAAGATCTGGTTGTTTAAAAAGTGTGCCGCACCTCCCCCCTCTCTCTCTTGCTCCTACTCCGGCCACGTGGTAAGTGCTGGCTTCCACTTTGTCTTCTGCAATGATTGTAAGTTTCCTGAGGCCTCCTGGAAGCCAAGCAGAAGGCCAGCATCATGTTTCCTGTACAGCCTGTGGAATCGAGAGCCAATGAAACCTCTTTTCTTTATAAATTACCCAGTCTCAGGTATGTCTTTTTTTATTCTTTTTTCCTTTTTTTGAGACAGGGTCTTGCTCTCTTGTCCAGGCTGCAGAACAGTGGCATGACACAGCTCACTGCAGCCTCGACCTCTCAGGCTCAATCGATCCACCCACCTCAGCCACCTGAGTAGTTGGGACTACAGGTATGGGCCGCTATGCCCAGCTAATTTTTTTTTCTCTTTTTGAGACGGAGTGAGCTCTGTCGCCCAGGCTGGAGTGCAGTGGCGCAATCTGGGCTTGCTGCAATCTCCGCATCCCGGGTTCACGCCATTCTGCTGCCTCAGCCTTCCGAGTAACTGGGACTACAGGCGCCCACCACCACGCCCAGCTAATTTTTTGTATTTTTAGTAGAGACGGGGTTTCACCATGTTAGCCAGGATGGTCTCAATCCTCTGACCTCGTGACCCACCTGCCTTGGCCTCCCAAAGTGCTAGGACTACAGGCATGAGCCACTGCGCCCGGCTTATGCCCAGCTAATTTTTGTATTTTTTGTAGAGATGGGGTTTCACCATGTTGCACAGGCTGGTCTTGAGCTCCTGGACTTAAGTGATCCTCTCACCTTGGCCTCCCAAAGTGCTGGAATTACAGGCATGCACCATCGTGACTGGCCCAGTATCAGGTATTTCTTTATAGCAATGCAAGAACAGACGAATACACACGCAGTGGAGTATTACTCAACATTACAAAGGAAGGAGATTCTGACCCATGCTCTCATATGGATGAAACTTGGAGACATTATACTAAGTCAAATAAGTCAATCACAAAAAGAAAAATACCGTATGATTCCACTTAAAGAGGTACCTAGGGTAGTCAAATGCATAGACATAGAAATTAGGATTATGGTTGGTTGCCAGGAGCTGGGGGAAGTGGGGGATGGGGAGTTGGTGGTGGTTGTACTAGGTGAACATAACTTAATTCCACTGAACTCAACACTTACAGTGGTTACAATGGTGAATTCTAGGTTATGTCTATTTTACCACAATTTTTAAAAATAATTTAAAATCCATGATAAATAGAGTGACCATATAGTTTATTGTCTAAACTGGGACACTTTGGGCAATGAAAGTGGATGCTTTTAATAACTACACCTCGATCCTAGGGGTTAAAGAGACTGCCCTAGGTAGCCTGGGGGTTCCCCAAAATAGTCACTTCTCCACTTACTTCAGTTGAAAGTGTCTTCTTCGCCTGGTAAATATTCAGTACAGTAGCTATGGAAGAAATGTCACCATGAACGGTGCCAAGATATAATTATTCCTGTTCTGGAATGTCAAACTTTAACATTTTGGCCACAATATTCTCTTTTGATCACATTGTCATAATAATTTTGGGATAAAGTGGATGTATCCAGAAGTCCATTCTATGTTGGGACACTTGGCATTGCTCCATGCTTGTGTGGGGGTGGCACCTTTACCTCCCTGCCTCAATCCTCCCCTTCCCTCCCACTGTCCCCTTCCACCTATCCTTTCAGGTAGGTCTTACACAAATGGCCCCTCCTCTGTCCTGTCTTTCCTGATCCACCCTGTGGCATTTCTCCACTTCCAAACTTCTCTGGTGCTTTTACTTGGCGTCAGGTGACATGCGATAAGACCTGGATTAATTAGTTAATGTTAATAACATCTGCTTGACTGCCAATCCTGAAAAATACCGTAATTAACATCATCAACCAGCCATAGGGAAACCACCTTGGACCTCCCCGTGTAAACTACTTTGGGCAGTGCCTTGGGTTTTTCAAGAGTTTGTCAGGCACTTGAGGTTGAGGCTCGAAGAAAGAATATTATTTGATTCTTAGCCATGGTGGGAACCGACATTTATCTAAGTGTTTTTCATAGACAGGAAGTGGTAATTCTCACCCTCCCTGATCTGGGCTCTGACTCACTGGGGTGCCCCAGCCTCTGGGCCTGGGCTCACTAGTGGTAGCCAGCTGACCTGAGCATCAGAGTAAGATGCGTGCCTGAAAAATTCCCCTGGTGGGGCCGGTCATGAAAAGTGCCGTTCTCCTCATTCATGTGGTTTTGTCAGGATGCCCGGATTCCGCAGGCCCGGGCCAGTTATTTTGAGCACACAAGTCACTTTAAAAGACCCCTAAAGGTCACTGGTCCCAAGGATTATTTCACCCCCTCACCACAGTTAATGTCGTCTCCCCACCTCTGTTTTTCTGTATTCCCATAACACATTCTGAGTGTGGCTATGTGATGTAAAGAGCTGTTTTCATGCAAATGTTCAGGGTAACATCATGCATAGTGTCTTAGTTCATCTCCTGCCGCTATACCAAAATACCACAGACTGGGTAATTTACAAGGCACAGACGTTTATTTGGCTCATGGTTCTGGAGCTGGGAAGTCCAAGAGCGTGGTGCTGGTATCTAGTGAGGGCCATCCCATGGCGGAAGGCATCACGTCGTGAGAGAGAACACACGCGAGAGGAAGGAAAGAGGGGCAGAATTCCCTGATTTTATATCTAAGTCACTCCTGTGACAGCTAATCCAGTACCCCAATAATGGCCTGAATCCACTCATGAGAGCTGTGTTCCCATGACCTAATCACCACTTAAACGTGCCACTTCTCAACATTGTTGCACTGGCAATTAAGTTTCCAACACATGAACTTTGGGGGACACATTCAAACCACAGCACTTAGAATATAACAGGATTGCCCCCCTACAGCCATGAGTCCCTTGGATCACCAAGTTAATGTAACAATAACAAAGTCTAATATGATTTACAGGAAATTGGAAGCTTTAAGTAGCCTCGTGAAGCCAAAGGGCAGCATTAGAGCATATCTTTTGACACCCGAAGCTTGTGTCAAAAAGGGTATTAACAGTTGACCGCCTCACACCCACGAGGATGACTATAATTTTTTAAATGGAAAATAACCATTGGCAAGGATGTGGGAAAACCGGAACCCTCCTACTTTGCTTGTGAAAAATGTAAAACGGTGCAGCTGATGTGGAAATCAATTTGTTGGTTCATCAAAAATTTAAACATGGGGCCAGGTGCAGTGGCTCACGCCTGTAATCCCAGCACTTTGGGAGGCCAAGGCGGGCAGACCACGAGGTCAGGAGTTCGAGACCAGCCTGGCCAACATTATGAAACCCCGACTCTACTAAAAATACAAAAATTAGCCTGGCGTAGTGGCACATGCCTGTAGTCCCAGCTACTCGGGAGGCTGAGGCAGAAGAATCGCTTGAACCCGGGAGGCAGAGGTTGCAGCGAGCTGAGGTCATGCCACTGCACTCCAGCCTGGGTGACAGAGTGAGACTTTATCTCAAAAAAAAAAAAAAATTTAAACATGGAGTTTCCATATGACCCAGAAGTCCCATTTCTAGTATGTACCCAGAAGAATAGAAACACAGGTTAAAACAGTGACCAAAATGTAAAAACAGCCCAGCTGTCCATAAGCTGTAAATGGATAAACTAGACTGTAGTACATTCATAAAACGGAATATTTCATCATAAAAAGAAGGCACTACCAACGCATGCTGCAGCTTGGATGAACCTAAGTGAAAGAAGCCAGACACAAAAGGACACATATTGTATGATTTCATATGTATGAAATATCCAGGATAGGCAAATCCATTCGAGACGGAAAGTAGGTTGGTGGTTGCCAGGGCCTGGGGGAGGGGGAAATGGGGCGTGGTTTTTTAATGTGTATGAGGTTTCCTTTGGGGGTGATAAAAATGTTATGGTTGAATGAGACGGTGAACGTACTGAAGCCACTGGATGTACACTTTAAAATGGTTAAAGTGGGCCGGGTGCGGTGGCTCTGCCTGAAATCCCAGCACTCTGGGAGGCCGAGGCAGGTGGGTCGTCTGAGGTCAGGAGTTCAAGACCAGCCTGGCCAAAACGGCGAAACCCCACTTCTACCAACAATACAAAAATTACCTGGGCATGGTGATGCATGCCTGTAATCCAAGCTACTCGGGAGGTTGAGGCAGGAGAATCGCTTGAACTCGGGAGGCCAAGGTTACAGTGAGCCGAGATTGCGCCACTGCACTCCAGCCTGACAGAGCAAGACTCTGTCTCAAAAAAAAAAGAAAGAAAGAAAGAAAGAAAGAAAAATAAATGGTTAAAGTGGCAAATTTTATGCTATATAAATTGTGCCTTAATTTTTGAAAAGTTTACACTTTGAGTGAGGCAAGTGTTTGGCACAGAAACCACTTCTCTCCTGGCAACACTTCATAATCCTCCAGTGGCAAAGCCCCTCTCCGCAAACCCATCTCTCAAGCCACGCACGTCCCAAGAGACACAAGAACACTAGAGGCCAGACAGGAGGGGACAGCCTGCATTGTGTCCTTCACCCTTATTTGGACCTTCGCCCTATTGCCTTCTCACACTCTCAGAATCCAGAGGTCATGCCAGTTCAAAAGGAGCCGGTATCATGGAGACTGGGGCTCAGAAACCAATACCCCCAAATATGGCTCTGTGACATGCTGAACTGAAGAAGAAGCCACAAGATTTCTCTGACCTCCCCCAACCCCCGCCTCTGTCTCAGTCTGTCTCTCTCAAAGCACAGAATGAGGTTGTTCTCTGAAGTTCCCTTATCTGCCTAAAGCCCAGACTCACTAAAGAAGAAAACAATTACTCCTGGTCCCTTCCTAAATTTTCATGAACTGAACTCATATCCAGGAAGAAAGACTGACATCTATCAACACAGCTAGGCAGACTTTTGTCACAAACCGTTGTATACTCTGCAGGCACAACAGACTTTGTCCCAGGCCATTGTATGTTCTTCAAGCCCATTGAATTTCTCTAAAAATCACTTAAACTAAAATCATCCACACTGCCCCATCTCCCTTTCCCCTAAGAAGAAGGGTATATAAGCATATGTACCCCGCTGGGTTATCGAATAATCACTCTGCTACAGTTCCCCATGCTTGACACGTTAAAATAAATTCATAGTGTTTTATCTAATTAACCTGCCTTTTGTGAGTTGATTTTTGTGCAAACTTTCTGAGAGCGAAGGGGAAGTTTTCACGGGTATTGCATGGTCTTCTGAAATAACTAGCATTAATATAGATTAGACAAAAACCAACCCTGAACAGGTTCCATGTGACAGCAGAATGTTCTGAAATGGGAAGGAATGAATGTGAGCATGAGAGGTCTGTGTGAACGGATAATGAGGTTCGGGGTAAGATGCAAAGGAGGATATATATTATACCATCTTTCATATGGAAAGAAGAGAAAATGAATACGTGTATGTGTTATTTTTGTGAAAAGAAATACAGTATTAAACAGACACTAATGGAAGGCATTCACCGTGGAGGTGGGAAGGAATGGGGTAGAAGGGATAGGAACGGCAGTGAGGCTTCTCTTGTATATCTCATATCATTGTCACTTTTTATTTTTTTATTTTTTCAGAGACGGGGTCTCGCTCTCTCACCAAGGTTGGAGTGCAGTGGCTCACTGGAGCCTCAGCCTCCTGGGCTCAAGCAATCCTCCTGCTTCAGCCTCCCAGTGGCACACGCCACCGTACCCAGCTATTTATTTATTTATTTATTCATTTATTTATTTATTTATTTATTTTTGTAGAAATGAGGTCTTCCTACGTTGCCCAGGCTGGTCTCAAACTCCTGGGCTCAAGCAATTCTCCCACCTCGGCCTCCCAAAGTGCTGGGATTACAGGTGTGAGCCACTATTCTCAACCCATTTTTACTTTTTAACTACATAAATGTTTCACGTATTTTAAAAATAAAATTAAATGTTAAAAAGGTGGGATAAAGAATACCCTACAATAGAATGCAAAAGAAGGAAATCAAACTGATAACGCCTCAAACTGATACCACAACCACACAGAGCAAACACTCTGATTGTGGAGAAGGATCTGTTCTAAGAACAGAAGAACTATAGAAAAACTTCTATTTAGTATGTTTACTGTTAGCAGTAATATTGGTCTTGTAATTCTGAAACTCTTTTGTGCATGTATAGTGGAAAGCAAATAAGCAAATATATATTTTACTGACGGGGAAAAAAGATACTAGTAGTCAGTAAAGAAGTGAAAGAAAAACTGTAATGTTAAATTTGAGTAGGAAATATATCAGTTTGAACTTGTAATTTTTTTTAAAATGAGTTTTCTAATCCTGTCCACTGAATGACAGCCGAGTAGCAATGATCGCATATATCACCAGGTTCTTTCTTTCTCTATACCATTCACCACTAAAGGCACCAGGGCTCGTTAGAGAAATGGTAGATTCTAGGTCAGGGGTGAAAATGTACAACGTGAGCATGGAATCTCTTGTCACACCAGAAAGCAAAACAGTTTTGGAAGATAAATGTGATCATGTCAAAAGGATTCAGGAGCTGACCTGAGGGCTCCCACTGCTCAAATGTGGGATGATTTGAACATCAAAATGAATAACTGTAGTTTCAATTATAGCATTTTTAAAACTCCACGAACCCACAGTGATTAATGTTTTTAATATAGTGGGATTTGGAAATTCTTACAGAAAAAAAGGCCAGCTAGTAAATGTAGCAGGAATAAAAGAATGAAAAACTACCATTTTCCAACCTCCAATGTAATGCTTCCTTCAGGTAAGCATCACCAAGAGTTGCCAAAACTGTTTGGTGACTTGGATATTCAGTTAATCCTGTGACCATGTGAAGATTCTAAAAATTACTTACAAAAGGGGAAGCAGAGTGAGGATTAGTGATCAAACTCAGAATGACCAAGAGTGGCTGACATTATGTACTCCAGATGTGATGCCTGACATTATTTACTCCAGATGTGATACCTGACATTATTTACTCCAGATGTGATACTGACATTATGTACTCCAGATGTGATACCTGACATTATTTACTCCAGATGTGATACCTGACATTACTTACTGCAGAAGTGATACTGACATTATTTACTCCAGATGTGATGCCTGACATTATTAACTCCAGATGTGATGCCTGACATTATTTACTCCAGTTGCGATACTGACATTATTTACTCCCGATGTGATACCTGATGTTATTTACTCCAGATGTGATACTGATGTTTTTTACTGCAGATGTGATACCTGACATTATTTACTCCAGATGTGATACTGACATTATTTACTCCAGATGTGATGCCTGACATTATTTACTCCAGATGTGATAACTGACATTATTTACTGCAGATGTGATACTGACATTATTTATTCCAGATGTAATGCCTGACATTATTTACTCCAGGTGTGATACTGACATTATTTACTGCAGATGTGATACCTGACATTATTTACTCCAGATGTGATATTGACATTATTTACTCCAGATGTGATACTGACATTATTTACTCCAGATGTGATACCTGACATTATTTACTCCAGATGTGATGCCTGACATTATTTACTCCAGATGTGATACTGACATTATTTACTCCAGATGTGATACTGACATTATTTACTCCAGATGTGATACTGACATTATTTACTCCAGATGTGATACCTGACATTATTTACTCCAGATGTGATAACTGACATTATTTACTCCAGATGTGATAACTGACATTATTTACTCCAGATGTGATAACTGACATTATTTACTCCAGATGTGATATTGACATTATTTACTCCAGATGTGATGCCTGACATTATTTACTCCAGATGTGATGCCTGACATTATTTACTCCAGATGTGATGCCTGACATTATTTACTCCAGATGTGATAACTGACATTATTTACTCCAGATATGATACTGACATTATTTACTCCAGATGTGATACTGACATTATTTACTCCAGATGTGATACTGACATTATTTACTCCAGTTGTGATGCCTGACATTATTTACTCCAGATGTGATATTGACATTATTTACTCCAGATGTGATACTTGACTGAGAAGTCTACAGTGGCACCTATGCAGTACAGAACTCTGGCCAAAGATATTCAACCTGCATCTAATCTTGTGTAAGCAATCAGATTAACCCACATATGGGACACTCTACAAGACAACTGTCCTGGACTCTTTATCAAAAACTAATTTCACATAAACAAAGAACAACAACAACAATAAAAAGGTGAAAGACTGTTTCAGATGAAAAGAGACTGAAGAGCCATAACAACCAAATATCATACATGATCTTGATTGGATCCTGGATAGGAAAAAAAAATCCAGCATTAAAAGCTCTTCCGGGGACAACTGTAGAGATTTGAATACAGATAGTACACTGGGTGCTATTATGGTTGTGATCATGGTATTGTGGTTTTGTGGGAGAATATCCTTATTAGGAGATGCTGAGATATCTAGAAGTGAAGTGTCAAGATGTCAGCAACTTGCTTTCAAATTGCTCAGCAAAATAAAAGTATGTGGAAATATACAAAGACAGAGAGAGACCAACAGAGACAAAGCAATTGTGGCAAAATGTTAACAGTTGGAGAATCCAGGGTAAGTTCATTGTACTCTTCTTTGAACTTTTCAGAATGTTTGAAAATTTCAAAATAAAATGTGAGGGGGAGGGGAGGGAGTTGCAGGGTGGATAGAGAAGGTTGGGATAGAGCTAGCTGCCAGACCCAAACCATCTGCCACCAACACAGGGAGTTTAAAATGGCCCTCTAAATTACAATAGACTCATCTTCGTTTTGAAATCTTCCTAGGACGGGTGCAGAGGCTCATGTCTGTAATCCCAGCTACTCAGGAGTCTGAGGCACAAGAATCACTTGAACCTGGGAGGCGGAGGTTGGAGTGAGCCTCGATCATGCCACTGCACTCCAGCTGGGGTGACAGAGCAAGACTCTGTCTCAAAAAAAAAAAAAAAAAAAGAAAAAGAAAAACAGAAATCTTCCTAAAAGGAAGAGAAAGCTATACTACACTTTCCTCGAACCTCAAAGCCCCCACTGCTTATAGAAACTTTGAACCCAGTACCCACTGGAAAATAATGAATGGGAAACACACCTGGTAAACACAGTCCAGGTAGAGAGGAAGAGCCTCCCGATGCCCCCAGCCCTGGGTAGGAATCACCAAACCCTACCCCCCAGTTACCAGGCCTGTGAAGCCTCTGGCTTGTCCCAGCTTTGCACTCTTATGGGGAGGGGTGGGGAGAGCCCATCTACCACGCCCGTGTGTCTCCTGTCTTATCATCTAGGACATTCTTACATGGACCTCAGGCACTACTGGGGAAGGCTTTATTCCTTTTCAACACCATCCTCACTCAAAACTGCATTCCTTCATTCATTTGCTTATTTATTCAATGATTTGGCAAGTATTTATTGAACACCAGTGATGCACGAGGCACTGTTTTAGGAACCAGGGACACGACAAGGAATAAGCAGCCGTGGCATCTGTCTTCTGCGGAGCTCACAGGCAAATTGCAACTGTGACAAGTACCACAAAGGGGAGGAACAAGGTGCCCATCAAAGCTGGTGGCATTTGTGTGACAAGCAGGAAATACAATCAACAGGCTTTGGGGATGGGCTGGGTTTGGCGGACGATGAGAAGGAGTGTCAAGAGACACTCCCAGGGTTCTGACTAGTATAATTGGACAGGCAGTGGTGTTCTTCACCAGGACATCCTGGAAGAGGCCTGCAGTGGAGAAAGAGGCGACTCACACCCATGCAGGCCACGGGAGCACAGGTCAGGCACGGAAAGGAGAGGCCTGGGATGTGGTGTGGGTGGGTGGATTGCCTGTGGATTGGTGGTTATGGAAGTTATGTGTAGCAGGGGCCTGTTTTGCGCCTCCACCAGAAACTTCTGCCACTCCCAGGAGGACCACACAGAAGGTCTTCAGTCTCATGCAATTTCCTTTGATTTTGCTCATCTTTGTGCTCAGGAGCAGATCTGGGTCGCATCCTATCCCCCAGGTGACAAGGCTCATCTGGCCTGCTAGCCAGGAGGGTGCCTTTCCTTTGCCTCCAAAAGCAAAGTGGTGGGGGTGGGGGAGGGAACAGCTTGGCAACACAGATACACGTGCACACACACACGCACTCATATGCCTGATCTTTTTCTTTTAGGATTTGCTACCCTAGAGGTGTCTGATTAGCTTTACAAAGGTTAGAGATCATTTTATTTTGCCCAAATTTAGTCAAGGGAAAGCCCAGTGCAATTCGCCCTCAGTTACCCCCTGGTTCCACATCCAAGATTTCAATCAACCATGGATCAAAAATATTTGAAAAAAGAAAAGCAATTTAAAAATAACAACAGGCCAGACACAGTGGCTCACACCTGCCATCCCAGCACTGTGGTGGGAGGATCACTTGAGGCCAGGAGTTTGAGACCAGCCTGGACAACACATAATGAGATCACAGCTCTACAAAAACCAAAAAAACAAAAATTAGCCAGGTGTGGTGGCACGAACCTGTAGTCTCAGCTACTCGGCAGGCTGAGGTGGCAGGATAGCTTGAGTCCAGGAGTTTGAGGCTGCAGTGAGCCATAATCATGTCACTACACTCCAGCCTGGGCAACAGACTGAGACCTCATCTCCAAATTTTTTTTTTAATAATAGCAACAATAGGCCAGGCACGGTGGCTCACATCTGTAATCCCAGCTCTTTGGGAGGCTAAGGTGGGAGGATCATGAGGTCAAGAGATCGAGACCATCCTGGCCAACATGGTGAAACCCCATCTCTACTAAAAATACAAAAATTAGCTGGGCGTGGTGGCATGCACCTGTAGTCCCAGCTCCTCAGGAGTCTGAGGCAGGAGAATCGCTTGAACCTGGAAGGCGGAGGGTACAGTGAGCCAAGATCATGCCACTGCACTCCAGCCTGGCGACAGAGCGAGACTCTGTCTCAAAATAATAATAATAAATAACACAAATTTTAAAACTAATACAGTACAATAACTATTTACACAGCACTTACATTGTATTAGGTATTACAAATAATCTAGAGATGATTTAAAGTATACAGGAGAATGTGCATAGGTTATTTACAAATACTATGCCATTTTATATCAGAGACTTGGACATCCTTGAATTTTGGTACCTGCAGGAGTCCTGGAACCAAACCCTTTAGGATACTGAGGGACAGCTATAATTGCCCTGGAAAATGGAACCCTTCCCCCAACTCCCATCCCCCACAGTCTCCTAAAAACAAGACATTTTTGGTACAAGTATATTTTATGTGGAACGTATCAACAGGATGGAGTCCCACTTCCAAATGGACACAGGGCAATACGGAGCACAACAGGGCATGTGTGGAAGAAGTGTCCTGGGGGTGCAAACCCTCGGGAATTAAAAATGGGATTGGGAGGTGTATTTGTTCCTGGGGGCTCCTGCAGCAGATGACCTCAAACAGCAGAAACTTACTCTCTTACAGCTCTGATGGGCCAAGGGTCCAAGATCAAGGTGTCAGCAGGGCCACACTCCCTCTGGAGGCTCTAAGAAGAGTCTGCTCCTGCCTCTTCCAGGCCATCCTGGCTTGTGGCTGCAACTCTCAAGTCGCTGCCTCTGCCTTCACATGGCCTTCTCCTCTTCCATCTCTGTGTCTCTCCTCTGCGCGTCTCATATAAGGACATTCATCCTGGGATTTACAATCCGTCCAAGATAATGATCCCAAGAATCATTTCATCTCAAGATCTTTAACTTGAACCGGGCACAGTGGCTCATGCCTATAATCTCAGCATTTTGAGAGGCCGAGGCAGGTGGGTCACTTGAGCCCAGGAGTTCAAGACCAGCGTGGGCAACTTAGGGAGACCTCGTCTCTACAAAAAATACACACAAAAAATTAACCAGGAGTGGTGGTGTGCAACCCTAGTCCCAGCTACTCGGGAGGCTGAGGCCAGAGGATCGCTTGAGCCTGGGAGGTTGAGGCTGCAGTGAGCCGTGATTGTGCCACTGCCTTCCAGCCTGGATGACACAGTGAGACCCTATCTCTCTCACACACACACACACACACACACACACACACACACACGATCCTTAAGACCAGCCTGGGCCACATAGGGAGCTCCACACAGAGCAGGTGCTCATTCAATGTTGTAAATTACATTTGTAAAGACACTTTTTCCAAATAAGGTCACTTACATTTGTAAAGACGCTTTTTCCAAATAAGGTCAAAGACCCTTTTTCCAAATAAGGTCACATTTCTGGGTCCCAGGAATTATAATGTAGATGTATCTTTTGGGGGGCCACCATTAGACGCACTACAGTATGAGACTTTCACAGACCATGGGGGACAGGAGGCAGCGGTTAAGCTTTGTTTCTTTCTGACTTGGCAATGGCGCCCTGTGGTGACAGCCACTCATACTGGAACTGTGCTGAGAAACCCATCCCTCCCTCCAGCTCTCACTGCCGAAGAAAATAGGCATTCTGAGAAATGCTAGTGGGCCCCAACCCCTTCCTAGCCACGCAAGCGACCCCCTCTTCAGGGCCTATTTCCAAGCCCCCTGCTTTGAGGCCCATGCCGGTCATCCCAGATCCCAGCTGCCTCACTCTCCATTGAGTCCTATGACCTTGAGCCTTGATTTCACTTGTTCAAACCCCTCATAAGCATTTGCTGGCTGTCCAATGTACTTTGGACCCCAGGCTTATGAGAAAACTCATTTGGCAATTAATCCTACTCTCACCTTGGACCGGTTCTGCAAAGTCCCAGATTCTTGTGGGGAGAGTGGGCGTTTCAAAAGCGTAGAGAAGCTAACAAGCCTCTCGTCAAAACCACCCTCAAAGATCACCTATAAACCACCAGAAGCCAGGACCTTGAAGCTCAAAAGCAAAAATCCGCTTGTTACCTAGCCTTGCAGGGAGAGGATCCCTGGCCCTGGGGCAGGTCTACTTTGGAGATGAAGGGAGGGAGGGAGGAGGGAAATGGATTTGTTACAGAGATTTCAATCTTTTCTTCCTTCACCTCCGGATTTTATAAGTGGCTTTCCTGGACTAAGCCACAGTCATGTGTGTGGCAATCTACTGTATGTTATTCTCTTGGATGAGCTGCCTTGAGAACAAGGCTCCTGAGGGCAGAAAGAAGCTGCCCTATCTCCCTGTGAGTGGGTCACAGGGTAACCTGTGCAAGGCTGGGCAGGGCAGGTGCTGGATAAAGTCACTGGGGGAGAGGGGAGGAAGGGGGGGGGGAGGTCCACACCTGTGGGTCTCACGACTCAGGCGACCCCTTAAGGGACTGCTGCCACCAAGAGGAATACTGGGGTGAGCTTTCCCACCTCGCCACCCAGATCCGTTGTCCCCTCTGGGCCACGCGTGTGTCCAAAGCCATGACAGGGACAGACAAAGGCCCACACCATGTGGGCCCACACTTGGTTCCGGGGCTGAGTCCTGTGCCCAGCGCCTGACACAGCTCCACGCCCAGCTGGTGCTCATTCAATGCTGAATGCCTCAGAGAATCTTCAGGCCTGCCATCCTCAGCCAGGGCCTTGAGAGTCCCCTTATTAGTCAGGTTTCCCCAGAGAAACAGAACCAATGGGATGTGGACAGGGAGAGAGAGAGAGGGAGAGACAGAGGAAGAGAGAGAGGTTGATTTTAAGGAACCGGCTCACTGATCGTGGAGGCCAGTAAGCCCACATCTGCAGGGTAGGCCTGGGCGCTGGGGAACCAGGAAGAGCTGATGCTGCAGTTCTAGTCCCAAAGCCTTCTGCTGACAAATCCCCCCTCTCAGGAATGTTTTTCTTTTCCAAGGTGAGGAAGAGGTGGGAGGTGAAGGGTGAGGGTCAATCTTTGTCTTCAGGTCTTCAACAGAGGGAGCAGGACCCGCCCACCTGGTGAGGTAATTTGCTTTACTCAGCACTCATCCACTGATTCAGATGTTACTCTTATCAAAAAATACTTTCCCAGATACATCTAGAATAATGGCTGATCAAATATCTGGGTACCGTGGTCCAGCCAAATTGATGCATAAAATTATCCTCCCACTTCCCCACCCCTGGCCCCTCCAAGGCCCTCCGGGGTTCTCCGGGAGTCTGGCTCTCCATCTCCTCCTCTTTGCCCTCCGGCTTCCAGGCTGTGCGACCCTGAGGCTCTTCCCTGCCCTGTTCTACCCAAAGGGGCCTCAGGGGCTTGAATTCCTCCTTCTTGGACCTTTTTCTCTTTCCAGTCAGTGGATCCCATCACTTTGAGGGCTCCTGGAATGACATTTTCCCCAAGAAGCCTCTCCTGTATAAAACTGGGGGTTGTTGGCTGTGCCCAGAGGATGGGGGTGGCTTCCTTGCCCTCTTCACCCCCCACACCCCTGCCCCCTTCCCCCTGCATCACTGCCGGGCTGGACTGGGGGTGGGGGTTGGGGGAATATAAGCCCTGGATTGGGCGCCCTTATCTTGCTTTAATTTCCTCTAGAGCTCAGCGCCATGTGAGGTTATAGTAGTGGCCGACCTTGTTTACTCTTTCCTACCGGAGTATAAGCTCCAGGGGGCAGGGACTTCATCCCCAGAGCCTAGCCCAGGACCTGCACACGGAGGCACTCAGGGTGTTTGTTGATTGAATGAAAAACGTTCACTGAACACCTCTGTTGTGCCGCACACACTGTGCCAGGGCGTGGACGAAAGCTCAGCTGCCCAGGCCATTGACTATTTCTGAGCATTTCCACTCTCACGTTGTACACCCCTCATTTCTCTCTTCCTGGAGGGGCTCCCTACCTGAGCGCGGGAATCATCTTCCTTCCTCTCTCCTGGAGTCTGCCTGACTTGGTGTCCCAAGACAGGGACTGGGTCCCCTTTGAGCCCCTGGAGGAATGTGAACTGAGCCGATGAGGAGATGCCTCCTGTCTACTTGGAGGAAAGGGACCGGGACACACAGAGGCGCAGGGGGCTGAACCCTCGGTTCCAGCCCCGATAACTCATCCGGAGTCACGCGGTTCCGGGACTTTGCAGAGGAAAGGGGCGCGGGATGTGCTTTGGGAATAGAATTCCACCTTTGCACTCGGCTCTGCACCTGTCCTGCCCCCCGGAGATTCCTTGAGTCCACGTGGATCCGAGAGGAGAAGCTGTTGATCATTTCCTGTCCGCTGAGGCTGTGATCCCCGGGCGACCGGACCGGTAGCCCGGCAGCGCCCTCTGGTGGCCGGTGACGCTCAGCCAGCGCCGGGAATCGCCGCCCAGGCCCCAAGGACCAGAATCAGGAGCAGGATCAGGGCCAGGGCCAGGGCCAGGGCCAGGGCCAGGGCCAGCGCGGGAGGCAGATTTATCCCGGTGCACACCTCTAACTTATCCCTCCTACACAAGGCAGGACTCCGGCTTCTTTCCCTTTTCTGTGTATTTCAAAAGGAATGCACATTGAGCATAAAAAATATATGTAAACAAAAAGAAGCTCCCAGTCAAAGCTGTGATACTGTGTCCTGGCAGGACCAGCCAGGCCTGGGTCTCAATCCCAGACCTGCCATCTACCAGCTGACTGAATCTGAACAAGACGCTTAACTCTCCGAGCCACAGTTTCTGCATCTGCAGCCTGGGAATGGTGTGCTCTCCATTGCTGGGTTGTGTATAGATGACCTATGTACCCAGCACCTAGGACAGCCCCGACTGATGGGGGCAATTCTTATTAGACACAAAGGAGAATCTGTTAAATGTCCTTCAGTTTCTGCTCAGGTGTTCCCAGGGGGTGAGAGATGTTCCCAAAGATATAACTGCCTGCCTGATCGCCCAAGCAGAGACTGTATTTCCCAGATTTTCTGGCAGCCAGAGTTGGTCACAGGGCTAATTCTGGTCCATGGAATGTGGCTGGAAATGATGTGTCCAACTTCCGAGTCACGCCCTGCAAAGGAGGTTGTTTCCCCTCCATTCTGCTTTTCCATCCTCCTGCTGGCTTGGAAGTGGACGGTCCTGGATCAGCTGCCCTGGAGAAAGGAAAGGAAGCCACATATTGAGGATGGCAGAGCCTTCCTGACACCCCAGAACCACTGACATCTGCAGAAATAAATATTCCTAACCCAACGTATCTCTGGATCTCTTTGTTACACCAACTTAGATATAATCGTGGTGTTTCAAGTGCATGCCCAGGAGTCTTGGTATTCATTCTGAACACCAGCTGACAGAGCTTCTGCCTTTAGTGCCACTTCTTACCTTTAGTGTCTCCCCCCACCCCACCATGCACAAAAAAAAGCCCCTGCAAGGGCTGGACCCAGGGAACCCTAGGGATGGCTTAACTCCAGCCTGGTCATCCCCTCCCTGAGGTCACACTGAGGCTGGCAGCCCTGCCATCTGGATCATCCCCTCCCTGAGGTCGCACTGAGACTGGTAGTCCCACCACCTCTCTCTGCTCCTCTCCCCGTTCCATGGCTTCAGTGTGCCAGGGGCTGATTAAAGGTAGTCCAACGTGTCAGACAGTTAGTACAAGGGTTCTTCAATGACTGTCCGACTGCAGGTTGAACTGACAATGAACAAGACAGCACACTAGGGCTCCTTTACCCCAGTCAGGAGGGACAGAGTAGCTCAAATCCATGTTTTGGGAGTCTGGAACCTCTATTCCTTCCTGGTACTCCCCAGTTTAGGATATGTTGATAAAAGCTGGTTTAGAGAAGGCAAAAAGCAAGCCCCAGCCCCAGGTAGGGCCTCCTACCTCCCCTAGTAATCTCAATCTTGAGACTCCCACACTAGGGTAAACCTGTGGAAAGGCCAATTCCTGTATGGTGAAGTTGTCAGGTCTAATTTATCTTGGATGAAAGTCTAGCATCCATCTTTCTTTTTTTTTTTTTTTTTTTTTTTTTTTTTTTTTTTTTTTTTTTTTTTTTAGACCAAGTCTGCCCAGGCTGGAGTGGCAGGCATCTGTAGTCCCAGCTACTTGGGAGGCTGAGGCAGGAGGATCACTTGAACCTGGGGGGTGGAGCTCACAGTGTGCCAAGATCACGCCACTGCACTCCAGCAGACTTGTTTAGTCTGTTTTTGAGACTTAGGCTTGCTCTGTCGCCCAGGCTGTAGTGCTGTGGTGTGATCTTGGCTCACTGCAACCTCTGCCTCTCCAGGTCAAGCAATTCTCCTGCCTCCGCCTCGGGAATGGCTAGGACTACAGGCACACCACCAGGCTCGAGTAATTTTTGTATTTTTAGTAGAGATGGGGGTCTCACTATATTGCTTAAGACTGGTCTTGAACTCCTGGCCTCAAGCAATCCTCCCACCTCTGCTTCCCAAATTGCTGGGCTTATAGGCATGAGCCACCGCGCCCGAGGATCCTGGAGTTTTTAGCGGGATTCTAGCTCAGAGTTTTCTGTTTGACACCCTGCTTTTCAGAGTTTTTTATGTTTATATTTTTAAAAATAATTTAGCATAACTTGGTAAAGCTCATTTTAAGAAAAATAACAAAGGGAACAACTTTCCCCACCGTTGGGTTTCCAGTCTCTGTGACCGTCCTTGTTCCCTCCGTACTGCCTCATCATGACACTCTGCTCACCCCGCGTGCTGGGCAGCAAACGAGTTCTATGCTTTCTGTCTTGTTTTCCTGAGGACCTTTCCTGGCGTTTTGACAGGCCGCTGGTACCCACAGAAGCCTGGAACTGAGGGGGCCCAAAATCATCTCGGGCAACACCACCCGTTTATATCGTAATAGCGCAAGACTCCGGCGCCCGAATCACCCAGAGAGCCGACTGGCCGAGCCGGGGCCCAGCCACCCAGGCCGCCACTCTTCGCTGATTCTCAAGAGTTGCGGGTGCAATGAGATCTGGTCCACTGCTTTTTAAATGCCCCGGGTGCATAAAAATTCGCCTTACTTAGAGCCTTGGGGACGAAGATTTATCCATGGTATAAAAGGATGCACCTTTTGAAACCACAAAAGTAGAAAATGGAGAAACTGAACACAGTCGGCGTTATACCAGCGTCCAACAGCAACTTCCTATATATTAGATTTCCAAGGAATAGCGGGGCGGAGGTGCTTGGCCACGACAGGAAAAGGTAGGGCTCAGGGGTATTGTGACATGCTCCGGAGAAGGGCAGCTTTTCCCTCCCAACGGAAGCCCGAGCCCAGAGGGGCGAGGGTGTCGGGCCGGACATGGAGCAGCGGCCTGGGGCCCAGCCCTGCAGGGCACCCCAGGAGAGGAAGGCGGAGGCGCAGCCACAGGCCCCGGCCCAGTCTGTCGAGGGCCACGGCCAGGTGCTGCTGATCAGCGGGCTCTGGAAGCAGGATGAGGACGGCCTGAGCCTGCAGAGCTTTCCAGGAGACACTGCAGCCGATCAGCTCCCCAGGCCCTCGTCCGCCCGAGCCATGAGCGGCCACACCAGCGCCAGCAACTGCACCGCACGGCGGTCCAAGCGCTGGGGCGACAGCTCCATGAACTGCGACGACTGCCCGGCCACGAAGTCCAAGCGCTTCACCAAGAAGTCGCGGCGCTCGGAGCCCAAGGCCGAGGACCCGCGCGAGGCGCCAGGGGCTCCTCCTGGGACCCCCACCTCCGCGGCAGAGGACACAGCGTCTGCACGCGGGGCACCGCAGCACCCGCCTGAGCGGGGCGCGCAGCTGCTCCTGGTGTTGTGCCGCGCGTCTGCGCTCCTCACGCAGCTGCTGCGGCTGCAGCTGCTCCTGCAACAGCAGCACGCCCGGGACCGACGTCCGCCCGCCGCGCTCGTGGGGATCGTGGTGCAGCCGCAGCAGGAGGAGGAGGCCGAGGCGCGCCGCCGCATGGAGGCCCTGCTCAGCCGAGTCCTCGCGCCGCACAGCCCAGCCGTGGAGGTGCACACGGCCGTGTTCTGCCCCGGCCGCCCCGAGGGCACCCTGGACTTCCAAGCGCGCCGCCAGCAAGTGCACAGGGTCTCCCTGATGGATCGGGAGACGCAGACCGATGGTGAGGGGTCGGCGCGGGGAGGGGGGAGCCCCGGGGCGGAGAACGCTCAAACACGCAGCCCTGGACCCCGACCCTGCCGCCCCGCGGGGTAGAGGACAAAGCCCCGGAGTCACGGCCTCTCTCCTGGCGCCTCCAGGAGTTTTGGGTACTGTTTTGGGTGGTAAGGAACTAGAGTTCCTCCCGGTGTGCTCACTGGGGCAATCTCAGCGTCAGAGGTGTTCGAATTAATTCGGAGGGCTACGACCCCCACTCACTGGCCCCACATGCAACTTGGGGCATCGGTTCCCATGACTTGGGGTCACGCTTTTGTAAGGTATTGATTTGGGACTTTGTAGAAACGGGGCCCCACTCCCTCCTCTCCACATCCTCCTCTCCCTTGCTTGCTTCTTTAGTCTTCTCCAGGGAAGAATAATAACACTAAAAGCACGCCTTTTGTGAGTCAGGCGCTGTTCTAAGGGCTTTTCACCTGGATCCTCATGGCAACCCTCTCAGGTGGAACTCCGCTAGACTAGCTGGCCGACTTCAGGATTCTCCTTCGCAACTCTTGAGACCCTTTCTGTTATGGAGACCAGGCCTGTGGCCCACGGGATTAATTTGTCAGTCTAAGGTCCCTGGGCAGTGAGATCTTGAGGGAGCGCCAAGTCCCGCAACCTACCTGCCAGCTCCACCCTGCCAGGGGCAGCAGGAGGGACTGAGGAAGTGCTCTGTGTGGCAGAGTCCAAAGGTCAGGTACCCAAGGTCTGCCACTCTCCAGCTGGTGACCAGAGCAGGCATCCTCTCTATGGACCAGTGTCCCTCCTGTGTGACGTGAAGGTGAAGGGCTGGTTGATGTCCAGGGTGCCATCCAGCTCAGAGAAGTCAGCTTCAGGACAAATGGTGACACACTTATTCTAGGTGCCCAGGAAACCAGAACCATCAGAGACCTTCTGGGAGGAAATTTTCACCCCATCAAGACCTTATTCTGACTATCTAATTTCCAATTCCCTTCCCCTACCTAGTCTACTGCATTTTCACATGACTGGCATCCCTAGTTAGGAAACTCCCTTGCCCATGGACTAGTCCAGCTGTGATCCTCAGCCAAGGCCAGAGAAGTCCCAGTCCATTTTTGAAAACACCCCCTTGGTGATGAAGCCTTGGAGGTGCCTGATCCCACATGCCCACCTGCCCCCATCACAGCTTCCTGCTGTCGCAGCTTCCTGCTTTCTCTGTCCTAACTTTACCTTTATTCAGTTCCAGCAGCTTGCATTAAGCCCCTACTCTGGACTGTGGCCTTCTGAGGTTTCCACCATCTGGGGTTGGGGAATGAGAGGGAAGGCAGAGACAGAAATAATTCTAATGCCGTTCAGAATATGACCAGTCTCATACAAAGAGGTGCCCCGGAGCTCAGCAGCAAGGGAAGGATGGCTTCCAGTTGGAGATCTCAAGAAAGGCTTTTTTTTTTTTTTTTTTTTTTTGAGATGGAGTCTCGCTCTGTGGCCCAGGCTTGGAGTGCAGTGGCGCGATCTCCGCTCACTGCAACCTCCACTTCCCGGGTTTCAAGCAATTCTCCTGCCTTAGCCTCCTGAGTAGCTGGGACCACAGGCGTGTGCCACCATGCCCAGCTGATTTTTTTATATTTTTAGTAGAGACAGGATTTTGCCATGTTGGCCAGGCTGGTCTCAAACTCCTGACCTCAGGTGATCCGCCCGCCTCAGCCTCTCAAAGTGCTGGGATTACAGGCATGAGCCACTGTGCCCAGCTTAGAAAGGCTTTATGAAGAGATTTATCCACTTGAGATAGGGCTTGACCAGAAAATGCTTTGGTAGAGGTGCAGAGAGGGATGATAGAGGAGAAGGGCTTCTGAAAATGCAGGAATGTTCAGCCTGTTCATGAGATCTCTGATGTTCACGGTTAGCTAGAGCTGGACACAGGTAGTAGTAGTGGCTGATAAGCACTGGGCAGTGGGCTGTGGCTGTATTATGGAAGAGCCAGGCTTCCTGTATAGGAACAGGTGCTCAAACAGAAAGCAGTGGGGCCAGGCGCAGTGGCTCATGCCTGTAATCCCAACACTTACGGAGGCCAAGGCAGGCAGATCACTTGAGGTCAGGAGTTCGAGACCAGCCTGGCCAACAGAGTGAAACCCTGTCTCCACTAAAACTATAAAAATTAGTCAGGCATGGCGGCGCATGTCTGTAATCTACTCAGGAGCCTGGAGCATGCCTGTAAGCTACTCGGGAGGCTGAGGCAGGAGAATCAGTTGAACCCGGGAGGTGGAGGTTGCAGTGAGCCAAAATTGGGCCACTGCACTCCTGGAGACAGAGTGAGACTCTGAAAACAAAAACAAAAAGAAGAAGAAGAAGAAGGTGGGGGCTGCAGGGAAGACGTTCTAGCAAGGAGCTATTGAGGGACCATTCTTCCTCATTCTTCTGGGACAACCTCTTTCCACAGGTGCCCTCTCTCTGCTTCTTGGGACCACTCTTACTAAAGAATTCACACATATTTTTGCTGCTGCCACAGAGAAATTCCCCACTCCTCCCTCGGCCTGCCCTCTGTGCTTCCTCCATCTTTCTACAGGAAGACAGAGACTCATTCTCTGTGCCCTGTTTGGCTCCTTCTGGTAAAATGGAATATTTCTTTCATTGCTACCAGGAAGTTCTACCTATATGTGTCTGCTCCTATCTGATTCATTTACACCAACATGGCACAATCAGGGGCAATGTGGACACACACACTCCTACCCCATCTCTAGGGGACATTTAGCAATATCTGGAGACATTTTGGGTTGTCCTGGGGTAGGGGGGAGTAAAGACTGGGTAAAGACCAGGGATCTGGTAAACTTCCTACAATACACAGGATGACCCGCCACAACAAAGAATTACTCAGCCCAAAAATGTCAACAGGGCTGAGGTTGAAAAACACTGATTTAAACCAGGTTGAGGCCCTCGGCCGAAGCCCATTGGTACCTGAAAATCCAACTTTGCAGAGATTAATGCCTTAGGAGTTCCTGAGCTGTCTGCTAGATCTCAACAGGGTTCCCGGCCTCGGTTTCCAGTCTCTCTGATTCTAAATGGAGTCCCCTCAAGGGTTCCATTGCTCTTGGCTTCAGGAAATTACCAGCTTCATACAGATTCACTTGCTCCCAGAGCCTCCTTAGGCCAAGGTCAACCAAACACAACCCAATACTCTTGAGCTGAGCTTGCCTTCACTTCTGATCCTTCCTGCCTTTGTTTTCTTCAATCTTCTCGCTCAGGGACCTTTTTTTTTTTTTTGAGACGAGTCTCACTCTGTCGTCAGGCTGGAGTGCAGTGGCACAATCTCGGCTCACCACAACCTCCGCCTCACAGGTTCAAGTGATTCTCCTGCCTCAGCCTCCTGAGTACCTGGGACTACAGGCGTGCACCACCATGCCCAGCTAATTTTTGTATTTTTAGTAGAGACAGGTTTTCACCATGTTGGTTGGCCAGGATGGTCTCAATCTCTTGACCTCATGATCTGCCCGCCTCAGCCTCCCAAAGTGCTGGGATTATAGGCGTGAGCCACCGCACCAGGCCACTGGGGGACTTTTTAATTCATTATTTCAAAGCCTGTATAATTATCTGACTCCCTATTGTTTTCTGGGATCATGAAAATAATGAGCCCCAAACTGGAATTTAGTCCTTCCGATGCCCCCAGCCAGCTGTGTGACCCTGGGAAAGTAACTTAATTTCGCTAAACCTCAGTGTTCTGAGGAAAGGTCATCATTAAGGTATTTTTAGGCTCTAGAAGCCCTAAACTATGTCCTGTCATTTCAGAGTTCATGTTGGGTCTGGCTTTGTGTGGCCCAAAGCCCCCCATTTTTTTTTAAGACAGAGTCTCGCTCTGTCGCCCAGGCTGGAGTGCAGTGGCACGATCTCGGCTCACTGAAAGCTCCACCTCCAAGGTTCACGCCATTCTCCTGCCGAGTAGCTGGGACTACAGGCACCCACCACCACGCCCGGCTAATTTTTTGTATTTTTAGTAGAGACGGGGTTTCACCATGTCAGCCAGGATGGTCTCAATCTCCTGACCTCGTGATCTGCCCGCCTCAGCCTCCCAAAGTGCTGGGATTACAGGCGTGACCGAAGCCCTTTTTATCTGCATAGGTCTGCTCTAAACCTTCCGCTGGGGCAGGAGCTCCTGCGCTTGCCAGTCCCACACTCACCCACCTGTGACACACTGGCGATGAAAGCAGTCTCCTCAGGTGAACACATTTTATGTTGCAGTCACAGTATGAGCTTCAGATTGTCTTTTAAAAATACTTTTCCTTCTTCCATCCTAAAACAAAAATCACATTTAATGAGCACATTAAATTAATTAATCTAGAGAAAGATTCAGTCACCTGTTTAACCCAACCAATTGGGGTTTGGGAGATAGTCTGTGGTTGCCATTGCCATGAGTTTGAGACAAATGTTAGTTTTCTGAACAGCTGTTATGTTCTCAGGGAAAATTATCTGCCAAATGCAAAGGTTCTTATAAAAGTCAAGTCAACCCCCAAACTCCCCTCCCACAGTGCGGGAGGGCAGGCTTTGGGGGAAGGGGTAAGCTACTCTGAGATGGTAGCAGGCTCTGGGCCATGGTAAAGCCTTCGAAGAAGCTCCAAATCTTCAGGAAGCTGACCTGAAGATGAATGCGTGGGGAACATGGATTTTTGAGGTGTAGGAGTAGGGGGTATGTGGAAGCCAGTGACAGAGCTGAGCGTCACATCCAGGGTATCTTAGAGCAAAACAGGTAGCTCACATGGACCCAGGAACACGCCAGCAGAGAGGTGTCTGAAGGCAGCGCTCAGGTCGCAGAAGCATGAGGATCTGGCTGTCACCAGCCCCGTAGCCAGGGCTGTGAGGACCAGGGCAGCCGCTGTCCCCTGCCTAGCCTGGCAGCCTGGGATGAAGGAGGACACCAGGCTGGTGTCTGCAGAGAAGACTGTCCCTTGAAGCCCTGCCATAGGAGCCACCCTGGCTTTTATGACCTCACAGGAGGTGTGGGTCACTGTTCTCTGTGGGGCCTGGGTCCAGCTGGAGGCCCAAGCCAGGCTCCTAGGGCAGAGGGCAAACGGCCCCTCCAGGAGGGAGCCGGGAGATTACGCAGCTCCATGTAGGTCCACGTTTAGGTTGGGAGGATCTACCATGAAGAAGGTCAAGAAGAAAAGGTCAGAGGCCAGACGCCACCGAGACTCCACCTCCCAGCATGCTAGCTCCAATTCCACCTCTCAGCAGCCTAGCCCTGAATCCACACCACAGCAGCCTAGTCCTGAATCCACACCACAGCAGCCTAGCCCTGAATCCACACCACAGCATTCCAGCCTTGAAACCACCTCCCGGCAGCCAGCATTCCAAGCCCTTCCAGCACCCGAAATCCGCCGCTCCTCTTGCTGCCTTTTATCTCCAGATGCTAACGTGAAGGCAGCCCCTCAATCCAGGAAAGCAGGTGGGCTGTCTTCTAGCTTCAGCAGTTCCAGCCTTCCTGCTGATGGAGTTCTGGGTCATCCCAAAGGCTGGTTCTTGTAGGATAGTGATGCATGGTTAACGTGTATCCTGGAGCTGTGCTGTAGAGTGGGAAGGTTTTTGTTTTTGTTTCTACCCAAGAGACCAGGATTCCTGGGTTTTGTCATTTCTCATCATCCTGAGTCTCACTGAAGACAGCCACACATACATATAAACATTTAACTTGGTTCCATAGTAATACTTGCTCACTAGGAATCAGCAGTGCCATGCAACTGCTAAAAAATAAAAACCAAGGATGCATTTATAGAAGTATATGGTTTAGAATAAGGGAGGTGATGATACTGCTTTATTCTGTCCTCATCAAGCTATCCTTTTGGGCTGTAAAAGATGCCTGACAAACTAGTCCAAGGAAGATAGTCTGGGTTGATGGAGGATGAGAAGGATCAGGGAGACCATTTAGTGTATGACAGTCAATTGAAGGAATTGGAGGATGTCTGTCTGTCAAGTGGAAGATGTGAATAGACTTGTTCCTTATTGTCCTCAGAGATCTAAGGGTCTGATGTGGTTTGGCTGTGTCCCCACCCAAATCTCTTCTTGAATTCCCAGGTGTTGTAGGAAGGACCCAGTGGGAAGTGATTGAATCACGGGGGAGGGTCTTTTCCGTGGTGTTCTCGTGATAGTGAATAAGTTTCATGAGATCTAATGGTTTTAAAAAAGGGAGTTTCCCTGCACAAACTCTCTTCTCTTGTCTGCCGCCATGTGAGATGTGCCTTTCACCTTCCACCATGATTGTGAGGCCTCCCCAGCCACGTGGAACTGTAAGTTCCACAAACCTCTTTCTTTTGTAAATTGCCTAGTCTCAGATATGTCTTTATCAGCAGTGTGAAAACAGACAAATACAGGCCCATGGATAGGATAGCCAGACAAAATACAAGACTCTCAGTTAAATTTTAATTTTAGTAAACAACAAATAATATTTTTAGTATGTGTGTCCCCAGTATTGCATGGGCATCCTATATTTTTATTTGCTAAATTAGCAATCTTACCCATGGAAGACATTAGTGACAGAAAGCCTTCGGCTCAACATAAAAAACTTCCCAACAATTAGCTCTGTCTGAAAATGGAATGGCTGTCAGGAAAAGTGGTTCCCTGTCTTCTTGGGAGCCAAACAGTGTCTGTATAAGCATTGGATTGTGTAGAGGGAATTCAAGTGGAGTTCAGGAGGTGGGCTGGTTTATACTACTAACAATAATGGTGATAGCAAACTAACATTATCACTAAGCATTTACTGTGTACCTAGCATTCAGATCAGGTGTCTTAATTTTCACACGTGATAATCCTATAAAAGTTCTTCCATATTATCTCCATTTTATAGATGGGGAAACTGAGGCTCATAGGAGTCAAACAGGTTGCTCCTGAGCAGACGCTGGTAGCCCTGAGAAGGGAAACCCACTCTATTCTGACTCCAGAACCCTCACTTTAAACCACAGCACTGACCTTTCCATTCCAAGAGGCCTAGGAGTCTCCACAAGAGGAAGAACATCTCTGTCCGAGCATCTCCTGGATCTGCCATGAGCCAGTGCCCACGACTCCATAGCCTTGAACAGGCCACACTCCCTGGGCCACAGTTTACCCCCCGGGATTGTGTGGGCATAAAATAAATAAGTGATGGAGATGAGAGTGCTAAATATAAGGCATGCCATGCCAATGATCCTTCCATGGCCAGGAATCAAACCTTTCTTGACATATGATATTGATTTTGAGCACCATACTATATGTTGTAAAGATTGTGATCATCAGCCAGTGAGAGAAACATTTCTGGGTTATGATCTTCAGAACTGGCATCTTCAGTACTGGTAGAAAGCAAGACTTTCCATTCCCAAGTCTTTTAATGAACACATGTGACTCATACTCAGAGAAGAATTTGGCCCATTGAACAGGCAAAGCAAGAAAGCAAGAAATGGTGGTGGCTCGCCAGTGGTTACAGCAGACACCCTATACTTCTTCCAAAGGAATTCTCTGCGTAGAAAGGAATGTTGGAGATGAAGGATGAGGGCCTGCAAGTAAAGCGTGCCATTTTCTAAAATCCAAGCCTTTTTGTGTGCAGAAATATTGTAGCTCAAGAAAATGCCAGTCTTCCACTAGGATGGGTATAATCAGAAGGATGGACAATAACAAGTGTTGGTGAGGATGTAGAGAAGCTGGAATCCTCATACACTGTAGGCGGGAATGTAAAATGGTGCAGCTGCTGTGGAAACAGTCTGGTGGTTCCTCAGAGGAACATGAAGTTACCTTATGACCCAGCAATTCCACTTCTCAGTATACATCCAAGAGAATTCGAAGCATCTTATTAAGCATATTAGAAGCACACCAAAACTTGTACACAAATGCTCAAAGCAGCAGCATTTGTAATAGCCAAAAAGTGGGAACAACCCAAATGTCCATCAGCTGATGAATGGATAAACAAAATGTGGTATGAAATACCACAGTACAATGAGTATGGTGAAATACTATTTGGCAATAAAAAGAGATAGTGTCCTGATACATGGTACAGCCTGGATGAACCTTATAGACACTTGGCTAAGTGAAAGAATCCAGTCTCCCAGAAACCCACACATCGAATGATTCTATTTACATGAAATGTTCAGAATAGGCAAATGTATTGCCAGGGACTGGGGGAAATGGGAGAGTGGGGAGTAACTGCTCATGGAGATGGGGTTTCTTTTTGGGGAAATGAAGACGTTCTGAAATTAGTGGTGATGGCCACAAAACTTTGTGAATATACTAAAAACCACTGAGCACTCTAAAAGGGTGAATTTTATTGCCTGGGAATGATATCTCAATTTAAAAACTTTTTTGTAATTAAAAAAAAAGACAAGTCTTGCCTTTAGAATCCCCTCTCCTCATTCCGGGAAAGTACGTGTCGTGGGCAAGTCTAAGCAGAAAGTGTATTGAATCTGCCAGGTTGACCACCTGTTTCATGCAGCTTAGGGTCAGAAGAATCTGTAGCTCTGTCAAGAAGACGCAGGGCTACAGATAGGAAACAGGAGGGAATAATCCAGCCAGAAATTATCTTGCCCAACCACAGAGGGCATCATCTACATTCTGCTGGGATCCATACCAGAGGAGGACAGAAACAGAAAATAGGATCGGGACTGGAAACTAGAGCTGTGGTTGTCTTCTGGATGGATCAGAATGCTCTAGATCAATGGAACGTGGCAGCTCCAATTCCAGGAATGTCAGTGCAGCCTCTCCTGAGGTGAGCAGTCACCTGAAATTCCATTTTCACTGAATTAAACGTGAGAAAGCCTGAGTTGAGAAAGCCAACTTCTGTAATCTACTCCCCAAAAGGGCATATCCCTTAAATTAGCTGAGCCTCAGTTTCCTTATTTGTAAAACAAGACCAGCAGTATCCCCTTTACAGGATTACTGTGAAATTAAATGAGATGAGCATGCTAAGTGCAAAGCATCCTGAAGGTGTAAGCCATGGCACCATCAGCACCACCTCCATCATCATCATCGTTGTTGTCGTCGCTGTTGCTACTCCCAGGTAGCACCAGTATAAAACAGCCATTTTCCCATGCGGTCAGTCTTCTCTTCTGTTTGGTTAGAGAACATTTTGTGGGAGAACTGCCTTCCTTAGGTAGTTCAGTCCCAAATCCTCAATGATGCCTTGGAAAAAATCCAGCGTTCGCCCTGGTAATCCTGCAGCTGCTGCCGTTGTGGGGGGCCTTCTCAGACTGTGTTCCAGACTCCCCCGCCCCAGCCTCCCAGGGCAGGTGCCTCCCTCACCTCTCTCCTTCTGTCCCCACAGGGCCTCTGATTCGCGCCGGCCCGCATTCCTGCTCCTGTGCCACTTGCCCCTGCAGCTCCGCTTGCTGGCGTCGTCTGGGGCTATGCCATAGCCGCATCTTCGATGTCCTTCTGCCTCGGGACTGGCAGATGGCGCCAGGGAGAGGACTCCCCAACCTGCTCACCTTCTACAGGTTCCAAGCGCGAGGGGCTGGAGCCTCGGGGCACACAGTCCCCAGGGCCAGGCTCTGCCCCCAGACCTTATTAGCAATCATGTATCACTTCCTCTTGGGAATCCCAGGCCGAAGGAAAGCCTTTCTTTCCCTCTTTGCTTTGCCCACTTCCTGGACGTTGGCAGGCAGGGCCCTTTCTGACCGGCCCCACCCCCGGGGTACCCACCCCGCCTGTACAGAGAGGTGCCAGTTTTCTTCCTCACTGGGATTCCTCCTCAGGGGCTTCCTTTTTCTTTTCTCCAGAGATGCCCTCCCCTCCTCAGAACACTCTCCCCCTCAGCCCTTCACAGAGTCGCTCAGGAGCTTTGTGTTTAAACACTGTTTGGCCATGCACCTCCGTGGGCCCTCAGTGGCCTGTGTCATAGGCAGGGGCCTTAGGTTCCTGATCTGCCTACGAATGTCGCCCAGAATTTAATGATAAAAAACTACTTGTAACTCATATGCCTCCTCCACACAATAGCAAGACGTCAGCCCCCTTCAGACTGTGCTGGGCTCTTTCTGGGGGTCTCCACAGGGAACATCTGCCCCCAGGCTGGTCTGTTGGTGGCGGCCCCCATGACATCACCCATAGTATCTGTCCTTCCTTCCTCTTCCCAAAAAGCCACCAGGAGCAGTGTCATGGCTGCCACCGCCCTCATAGGAAGACCCCATCCATGCAGGGAACAGACTGGAGATGTTCCCACGTTTGGGCGCTGCTAGGTTACATGCATGGGCTGGGAGAGGGGTCGCCATCTGCCCCACCTGAGGGCCTCACAGATCTCAATGGAAGAGGCCCTTCCACTTGGCGACCTCACACCCCCACCCCAGGAACTGAGGCCCCCCAACCCCCATCCTTGTCCTGTTCCTCTTCCCAGCCTCTTCCCTACCCAATCCCCTCTCCTTTCTGGAGCTGAAAAACTCCATCTCTCCTACACATGGAGATAAGTAAATAGATACCGGGGCGTGTGGGGAGAACACGCTTGGAGCCAAAAATACTCCACCACCCAGTAAGCTCCGTCAAGGAAAGGTCTGCCTGCCACCGTTAGCCACACCCTGCCCACACGCTTAGTACTTCCATCCATCCATGGCCAAATCGTGCCATGGGTTCATATCGTTTTAAAACCAGCAAGTGTTATTGAGGGAAACTTACTATGCAGAGGACATGGGGCACTGTGAGGGAAACCAGAACAGGGAACTTTACCCCTAAAATTGTTGCAGTCGACATGGAGAGCTAAGACCCATGCATTTAGAAACCAAGATGCAAGATGCAAAGAGCCTTGTGTCCTCTAGGAGAGGCTCCAACAGGAACCTCTGAAAGGTTCCAACAGGAACAGGCTCCAACAGGAACCTCTGAAAGGTTCCTGTCAACAGCATGTGAGCCGAGTCCAGAAGGATCTTGAAGTCCTCTCTGGCTTAAGATGAAAAGCGGGAGCAATCTGGGTGCAGGAAAAGGCAAGCGTGAGGCTCAGAATCAGGAAAGTGAGCAGGGAGAGACAGGGTCCATATCTGGCCAGGGCAAGACATGTAGTTTTAATTCTGCTCCAATTTTAGCACTGGCATGCTTTTCTCAATGGAGTGTAATGTTGGCTCTTGGCTTTCAATCCACATTCACATTAAACAAGAATCCCTATTTTTGTAGGATTTTTATCAAAACGGGTATTGCATTTTTTGAATGCCCTCCTCACAATTATTGCCTTAGTCATGTTTTCCTTGCCTTTGTGTGGGTGTAATATATTATTTCCCAAGTTCCTTTCTCTCAATGGAGTGAAGTGATAGAACTTACCTCATAGGGTTGTTGTGAGGCTGGAAGAAGACACTGGGTGTGAGGTATTTAGCACAAGGCCTGGCTCACAGCAGACTTGACCACCTTCCTAACCTGGTCCCCTTCTGAGTGTTCAGGGCAGCTAGCATCCCAGGCCAGCTCACCCTCCGATCCTCAGGGGTCTTTCAGTAGGGACTTGTTGGAAGGATGGGAAGAATTAAATGCTCTCCTAAGAGGAGTTTGGAGAGGGGGAAGATGGGTATTCCTGCAATCCTGAGGGGGCCACATAATTTCCACTTTCTCCTGTTCGTAGAGAGGCACTGAAGCCCAGCTTCCCACCACCCCCACTTCTGCTTTGCTCTACAGAAAATCTTCAAGAAAACCCTCCAGTCATCGTAACGCGTGTCCTCCAAGCCCTCGGAACTGTGGCTGTGGCTCTGGGGGCTCTAGGAGCTGCCTACTACATCACTGAATCCTTGTGAACAAGCCCCTAGGCCCACAGTCTGGCAGGTATGTTGAGCGCTCTGTCCCTTCGAATGGAGGTGGTCTCTTCAGGTGGACCAAGCCCCGGCCTCTCAAGGGAAGCTTGCCAGTGGAGTGACTCCCTCCTGGCCTCAGGGTCAGCCGGCATGGCCCTCTAGGGAAGACCTGATGCTCTCAGATGACGCTAGACTCATTATTACAATCATCTAAACAGAGCCCCCACCTCCTCTGCCCCGGGATGGTGTCCCTGGTCATGGACCCTGGACAAGAGGAAATGGGAGGGATGGGGGCAAAGGTTTCTACCCATCTCGGACCTTTCTTGGAACTTTCTCCCTGCCTGGAAAGCTTGTCTCCTACCCAGTCCTACCAGTCCATCACCCATAAAGCCCCCTTCTTCCATGAAACCTTTCTCCATCTTCCCAACTTCAATGACGTCTTCCATCTTCTCAACCCCTGTCCTCTCCACCTGTGCCTCCTGTGTTGTGGATGATCCTGTCGTTTGCCTGTGGCCTGTCTCCCATCTGTCCTGCAAGACCCCTGAGGGCAAGGGGCATGGCTCATGCAGCCATCTTCCCTCATCCCTGGAAGCAGAGCCTGAGACTGGGGTTGAATGGACAGGTTTATTGAGGAGGTGCTCTCAGGGAGTGAGGGAGTGAGGGAGGCAAGAAGAGGCAAGGGAAGGAGCTGAGAGGCAGGAGGCCAGACCTCAGCTTGACCCTGTGGGAGCCCTGGAACAAGAATGATGACACAGAGTTAGTCTCAGCAGAGGGGAGAGACTTGCCCTCTGGTGCTCCTCCTTGTCAGTGCTTTGGCTCTGAGTGTTGGGTAGGGACTGCATGTCTTTGTGGAAAGAGCAGCTCCCTTTGGGCTGAGGGTGCTTCCCTAGAGGAGGGGCAGCTCTGAGCTATTAGCAGCACATTCACAACTCACAGGAGTTGGGCAGTGGATGCACCAGCCCAAAAAGGGGATAATCGTCTGTTTTCCTTGCCTTTGCAGTGGGCGTAATATATTATTTCCCAAGGTTCCTCTCTCCCAGTGGAGTGAAATGATAGAACCTACCTTGTAGGGTTATTGTGAGGCTTGAAGAAGACATTGGGTGTGAGGTGTGAAGGTCTGGGTGGGGTGCCAAGAACTGCCACGATGATCCCCTTGCCATGTCCACACTTAGCAAATGCTTAATAAGTGACAGTGGGGATGATAGCATGGGGATAATGAGAAACATTTCAACCCACTTCCAGACCTCCACCAGCCCCAGGAGTTGATAGGTGATGGCGCTGGGAGAAGATGTTCAGAATATCTCAAAAGCCAAGTCCAGAAGGTAAACTCCAGGGAGAGCTCACTATCCCCTCATGTGCTCTGTGATACCATGTCCCATGTCTGTGGCAGAGGACATAGTAGTTCCTTAGCTGCTATGCTATTTCCTGAGGCGTTTCCTGAGTGGCAAGAACCTCAGTTTCCTCATCTGTAAATAGGGAAAATGACAGTACCTTCCTCTTGAGCCTGTTGGGAGAGGTGAGATAAGGTGTTAGAGGACAGAGCTCACTGCTGGGGGGTCCCGTTGCTGTTGTCAACATGGAGGTGGTGGGAAGGATGCCAGCTTTGGAGTTAGAGCTGCCGGCTCCTTTCTTGACTCTGCTGCCTGATAGCTGGGTGTTAGAGACACGTTTCTTAATTTCTCTGACAGTGACATGTCTAGTGGGGACAATAATAACTACCTCCACAGGCAATGGTTTTGAGGATTGACTGAGGGGATGTGTGGAAGTGCTGAGCACAGGACCCAGTGTCAGGGATGGGTGGATGCTGGCCACTGGCAACATGACAAATGCACCCGAGTTAAAGCATTTTCTCTTCAAAATTCCTTGCAGCAGAACCTACTGGTTGTGAGCTGGAGTTCTGGAGGCAGGCAGGCTTGAGGTCAGAGGCCTCTTCAATACCCAGTATTTCTGAGGCCTGGGGCAGGTTCCCTAACTCCTGATGTCTCATTTTCTTTTCGTTAAATGGAGATAATCATAGCACAGATCTCATTGGATTGTTGGGGGCATTGAGTGGAAAAAATGCATGTAAAACACTTAGCACAGTTCCTGGCACAGGATAAGCACTCAACATAGCTACATCACCACTACTACCACCACTGTCAGCACCATCACCATTATCACCATCATCCTCATCACCATCACCATCCTCATCACCATCCTCACCATCATCACCACCATCATCACCATCACCATCATCACCATCATCATCACCACCACCACCATCACCATCATCACCACCACCATCATCACCATCACCATCCTCATCACCATCACCATCATCACCACCACCATCATCATCACCACCACCACCATCACCATCACCATCACCATCATCACCATCATCATCACCATCACCATCTTCACCATCACCATCATCACCACCATCATCACCATCACCATCACCACCACCATCACCACCATCATCATTACCATCATCACCATCACCATCATCATCACCATCACCACCACCATCACCACCATCATCATCACCATCATCACCATCACCATCATCACCATCACCACCACCACCATCATCACCACCATCACCACCACCATCATCACCACCACCACCAGTATCAGCATCATCACCACCACCACCACAATCACCACCATCACCACCACCACCACCACCACCATCATCACCACCACCACCATCACCACCATCATCACCACCACCACCATCACCACCACCACCATCATCACCACCATCATCACCACCACCATCATCACCATCATCATCACCATCATCATCCTCACCATCACCATCATCACCATCATCATCATCACCATCATCACCATCACCATCAACATCACCATCACCATCACCACCACCACCTACCTCTATCACCAGGCCCTGCACCTGGCAATTCTGCACATCCCTTCAATTAATCTTTACAACCATCACCCTTGGAGGTAGTTGTCATCAACACCATTATCATCATCATGATAATCATTACCATTTGTTAAATCAGTGTTCCCCTAATTTTACTGACTTTTGATACCTGTAAAATCACTTAATATTTTTCTTTAAATTTGCTTACTTTTTGGCTGGGAATAGTGGCTCAAACCTGTAATCCTAGACCTTTGGGAGGCCCAGGCAGGGGGATAACTTGAGCCTGGGAGTTTGAGACCAGCCTGGGTAACATACCAAGACCTTGTCTCTACAAAAAAAAAAAAAAAGAGAAAGAAGAAGAAAAAAAGATTAAAAAATTAGCCAGGCATGGTCGTACACACCTGTAATCCCAGCTATTTGGGAGGCTGAGGTGGAAGGATTGCATGAGCTCAGCAGTTGGAGGTTGCAATGAGCTATAATTGCACCACTGCACTCCAGCCTGGGTGACAGAACTCATGAGACCCTGTCTCAAGAAAAAAAAAAAAAAAAAAGGCCGGGTGTGGTGGCTCACGCCTGTAATCCCAGCAGTTTGGAAGGCCGAGGCAGGCAGATCACAAGGTCAGGAGATCAAGACCATCCTGGCCAACACGGTGAAACCCCGTCTCTACTAAAAATACAAAAAAAAATAGCCGGGCGTGGTGGCGGGCACCTGTAGTCCCAGCTACTCGGGAGGCTGAGGCAGGAGAATGGTGTGCACCCAAGAGGTGGAGGTTGCAGTGAGCCGAGATCGCACCATTGCACTCCAGCCTGGGCAACAACAGCGAAACTCTGTCTCAAAAAAAAAAAAGAAAGAAAGAAAAAGAAAAGAAAATTAGCTTACTTTTTAACTGGCCAGGGAAGAACTTTAGCCAATGAAAGCTGCCCGGGCACCTGTATGAGAGTCACTGTAGGGGAGGGCGATGGAGGTGCATCGTGGGGGTACATTAAGTCGTGCTGATCTTGTAGGCTCAGCTCTTAATCAACAGGCAGTTTGATGTCCTTCCCTGTCCAGAGAGTGAAGAACCATCTGACGACAGTGACATCTTTCCTTTTTGGGGAAAGATGCTTCTAGAATTTTCTTTCCTAAAGTTTGGTGAACCTCTCCCTTGGCATCTTCCTCAGCTGAAGGTGAGGCCCTAAAAGCAAAGGACTTCTTTCCCAGCCATTTTGGGCGTTGAATGTGGTCAAACCACTGCAGTGTAGCTTTTGGGGAGTGAGACTCCATCATAGCTGCAGGGGCCCCCGGGGAAGGCGCTGGCACCGATGAGCTGAGCAGGAGCCAAGCCTGGCCAGGCGCCTGGCAAAAGGCATTACAGCCTGAGGTGTGTGGCTGAAAGAAGGAGTGGGTGCAAGGAATGGAAGAAATTTGAATCCTAAATAATTTATTTCTCCACGGAAGGATCACAGCTGCTGAAGCCTCACCTGTGAGGCTGTGAAACTGGAAAGCCACCAGGATTCCAGGTCACACGGGGTATTGTCTAAGCTGATTGGCTCTGTCCTTGTTTTTCTTACAGATCCAGTTTCCATCAAAGGGACCTCTCTTGTCACCAAAATTTAAAAAAAGAAAAAAAAAACGAGTTCTGTTTCTTTAGCATGTTTTACTTAGAGACATAAAAGTTGGACTTGGCAAATGACTAGGAAGGGAGGTCTGGGGGCCCCAGTGACCTTTTGGGCCACAGGTCAAGCAGAACTGGTGCCTGTCATTCCTGTTCAGGGCCACAGACCCCCGGTGGAGCAGCTTTCTCTGCACACACTCACAGAACACAGTGTTTGCTTTAGATTTTCTCACTCTAAAGGAAGGGATTATAAAGCTTAACTCAATAGCTAACGTAGTTAGTCATCTGCACCTCTGTCCCAGGGTAATCCCAGTTACTGGGAATAGGAGGAATGTGCCGGTTCGCCTCCAGGCCTGCACCCCAGAGGACAGAGGCCCTGTGCCCAGGAACACTGTCTCTAGAAACAGCTTCTTTTAGGGTCACCTGTGATGGGGAGCAGCCTGCCATGCAGCCTTGTGTTTAGTGCTAGTGATGTGGCTACACCCAGCCAGTGCCTGGTGCGATTCTACCTCTAGCTCCTGAACAGGCGACTCGAAATCTTAGTTCAAGGTGATCCCAGCAAACACCAATAGGGGAGAGGAGTGTCAACGAGGGAAGGAGGCTGGGCCTGGTGGCTCATGCCTATAATTCCAAGACTTTGGGAGGCCAAGACAGGAGGATGGCTTAAGCCCAGGAGGTCAAGGCTGCAGTGAGCTATGATTGCACCGCTGCACTCCAGCCTGGACGACATAGCAAGACCCTGTCTCAAAAAATAAAAATAAAAAAAAGGAACCACCAAAGAAGGGAGGACAGCCAGTACTAGTGAGTCCTAATGCAGTGGCCATTGAGGGCAGCTGAAGCCTGATCCTGCTGGGGCGTCGTGGGATGGGAGAATGGAGAACACACACCACACAGCATAGTCATCCCACCTGACAGGGAGCTGAGGCATTTGTAACCTGTTGGTCTTGGAGAAAGGCTGCGAGGAGGGAGGTGGTTAATTCCTCCACACTTTTGTCCCCTTCTGGAGAGGAAGCCCCCAGGCAAAGAAGTGCAGATGCGAGGTTTAGGAGTCAGCCCGCATGCACTGGAACGGTGACAGCGGCATATGGTGTAGGGGTGGAGGGAGGACAATGCTGAATGCCTGTGAGGCATCCACAGACCCATGCCCAGGTGACCTCCTATGACTCTAAGAATTAGTTAGACCGGGACCCAGCAGGGCAGCCACTGGGAAGGCAGGGAGCTGGTTTACCCACAACAGCACTGGTGGGATTGGGCAGGATGGGCCAGGCTGGAGCCCATTCCCCACCCCTCAGTCCCAAGATTTCCTTTCTGAAACAGGTGTGGGAGTTGCGTGGGGTCGTGTTGTGGTCCTGTCCTGCAGGTCACAATGAAGGGACCTATAGACATGGTGGAAGGGACTGGGGACTCCATGGCTGCAGCTTCTGGACTGAAGACACTTCCTTTTTCTGGCATATTGAGGTCCCCCTTTGTTGTAAATGTTGGACAACCTAACCCAAACTAGGCTTCAGCAAAATGACAATGTATTAGCTCCTATAAAAGTCAGGAGAGAGTTCTGGTTCAGATGTGGCTTGCTCCAGGGGCACAGGCCATTTCCCTCTCTCTGTAGCAGAGTTAGTTCCATTCTAGCTACAGCAGCAACAGCTCCCAGCCTACAGAGATCAAGTCTAGCAGAGAGGGTGAGCCGGCCTGTCTCCCCACAGCAAACGGCATCACAGCTCTGACTAGGTCCTGTGTCCCTCCTGGTACCCATCACTGTGCCCAGGAAAATGCAGGGGGCTGATTGGCCAGGCTGGAGCTGCACAGCCTCCTTTGGAACATGAGGATAAAATCCACAGAAACAGTGAGCACTGAGCAGGGAAGAAAATGATTCTCCAACTGCAGTGTGGGTAACCTGTTACCAAAAGAGATGGGAATGGACGCTGGGCAGCTAAAAACAGCACATGCTCCCTCCAGTTGGCTGTGGGTCTGCATCCAGGACCTGTGCTCTCCCTCTGCTTCTCCCCGTTTTCCTCCACCACCACCACCTCACCAGAATGAATGCTCAAGTGGCCAGGAGAGAGAACTCCCAGCTGCCTCAAGCGGCAGACTTGCAGCAGATCCTGGCAGTTGGATCCCCCGGGCAGTGGTGAAAACTAGCCTTCCATCCCCGGGGAAATGTGTGGGGCGCTGCTGGTTGTCACAGTGACGGGGGGATGCTGTGGGCTGTTAGTAGTGAAGGCCAAGAATGCAATGCACAAGACAGACCACACAATAAAGAACCATCCCACCAAAACCCCAAGAGCATCCTCCCGGACAGTCACTGTCACCTGGGCTCATCTCTCCCACACTGGCCTTGCATTGTGGCTCACGTTGCCTGTCGTGGGCCATAGGGATCCCTCTTGAAGAGTGGAAACTGCACATGCTAAACGACCACATGCCGGAGTCCCTGTCTTCATCCTGCCGAGTGCAGTTCTGTTGACACATCCGCTACTCTGTGGTTAGGTCCTGGAGGCAGAGAGCAGGTTTTTTCTTCTCAAATCCTTCCCAGCACATTGCAGACTCATGAATGAGTAGACCTGTCACCCTCGGGAGCACTTTGGGATACATTAAGATTTGGCTTAGGCCATTGTATTCAGAGTGTGGTATAATGAGTGAGTGTGATATTCAGAGTGAGTATAAATGTGATCACTGGAGAGGACTATTTTAAGTACAGTCAATTTCAAGCAACAGCCCCTGATAGGGGCTTTCAAGAGGGAAGTTTAGAGCTGGAAAGAAGAGTGAGCAGGTATATTTCCTATCAATCACCATGCAATAACTAAGACTGCTGTGGCTGTGAGTTTGGGGACAGCCTGGCTGTAGCTGAGCCTGCAAGTTATAGGGGCCAAGGCCCTTTGTCCTCTAAAGGTTCACTGAAAACTCATATGAGGCAAATTGATTAATAGGAGAAAGGCATACACATTTATGTGTACACATGGGAGCCTTCAGAATGAAGACCCAGAGGTACAGAGGAAATTGTCTTCATGCTGAGTTTCAACAAAGATGGACAGCCTTGTAGAAATAGGACTGGACAAAAGGGTCGGATCTAATGCTAATAGACTATGTGGGGAACCCAGCAAGGCCTGTCTGTCTAGATTCTTCTTGGCCTCTCTGAGCAGCATTCCTTCCTCTGGGGCATGGGGCAAGATCTTCTCTGGAATGGGGGTCTTATGACTGACTGCAAACAAGGTAGGTCAGATCATTTTGTTATGACCAGTTCTTACACAAGGCTGGGGGAAAATTCAAGTAATACTTTTAGGTTTTCTGACTAGCTCTGGGGAGAATGGGTTCTTGTTTCTATGGCATCTTGGGAAAGGATTGAGTTTGTATGGCTAGCCTTGGGGGAGATGGGACTGAGAGATAGGAGGGCAGGAGAAGATCACAGAAAACTTTCCCTTCTGAGGCCTTCATTTTGAGGTATTATTGTCTAAGCTCCAGCGGAGTCTAGCATCTTCACCAGGCTGAGCTCAGACCCTGGCTCTGAACATTGTCTCAAGACCATCAACTGGCCTGGTGCAGTGGCTCACGCCTGTAATCCCAGCGTTTTGGGAGGCCAAGGCAGGCAGATGACTTGAGCCCAGGAATTGGAGACCAGTCTGGGCAGCATGGCGAAAACTCATATTTTGTATTTTTCTAAAAAAAAAAAAAAAAAAATACAAAAATTAGCACCTGTAGTCCCAGCTATTTGGGTGGCTGAGGTGGGAGGGTCACTTGAGCCTGGGAGGTCAAGGCTGCAGTAAGCTGAGATCGTGCCACTGCAATCCAGCCTGGGTGACAAAAGGAGACCCTGTCTCAAAAAAAAAAAAAAAAAGAAAAGAAAAAGAAAGCCATCAATCAATTGGTTATTATGTTATTATTATTTATTTATTTGAGGCAGTCTTGCTCTGTCGCCCAGGCTCAATCTTGGCTCACTGCAACCTCCACCTCCCGGGTTCAAGCAATTCTCCTGCCTCAGCCTCCCGAGTAGCTGGGATTACAAGCATACGCCACCACATCTGGCTAATTTTTGTATTTTTAGTAGAGACGGGGTTTCACCATTTTGGCCAGGCTGGTCTCGAACTTCTGACTTCAAGTGATCTGCCCACCTCAGCCTCCCAAAGTACTGGGAGCCTCCGCACCCGGTCCAGTTGGTTATTCTTGAGATAGGTTGGTCCCTGTATAGTGATCCATCGAAGTGCAGAAGAAAGTCCAGGAAGCCCCATCCTCCTGCAGCTGCCTGTCTGGTCTGTCCAGTCCACTGTGCCAGGGACACAGGACCAGATGAGAGGTCCTTGGCTTTTCAGATACAACCTGGTCTCCATCCTCCCCACCCCCACCCTTGAGGACAGCCACCCTCCCACTGGCCATGAAGCCTGGCACCCAGGCCATCCCGCAGTCACAGAGTAAGTAAATAACCAGGATCCAGGGAACCAAACTGCCAGGTAAAGGCAGCCATGAGACTCAGGGGACACCTGCCATGCAGCCTGTCCTGCCAAGGCCCCAGGCTCAGGGCCATGTTGGAGTCAATCAGGCCTGCAGCCACCAATGACCCATCAGAGGAAGGACAGCACTTCAGGCTGCTATTACAGGCTCTGGCTTCGCTGGGAAACTCAGGAAGCCTCTGCATCCCCAGGCAGCTCCCCCTCTGTATGTGCAAGCACAGCATATACTTATTACACCTCAGCCAGTCACAGGGGGTCGAAGCAGAGATTTGAACTGGAAAAGTGCCCTTGCCAATGTCCCAAGATGCATTCCGGTCCTAAGCCAGGAGGAACTGAGCTGCGAGCTAGCGAATGAGGAGGACAGAGGAGCTGGAGGTGCCTGTTTGTTGGGAGTCTGGAGGAAAGGAGGTGCCAATCACCAGCGGCAAGAAGGAAAGTGTCCAAGGCAGAGAGCCAGGTTGGTCCCAGCGGCAGGGCTGAGCGAGAGATCCAGGCTCAGACTCCTCCAGGAGGGGCCTCGAGGTTGAGAATTTAAAAAGAAGAGTTCTGTTCAGGTCTGCGGGTGTCTGATCTCATCTGAGGAGTGCATCAAGGAGATGAATGGAGAAGCCCACTTGTCTCCCATTGGGGTCAGGATGAAGGGTCTGGGCTGACCAGCTCCAGAAGAAGCTCACCTTTCGAGAATGAGTTCTCCTTTAAACCTTTCTCCTCCTCTGTTCTGCCCTTCTCCTGCCTGCCACTGCCAGCAGTCAAGAATGGACTGTGTATACCATATTCTGGAGAATCTGATTATACCCTGGACACTGGTGTGTGGATTGCAGTCTGCTGCAGGATGACATTAGAGTTTAGTTGTTTTTTTCTAATGGGGCTCCATTCTGTGTGTCTGGTAGGAGGTGCTTTTAATGTGCTGATAAACCAACCTCAGGAAGGTATTATGTACAGAAGATTCCCAAGGCTGCTGTTGCTGAAAGAGACTTGGGCTACTGCCAGGGAACTAGGTGAGTCCCCGTAGCTGAACAGAGCTGCCTAAGAGAAGTGGAATAGAGGATCATGTGGTGTCTGTTTTGTGCCTTTAGTGATCGGTGTTTCATATGTATTTGGGGATGTTGCTTTCTCTGTGGGAACAAGCAAAAGAATCGTTTTGTTCTGATGAAATTAACAATGAATTTGGTGAAAGAAACTTCCAACTCCCTTGCCCATCTCCCTTCATCCCATTCATTTGGCAAAACCACAACCCTGGGGCAAATCCAGTTCTCTGCCTCCTGCGCACTTGGACTTGTGCAGCTAAACTTTGGGAAGCTCAGCCGTGCAGGCCAGACTCGCTTGAAATTCATGACCATGGGCTCCAAGTGGGCCTTGATGCTGCCAGGGATCAAATCACATTTTATTCCCCAAGACGCTTCTCTTCTGTCCTCAGACTTACCCCTTCTCCTCCCTGCTTCACCAGACCTCCAAGACTCACCACCGAGTCTCCCCACCTACCAGCGCCCTCTTGAGTATCCATCCCCCTTCCCCCAAGGCAATGACTGATTTGATTGCTGTCACGACAGACGCATAGACACATGATTTTGCATGTTCTAGAAACTAACATAAATGGACTCAATCAGTTTGGACTTTTTTTACCTGGCTTCTTTTGCTCATCATAATATTTTAAACCTAAATCATATTTCTATACATATCAATAGTTTATTCCTCTTTATTTCTGAGAAGTATTTCATTGTGTGAATATGCCATAGCGTGTTTATCTACTCACCTGTTAATGGACATTCAGATTGGTTCCAGTTTTTAGATTTTTTTTTTTTTCTTTTGAGAAGGAGTTTCACTCCTGTTGCCCAGGCTGGAGTGCAATGGCACAACCTCGGCTCACCGCAATCTCCACCTCCCAGGTTCAAGCGATTCTCCTGCCTCAGCCTCCCAAGTAGCTGGGATTACGGGCATGTGCCACCATGCCTGGCTAATTTTGTATTTTCAGTAGAGACGGGGCTTCACCGTGTTGGTCAGTCTGGTCTTGGACTCCTGACCTCAGATGATCTGCCCACCTCAGTCTCGAAGGCATGTTTTTAATTGTACTGGCATTTTATCTTGGCTAATTTGCTGTCTATTTTATTAACTTTTTTGGTTAGTTAATATCAGACATAAAATAAAGGGTAATTTCTTTTTTTTTTTTTTTTGAGGGTCTCACTCTGTCACCCAGGTTGGAGTGCAGCAGGGGCATGATCAGCTCACTGAAGGATCATTTCTTGGTCTAGGCTATAGGCTGGCCTTAGAATCAACTCACCTGGTGTCCTATTGTCAGGGACATCTTAACCAGGGTGACTGCACCTCGAATAAAGGCCAGATAAAGCCAAACTTGCTGGGTTACATTCCTTGGGGGTTAGACACCCTTCATCACAAGATGTTTGTAGCTCAAAGAAGGGGTTAATGATGCTAACTAGAGACCCAGAACGTCTGAAAACGTCCTGATATTTAAAGAACAAAGCATCCTTCATTTGAGAATAAGTTTCACTTTAAAGGTAATAGTACTCTCATAAATTCTTGCTGAAATCAATAGTTACATAGGAAAATAACAATGCTAATAGCCTGTCACAAGCTGATCATAAGCCTTTGTTTATAAAGTCTACTATTCTTAGCCTTAACATCCCATGTAAGCAAGTGCTATGTTTCAGTTAGAGGAATTCCTCCTCTTGCTTTCTGAGGACACCCTATTCTGTAATAGAGTAGTTTCTAATAAACTGTTTTATCTTTGCTATGCACTGCGACTCACCCTCTTTCCCACATGAAATCCAAGAACTCGCTCTTGGGGTCTGGAGTAAGTCTCCTTTTTCCAGTAACACTGTGTGTGTTCCTGGCTTTGAGGGGCATCCTGGGGGACGGAAGCTGCCCATCTGGACCCCTCAGCTCTGCAATCCCAGGTGCAAGATTGGGACAGCAACCTGGTGGCATCGTGGGGCTCCTCTGGTACTCTGCTGGTCTCCATCCTTCCAAAAGGACACCCACCAAGAGGCTGACACAGGCCACAGTGGGAGCACTGGGAGGACTGTGTGTTTGTAGAGGGTGAGAATGGGGGAGAGGTGTTGGCCAAACACTTCCATCTTTCTCACAGTGACCTCTCAAGGTAGCCCCCTGGGGTAAGCCAAGGACCTTCAGTGGGCTCTTGTAATGGGGGTCAAAGCCTTTTGTAGGTCGGGTGTTAAGGTGCCCTTCCTTCTCAAGGCTCTCTCTGCCTCTTCAGAGCAAAGATGATCCAGGGATGGGCCAAAGGGAGCACCAGCAAACCCTACAGGGAGTCCCAACTTGGGAGAGAGGGGAGCACCAGGAAATCCTACAGGGAGTCCCAACTGAGGAGAGAGGGAGCACCAGCAAATCCTACAGGGAGTCCCAACTGAGGAGAGAGAGAGCACCAGCAAACCCTACAGAGTCCCAACTGAGGAGAGAGGGAGCACCAGCAAACCCTACAGAGTCCCAACTAAGGTGCGAAGGATGGAAAGAAAGGGAGTCCACCTGAGTGGCTGGGACTATCAGCGCCCGCCACCACACCCAGCTAACTATCGTTTTGGCTTTTTTTTTTTTTTTTTTTTTTGGTAGAAACAGGGTTTCACCATGTTGACCAGGCTGATCTCGAGCCACCTGCCTTGGCCTCCCAAAGTGCTGGGATTTCAGGTGTGAGCCACCATGGCCCGCCAGGACCTAGTCTTTGGAATGCCAACGCAGGGAATTAGGGGAGGTGTGGGTGGTGAGGCATAGACAGAAATGCCCCGTGTACCAAACAGCTGGGCTCCGTCCTCCTGCACTGGCCAGCGGCCTCCCTTGCAGGATTGACCCACAAGGTCGTATCCTAGAGGCAAGAGGAGGCAGCAAAGCCTGGAATAGAGGCTTGTGGAATTGGAATCAGGCCGCATGCTTAACTCATGCAAAGCAGCTCCCTGGAAACCTCCAGAGGAGAAGTGACTCAACACACACGTCCCAGACCCTCTGGGCCCCTAGGCACCCTCGGCCTGCAGCTGTGGGGGCAATGGAAAGTGCCTCCTTTCTCTTCTTCCCCTTGCATTATTCACAGGGAGCCACAAACACAGAAAGGCCTCATTCACAAGCTCCAAGGCCTGGCCCTCTACGGAAAGCTTTCTGAAAATGCAAATGTCTCAGAAGTGGATTCTTCTTTTCAAACACTTTAAAGTGGCATATTCCCACGGAGCTGTGAAGCAGACCAAGATTTCCCTGGGCAGGAGACTCCTTAAAAATAACATTTGCATTTCAAGGAAGCAGAACTTCCAGCTGTGAAGTCCGGCTTGAAAATAGAAGGTGGGAGCCTCACCTCTTTGGGCATGGGCAGGCGTGAAGCCCCCACTTTCCCTGTCTGTGCCCCATCCCCACCTTGGCCTTGCCTCCTCCATCCTTTCATTCAGTGCTAGCTTAGGAGTGCCCATAGTAGCCCTGGGTGACTGGGGACTCACAAGACAGAACTGTTGTTCACCAGAAGCTCAAATCTAATGAGCCAGACAAGCCTCTAAATGAGTCAATTCCACCCCCATTCCAGGGACCCTGGGCCTGCCTGTTCCCTTCCCCCATAGAACCAAGAGGTTCTGGGTTCAGCTCTCCTCAGAGGAGCAGATCTCCACTGCGGTGAAAAGCACGGGTCATTTCTGTCTATGCCCCACCACCCACACTTCCCCGAATTCTCTGCCTTGGCATTTCAAAGACTAGGTCCTGGCGGGGCATGGTGGCTTACACCCAAAATCCCAGCACTTTGGGAAGCCAAGGCAGGTGGATCGAGATCAGCCTGGTCAACATGGTGAAACCCTGTCTCTACAAAAAAAAAAAAAAAAAAGAAGAAGAAGGTTAGCTGGGTGTGGTGGCGGGCACCAATAGTCCCAGCTACTTGGGAGGCTGAGGCAGGAAAATCATGTGAACTTGGAAGGCGGAGGTTGCAGTGAGCCAATATCGTGCCACTGCCCTCCAGCTTGGGCAACAGATTGAGACTCTTATCTCAAAAGGAAAATAAAAAACAAAGGCTAGGTCCCTTCCCTGGCTTCTGACTCAAGCCTGCAGCCAGGCCTTCTAGGGGGCCCCTCCCACCCCTGGAGGCTTCCCCTGGAGGAGCGGGTGCCCTCTCCTCTCTCCTCTCAGGCATCAGATAGGATTCAAGCTGAGATAACCCAGGAAAACAACAGACTCCTTCTCTCCTCTCAATAGCTTTCCCATTCACCATCAAGACATCACTCAGTTAAAATGTACATTTCCCCACCCTGATGATACAGGATTTTATACTACATATTTGTTGTCTGCTTTTTTTCCCACTTCTCAAAGAAATCTTTCTATGTAATATCTCATTTTTAAACAGCTGCATGGCGTTGCATCATATGCCTGTTTCGTAATTGATCAAATGAGATTCTACAGAGCTTACCTTAGTGCCCATGGTACTGCTCAAAGAATCCTGGCTACGATATTAGTTAGACCCATTTACAGGGAGTGGGGAACCTAGCTCCATCTGGCTTAGACAATAGGGGAACTTAATGGTTTATGTAACTGTAAAGTCTAAAGATAACACAGGCTTTGGGGAGAGCTTAATCTGACATGCTCTTTTCTTTCCCACTGCCCCCCTTTGCCTTCCGTGGTATCAGCTTCCCTCCCCTTTGGTTGTAAGATGGCAGAGCCTGGCACAGAGCCAAAAGCACCCACGGGTACAATGGGACTTTGTCTACATCCGGAGAGAGTGCCCACAAGCCTGTGAATTTCCCAGCATTCTGAGCAAGAGTCCTATAATTCACTCTAATTGGACCAACTCAGTTGACATCCCCACCAATGACTGGGCCCCGGGGAACTGGGAATGTGTTGACTGGCTGAGGCCATGTGGGGGCCACCTAGGGGCCACCTGTGAGTCAGATTTGGATTAGCTTCCCTTGAAGTGAGTAGGCTGTGTGAGAGAAGGCAGAATATCCGAATGAAAATTACATTATTTTAGTAAAGAAGTGTGGGAAACCAAAATATGCCACCCAAAAATATTCCTTGGCATATTTTGGGATGGCTATTCAGAGGGGCTGCAGACACAGGATAGCTCTGGAAAGCTGTGTTTTTGTGGGGAGTTTTGAATCTGTAGTAGAAATCTACATTAGTGAAGTAAATTGTGGATGCAAACAGGCTTCCTCTGAGACCCCTTTATCTGCCTTATCCAGATCTCTCAGGAGAAGGAGATTAGAAGTTCTGACACTTTTAAAGGTCTGATAGAGAAACTTTTTTTTTTTCTTTTAGACAGGGTCTCACTCTGTCACCCAGGTTGGAGTGCAGTGGCACAATCTCAGCTCACTGCAACCTCCGCCTCCCAGGTTTAAGCCGTTCTCCTACCTCAGCCTCCTGAGTAGCTGGGATTACAGGAGCACACCACCCCGCCCAGCTAATTTTTATATTTTTAGTAGAGATGGGGTTTCAACATGTTGGTCAGGCTGGTCTCGAACTCCTGACCTCAGGTGATCCGCCCGCCTCAGCCTCCCAAAGTGCTGGGACAACAGGCATGAGCCACCGCACCCATCATGACGGAGAAATTTTACCACAAGCTGCCATCTGAACTCATATTGCAGGAAGAAAGACTGAAGTTTGTCAACACACTGGACATCTCTACTCTTTCTGCAGGCTGTTGCTTGTGAGCCTTCATCTGCATAATAAGAAAACCTTAGCTCACCATGCATCTCCTCCCCTCTCCTTCCCATAACCTATTGCCACCTCCCCCGAGATGCTCCAAGTCTCTCTTCCTTTCCATATGGTATAGAAACTTCAGCCATTTGGCCCTCTTTTAGTCTCATAGTTTGTGTGGTCCCTATGCACATGTTCTTGTTAATACATTTGTGTGCCTTTTCTCTTATTTATCTATTGCCCATTTATTTCAGCAGACTTAAAGACTCAAACCTTCAGCAGGGGAGGGAGAGATATTCTACACCCCAGAATCAAGGAATGCTGAGAAGGCCATCAACACATGTCTGTTTTCAGTATTGGTTTTTCTTTTTTTTTTTGAGGTGGAGTCATCTTGCTCTGTCACCCAGGCTGGAGTGCAGTGGCATAATCTCAGCTCACTGCAACCTCCACTTCCCAGGTTCAAGCATTCTCCTGCCTCAGCCTCCCAAGTAGCTGGGATTACAGGCACGTGCCACCACACCCAGCTAATTTTTTGTATTTTTAGTAGAGATGGAGTTTCACCATGTTGGCCGGGCTGGTCTTGAATTCCTGACCTCAGGTGATCCACCCGCCTCAGCCACCGTGCCTGGCCTGATTTTTCTTTTTCTTTTTTTTTTTTTTTGAGATGGAGTCTCACTCTGTTGCCCAGGCTGGAGCGCAGTGGCACGATCTCGGCTCACTGCAAGCTCCGCCTCCCAGGTTCACACCATTCTCCTGCCTCAGCCCCCTGAGTAGCTGCGACTACAGGCGCCCGCCACAACGCTTGGCTAATTTTTTTTTGTATTTTTAGTAGAGACGGGGTTTCACCATGTTAGCCAGGATGGTCTCGATCTCCCGACCTTGTGATCCGCCCACCTTGGCCTCCCAAAGTGCCGGGATTACAGGAGTGAGCCACCGTGCCAGGCCTCGATTTTTCTTTTTTTAACTATTCTCCTACTAACAGATACTTAAGTTTATTCAATCTCACTTTTTTTTTTTTGAGACAGAGTCTTGCACTGTTGCCCAGGCTGGAGTGCAGTGGTGCGATCTCAGCTCACTGCAAGCTCCGCCTCCCGGGTTCACACCATTCTCCTGCCTCAGCCTCCCGAGTAGCTGGGACTACAGGCACCTGCCACCACGCCTGGCTAATTTTTTTGTATTTTTAGTAGAGATGGGGTTTCACCGTGTTAGCCGGGATGGTCTCGATCTCCTGACCTCGTGATTCACCCACCTCGGCCTCCCAGAGTGCTGGGATTACAGGCGTGAGCCACCGCGCCCGGCCCAATCTCACTTTTATAAGTAGTATTGCAATGAACATCCTTAAACACATATTTTTGCCAAGGATTCCTTCTCAGTGCCACTCTCCTCTGATTTCCAGACCCCCTCAATATCCTCCTCAGATTTGCCCTGCACTTCTTGTTCCATGCTTGGGGTCCTAAGAACAAGCCATCTGATGCCTCTACTATCATTACCTCTATTGGGACCCAGAAACCAATACCCCAAAATATGGTGCATGGACATGCTGAACTGAAGAAGATGCCTCAAGGCAAGTTCTCTCTGGCCTCCCCACTCGACTCCCCACCCCACTCTCTATCGTTTGTCTCTCTCAAAACACAGGATGAAGTTGTTCTCTGAAGTTCCTTTATCTACCTAAAGTGTGGACATACCAAAGGGGAAAAAAAAAAAAACAGTTACCTCTGGTCCCATCCTTGAGTTTTCATTAACTGAACTCATATCTCAGGAAGAAAGAATAAAGTCTGTCAACACACTAGATGGACTTTTTTTTCCCACAAACCATTGTATCTGCTCTGTGGGCCCAACAGACTTGGTCCCAGGCCACAGTATATTCTTCAAGCACATTGAATTCCCCTAAAAATCATTTGCTATCCCCCTAAAATCATCCACACTTCCCCATCTTCCTTTCCCCTAAAAAGAAGGTTATATAAGCATCTGCACCCCATTGGGTTAATGGATAATTATTCTCCTGCAATTCCCCTATGCTATGCATATTAAAATAAATTCATATGCCTTTTCTCCAATTAATCTGCCCTCTGTGAGTTGATTTTTCAGTGAACTTTCAGAGGGCAAAGGGGAAGTTTTTCCCCTGGCCCTTACTTTCCATAGCCTGAGTAAGGAAGACAGAAATGAGTTAGGAGGCCTTCTCTCTTTTTTTTTTTTTTGAATCGGAGTCTTGCTCTGTTGCCCAGGCTGGAGTGCAGTGGTGCAATCTCAACTCACTGCAACCTCCACCAGGAAGGCCTTCTAAAATTGGGAAATCCAAGGCTCAGTTCTCACTCCACAATGGCCAACTGTGGCAGTAGAGTACTCAACTAGGGCCAGAAATTCTGGTGAGATACCTTCCTTGGCCCACTTATGTGTCTTTAAACTAATTATTTGCTCTTTCCTTTAAAGCAGGCACAGCCTTCCAAGAGGTTGTCTTGGCATCAAATAAATTACTTTTCCTGTGTCCCACCAATGGGAAAATCATGGAAGTCTCCAGAAATATGACTGTAGTGAATGCTGTAGTGTGCTACCCAGATCAAGGCCCTCATTTCCCCAGATGCCAGAGTGCTGGCTGTTTGTAGTTATGCCTGTCTCTGGGCATTGCCCTTGGCTAAAGTAAGCTGCCTCACCCCAAGATCACACCGCTTCCCCAGAGGCAACATGAATCAATGACAGGACCATGTAGGGGTAAAAAGGCCTGGAAAAAGTCTTCTCAAAATTCATGTCTCATTTTGAGAAGACTCTGAAAGATCATCCCATGATGTTTTTTATGTGTTTCAGTTACCTACCGTCACATAACAAATCACGCCAAAATTTAGTGGCTTAAAACAAAATGATTTGTTATTTTTCATGATTCTATGGATTGATGGGGCTCAACTGGCTGGGTCTTCTGCTCTAAGCGGTAGAGATGAAGTTACTCATGCAAATGCATTCAGTTGGGAGTTTGGTGGGAACTACAGCACCCAAGATTAATTGCCTCTCATCCTCTAGAGTCTCTCTCTACATTGCCTTCATTGTTCAGTAGTCTAATATGGGCTGCTTTATGTGTCACAGCTGAATTCTGAAGAGTGTTTCAAGAGGACAAGCCCCACTGGGGGGCACTTATCAAATCTCTGCTTGCATCATTCTAGCTGATGTCCTGTTGGCCACACCCTGAGTTAACACAGAATTATATACCGGAAGGGATAGTTCACTGGGGCTACTAATGTAACAACCTACCATTGTCTGCCCTCTGACTCTTAATAATTCATATCTGCTTGCAAAATAGGGTCATCCCTAAAGGCAAAAACAGAACTTCCAAAGTATCTTTCTGTGACAACATTAGGTTCAGGCTTGAAGTCCCTGATTTCGCCATCAAAGTCAGATCCAGGGGGGACGATGCTATTCAGGTAAGGTTCCCCAAGTGTTGTTCCTAGGAGCAGAGACCTATGAACTAAAAAGACCAGTTATCTACTCCTCCAACACCTGAAAAATACTGTAGAGCCAGGAAAACTGCAATACTCTCATTCAAAAAGTTGAGGAGACAGGGAGGCACATAATAATCACCAGTCCATAGCTATTTTTAAGAAAAATATTTTTGTGTACTAATGTAATTGCATCACACAAATTTTGGACCTTTATTTTTACTTTTATTCAACTAAACATATTCCATAATGTCACTTGTGACCGTTTTTTAGACAGGGTCTTGCTCTGTTGCCCAGGCTGGAGTGCAGTGGCTCAATCACAGCTCACTGCAGCCTCAACCTCCTGGGCTCAAGTGATCTTCACGCCTTATACTCCAGAGTAGATGGAACGACAGGTGCACACCACCACAACTGGCTCATTTTTTTAAATTTTTTTGTAGAGACAAAGTCTCACTATGTTGCCCAGGCTGGTCTCGAACTACTGGGCTCAAGCAGTCTTCCCAACACAGCCTCCAAAAGTGCTGGGATTACAGGAGTGAACCACCGTGCCTAGCCTATTAAAAAAAAATTTTTTTGGAGACAGAGGCTTTCACTTATCACCCAGGCTGGAATGCAGTGGCCCGATCACAGCTCACTGCAGCCTGGACCTCCGAGCACAAGTGATTTCTGCACCTCAGCCTCCTGTGTAGCTGGAACTTCAGGCATACGCCACCACACCTGGCTAATTTTTTTTTTTTTTTAGTAGAGACAAAGTCTCACTATGTTGCCCGGGTGGTCCTAATCTCCTGGGCTCAAGAGAACTTCCTGCCTAGGCCTCCCAAAGTGCTGGGGTTACAGGCATGAGCCACCATGCCTGGCCTGAGCAGTGCACTTTTAAATAACCTGTGGGACAAATTAAAAAGTGGCAAGGCCTTTTTAAGTGTTCTGGAACTGTGATTTCAGCTACTCCGGAGGCTGAGTTAGGAGGATCACTTGAGCCTGGAAGGTCAATGCTGCAGTGAGCAGTGATACAGCCACTGCACCCCAGCCTGGGCAACAGAGTGAGACCTTGTCTCAAAAAAAAAAAAAAAAAAAGAAAAAAAGAAAAGAGAAAAGAAATATGTTGCTCAATTTCCACATATTCAGGAATTTCTAGATATCATATTGTTATTGATGATCAATTTAATACCTCTGTGATTGATTACTAATTTAATACCTCAGAAAATGTACTCTGTGTATTTTCAATCCTTTGAAATTTATTAAGGTTTGTTTATTAAGAGGACCCCGCATATGGTCTATCTTGGTGAATGTGCATATGATCTATACTGGTGAATGTTCTATGTTTTTTTACACAGTCTGTCAATCTCTGTCTCTTACATAAAAGTATTTAAGGCCGGGTGTGGTGGCTCATGCCTGTAATCCCAGCAGTTTGGGAGGCTGAGGTGGGCAGATCATGAGGTCAGGAGATCGAGACCATCCTGGCTAACACGGTGAAACCCCATCTCTAATAAAAATACAAAAAATTAGACGGGCGCAGTGGCGGGCACCTGTAGTCCCAGCTACTTGGGAGGCTGAGGCAGGATAATGGTGTGAACCCGGGAGGCGGAGCTTGCAGTGAGCTGAGATCGCGCCACTGCACTCCAACCTGGGTGACAGAGCAAGACTCCGTCTCAAAAAAAAAAAAAAAATTTTAGGTCATTGATATTAGATAACTATTACTGTATGGTCGGGTTTACCATCTTGGTTTGGTTTTCTATTTGTCTCATGTTTCTTTTTTCTTTGCTTGCCCTTCTTGCTCTTATTTTGGGTGAATTGGATATCATGTAGTATGCCATTGACTTCATTTATTAAATTTTAGCTCAGCCTCTTGGTGTTGCTTCTAGAGTTTTCTCTAGAAATTGAAACATGCATCTTTAACTTGTCCATGATACTAAACTCCAGCCTGCCCGTCAGCATATCCCCTCTGCCTCCCATGTGTCACCTCCACTGTGGATTGTCTGTCCCTCGTCCACACCATTTCTCCAGTCCTGGGATCTGTTCCTGCATGCATTCGCCTACCAGATACACACTTATCGAGCAACACACTAACGCAGGAAGAATGTACCAAAAAATAGAAGGAGAGTTGGCTCCTTCCACCACTAGAAGTGACAAGTGACAAGGCAATTTAATCATTAACTATTAACTAAAAGACCAATTTGAGATGATGCTGTTGATGTAATATTATTATAAGGATAAAGCCAGGCCGGGTGCCGTGGCTCACGCCTGTAATCCCAGCAGTTTGGGAGGCTGAGGCGGGTGGATCGCTTGAGGTCAGGAGTTCAAGACCAGCCTGGCCAACGTGGTGAAACCCCATCTCTACTAAAAATACAAAAATTATCCAGGCATAGGGGCACACACTGGTAACCTCAGCTACTCAGGAGGCTGAGGCAGGAGAATCACTTGAACCAGGAAGCGGAGGTTGCAGTGAGCCGAGATTGCACCACTGCACTCCAGCCTGGGAGACAGAGTCTCACTCTGTCTCGATTTTTTTTAAAAAAGGATAAAGCCAGCCCCTCTCTTTCACTCTTCCACCGTCTCACAAGCATTCCTGGTCAGATAGACCTAAATGTAAGCATTGTGGGCTACTGCACAAAAAGATCACCCGGGTGCAGCTGCAGTCATTGAACTAGAAAAGCCGGAAAGATCCTGGGTGATGTGGAACCAATATTCCACACCGGTGCATCTGAGGATGCTTTAACAGCATCTTGAAATAATAAGACCAGTGCACAGATCTATATTTGTAAGGATGTGCACAGAAGTGCCTTTTATAATTGCATAAAAGTTCATTTTATTAGGGCACTGATTAGAATAAACTATGGTTAATCATATGCATAATACTATTCAGCCTTTTGAAATAATGATGTTGGCCTACAGATTACATGGAAGGATATCCAGAATGTGTATGTCCAGTGAGAAAAGCAGGTCACTGAACACTATATACTGGGTGATCCGGTTTGTATAAATGTATTATGGGCAATGAGATCACAGTATAAGGCGTACAGTATGGATGACATCTAGTTTTGAATCCTGCTATATTCCAGGACATAACACAGTGATTAACAGATTAACACATAGTAGTTTATCAATAAATATTTGTTGAATATACACTTAATTAAAAATCTGGACTGCTAACCCCCTAGTTACTAGTAATAGGAAGATGGGTGATAATTTTTTCTTTTTTAATGACTTTAAGTTTTATTTTTTTCTACAAGAAACGTGCTGAGAAGAGGACTGCAATGACTGCTTTCAAAAAACACCAGAATAAATACATACGTAGTGTAAGCAAGCGACCACTGTTGTATCAAAAGCCCTTTGTTGTATCTGTTGGTGGCGGAGGCAGCCAGCGGTTAACTGAGGTTCTACTGAGCTCTGTGGACCACAGAGTTGTCTTCTCAAGTTTGCTTCTAGGGACAAATTAGTGACTTTATGATGTCAATCTGTCCCAAGTCCATGGCCAAAGAGAAAAAAATAATGCTGAAAAAGTCAAAATTCTTAGAATTCTTAGAGAATTATAAAACTGCATAGGGGCTGGGTGTGGTGGCTCATGCCTGTAATCCCAGCAATTTGGGAGGCTGAGGCAGGCAGATGACCTGAGGTCAGGGATTTGAGACCAGCCTGGCCAACATGGTGAAACTCCATCTCTACTAAAAATATAAAAATTAGCTGGGCATGGTGGCGTGTGCCTGTAGTCCCAGATACTCGGGAGGCTGAGGCAGGAGAATCACTTGAACCCAGGAGATGGAGGTTGCAGTGAACTGAAATTGTACCACTGCACTCCAGCCTGGGCAACAGAGTGAGACTCCGTCTCCAAAAAGAAAACAAACAAACAAAAAAAACTGCACAAGGATATGAATTTCTGAATAGATTTCTGAGTCACATTCCACTATCCAGAGAATAAAGATAAGTTCATAATTATGGTGTCCAGTATCAAGTACATACCAGAAAAAGACTTTTTAAAGGATGCAAGTAGATAACAATTCTTTCTTTCTTTCTTTTTCTTTCCTTTTTTTTTATTTTTTGAGACAGAGTCTCGCTCTGTGGCCACGCTGGAGTGCCGTGGCGCGATCTCAGCTCACTGCAACCTCCACCTCCCGGGTTCAAGCAATTCTCCTGCCTCAGCCTCCCAAGTAACTGGGACTACAGGCGTGCACCACCACTTCCAGCTAATTTTTGTATTTTTAGTAGAGACAGGGTTGCACCATGTTGGCCGGGATGCTCTCAATCTATTGACCTCGTGATCTGCCAGCCTCAGACTCCCAAAGTGCTGGGATTACAGACGTGAGCCACTGAGCCTGGCCGATGACAATTCTTTCTACCACAGTAAACACAGGAGTGGTAACAAAATGATTATTCTCAGACTAAAATGAAAACTTAAAACCAAATAAAATCCCTGAGCTTCCAGGATCAGAGAATGGCACAGAGAGCAGTATAAGAGGCCAGGAGAAAATATAAGATTTTAAATATTTTATGTGTACCTTTCTTTTTATTTTCGACTGACTAAAAAATAAAGGAAAAATATTTAAGTTAACTCACAAAATACTTTTTTTAAAAAAAGACATGGAGGACATTAGGAAGAAGGGAAAGAAAATTAGGTCGAAAGAAATAAAGTGAATCCAGGGATGAGATTAATACACAAAATGTTTGCCTTGAAAGTCCTTTACACTTGCTAGATATGGGTCACAATTTGACTCAGCTTCCCAGCAGCCTATGCAAAGAAAAAACAAGACCAGCTGTATTACTCACAATGTCCATTGGATAAAAACAAATCCAGTGCTCAGAAGAAGACAAATTCCAAGACCAGAAAGGTATTTCTTCCATGTGTTTCTATCCAAATGGCCTGTGTCACGTAGTAAACAAGGCCCTAAAACCATCTTTACAGTAAACAAAACAATGAGTACCTCGAGGATTGTTAACCTCCCTTATTTAAGTTAACACATTAACCCATGTGAATGTAAATAAAGCAATCCTACAGGGGTGGAAAGCATGGGGTCATCCAAGCTGCCATATTCAATCCCAAAATAAATGCTAATGAGGAATGGAGCTCTCTCGTGCATGAATGAATATGTGACTGCCCATGATATTGTGATACAATAAAAAATATATATTTAGTCTTCATCCCACGTTCCTGGCACAGAGCTCCTAAAACCCTTGGAATTTCTGAGTGATAGGAGTGAGGAGTATTTGTTACTTATCATAAGCCTTCTTCAACCAAACCTGAGTTTATCTAATAAGCTGACACTTGGAGGCTGGGGCTGATGGCCAGAGGAAATAACCATGTATTTTAAAGGGTTGGAACTTTCAGCTCCTTTATTCCCCATTCCCCTGACCCCTACTCCCCAAACACCCCCACCTCCAGAGAGTGGAGAAGGGCTACAGATTGAGGTAATCATTAATGACCAAAGATTTAATCAATCATGTCTACATAATCAGAACCTCTATAAAAACCCCAAACGGGCCAGGTGCAGTGGCTTATGCCTGTAATCCCAGCATTTTGAAAGGCTGAGGTGGGAGGATCACTTGAGGTCGGGAGTTTGAGACTAGCTTGGCCAACGTGGCAAAACCCTGTCTCTACTAAAAATACAAAAATTAGCTGAGCGTGGTAGCCTTCACCTATAATCCCAGCTACTTGGGAGGTTGAGGCATGAGAATCACTTGAACTCGTGGGATGGAGGTTGCAGTGAGCTGAGATCATGCCATTACACTCCAGCCTGGGTGACAGAGCGAGACTCTGTCAAAAACAAACAAACAAAAAAGGCATTTGGAGAGCTTCTGGGTGGGTGAGTATCCATTCTGGGAGAGTGGTGCACTCCAACTTCATAAGGACAGAAACTCCTCTGCTCGGGAGCCTGTGGGACCTTTCCCTTTGTACCTGCTCCTCACCTGGCTTCCATCTGTGCCCTTTATTGTATCCCATATAATAACCAGCAAACACAAATTAAGTGCTTCCCTGAGTTATGTGAGCTGTTAGAACCAATTACGGACCTGAGGAAGGGTTCATAGGAGTCCCCAATTTGTAGCCAAGTCAGACAGAAGTGTGAATAACCTGGGGGCCCACTATTTGAGATTGGCGTCTGAAGTGGGGGGCAGGCTTGTGGGACTGAGCCCTTAACCTGCATGCTTTGATGGAACTCTAGTTTGTTCATGCTAGAATTGAATCACTGGACACCCAGCTGGTATCCTCAGAGAACTGGAGAATTTCGTGATATGGAAAAGCCACGTATTTGGTGCCAGAAGTGCTGTGAGTAGAGAGCACGCTTTTTCTTTGTACTGCCATGGAGACAAGTCTTCCTAAATGTTTCTTCAATTCGACCAAATGTTTGCTAAGTATTGAATAGCAGTGAGTTTGAGGTTGTGGCTCTGATCTAACAAGGATCCAGAATATTCCACATTGCTGGTTAAGTGTAAATCTCAATGTTTGAATAGACAGCTGCGCAGGGTTAACAACCTCTTCTGAAATTCAAGGGGCCCAAATAGAGGCCACCAGAACCCCCACAGAGCGGGGCCAAGCAGGACCCAGACAGGCCACTCCAGTTTCAACTTCAGACTCACACACAAATGACTGGGCCCCAAATTCTTGTATCAGTGTTCCTGACCTTTTCAGGTTCAGGAAATATTTTTAATGCTCCCCATGTGTATAATAGTAATTGTACTGTTGGAATTGGTTGACTGAAAAATATACACAATGGCCAGGTGTTGTGGCTCACGCCTGTAATCCCAGCACTTTGGGAGGCTGAGGTGGACAGATCACTTGAGGTCAGGAGTTCGAGACCAGCCCGGTCAACATGGTGAAACCCCATCTCTACTAAAAATACAAAAATTAGCCAGGCATGGTGGTGGGCGCCTGTAATCCCAGCTACTCGGGAGGCTGAGGCATGAGAATCACTTGAACCCAAGAGACGGAGGTTGCAGTGAGCCAAGATCGCACCACTGCACTCCAGCCTGGGTGACACAGCGAGACTTCATCTCAAAATAAAATAAAATAAAATAAAGTGTACACAATGACAGACTCCTTGTTAAAATTTATGCATGTAATAAATACTCATTGTAGAAAACCCAACCACACAAAAATCAAAGATTTTTTTTAAATCACCATTTTGCTTACCTGGTGCCCAGATAGATATCATTCTATTGGAGTGGGAGGTCTTTTGGGCAGGTGGGGTGCCAGGGTCTATCTACTTCTCTCTAAGGAAGCCAACAGGGAATCAAATATTCTCTCTTCCAGGCTCTTTATAACTAGTACATAGTCATGTGATCTGAGCTTAGCCAATCAGATGCTCCTGCCAAGGGCTTTGGATTGTGAGGAAGTGATGCAAAGGCCCTGTGGTCAACCAGAGATTTTTCACAATGGCTGCAGCAGAGTCAAGAGTCCAATACCATGGTCCTGAGGGGCCAGCAGCAATAATGCCAGGGCCAGCATCCCAAGCTGACTGTTCTTGGTCTCCCTGATTCCAGCAGAACATCCCAGTGGGGATTCTTTGATATGTCCCTTGAATTAAGTGGCTGCCAGGTCCCCTTGAGAAAAGACCATGTGATAACATCAAAAAAATATTCTCTGTTTTAGCCCTTCCTTTCCCACAGGGGAACTGACCATGGACCAGGGAAACTACAGTGGGGAAAGGGATGATCCAGACCTTTGAGGGGGTTTGGGACAGTAACTGTAAACTGACACAGACCCCCTGGGGAACAGAACACTACTGACAAATTTGATGGGATTCCTGTTCATGGTAGGCCTGATGGAATCCTGAACCCATCACTTCTCCAGTGCCTGGGTGTAGAGTTGGAATAGATCCCCTAAGCTACAGGTGGAATCTCCACACTGGCTCTGTGACCCAAAAAGTAAGGGCTATTATGACAGAGGGAGCAAAGGGAAGCCCTTGGACCCTCCCCAGTCCCTTCAACAAAATAGCAAATCTAGAGGAACACTGCGTCCCTGCTGGGAACACAGATGTTGATATCACTGTGAATGAGTCAAAAGGGGTGGGTGTGTGTGTGTGTGTGTGTGCGCACGCGCGCATGTGGAGGCAGTGGGTGATTCCCCTCACAGCTCTACGTAAGTCTCCCGTCTTCTGGCCAGTGCAGAATGGTGGCTCCTGGAGGGGTGGACAGCAGCACATTGTCTGCATCTTGCTCGTGGGCTCTGTGCTGGGTGGACCTTAGCCACCTCACCATCCTGCAGGACATCGTGCTGGTCCACTGCACTGACCGTATCAGGCCTAGGACTTGGTGAGGTGCCTTAGATGCTCCAGAAGTTACTTATATTCACCAATGGCCTCCTTATGGCTTCCAATAGGAAATAAGTGAACGGGTAGATTAATTACTCAGTGTTTTATACAAATAGATTGGACAAGGCTTGGCTCTTAAAGACAGCAATCCCAAATAGCGGCAAGCTGTTTAGCTTTTTTCTTTTCTACTTTGTTTAATATATTTTCTAATCAAAGTATGTAATAATATGCATAAATTTTTTTTTAGGGCAAGTAGAACAGCTTTTTACAATGGAAACAAAGCCGCCTCCTGGTTTTCCTTCCAACTCTGAGCTCCACTCCAAAAAGGCCACCGCTTTTTTAATGTAAACTTGTTATTAAGGACATAAATCATAAGTGACCAGCTCAATACATTTTTACAAAGTGAACACACCTATGTAAACAACACATACTTTTAACAACTCAGGTTTGAGTTTTTGGGTGGTTACTTCCATGCAGCAAAATAAGATCCTCATGTACTACTTTATTTATTTTAGTAGTATTATTATTATTATCATCATTATTATTTTGAGACAGGGTCTTGCTCTGTTGCCCAGGTTGGAGGGCAGTGGCACTATCTCAGCTCACTGCAACCTCTGCCTCCCGGGTTCAAGTGATTCTCCTGCCTCAGCCTCCTGAGTAGATGGGATTACAGGAGCTCACCACTATGCCCAGCTAATTTTTGTAGTTTCAGTAGAGATGGGGTTTCACCATGTTGGCCAGGCTGGTCTCGAATTTCTGACCTCAAGTGATCTGCCTGCCTCGGCCTCCCAAAGTGCTGGGACTACAGGCATGAGCCACTGCGCCTGGCCTTAACTTTAATAAACCTATTTTTGAGTAGACAGTTCATTCCTGTGGAACAAAATTCAAAACAAACAAATGGATAGGCAGTGTTAAATGTCCCTCCCACCCATAAATCTTAACCTGTCATTTCCCTTTGTCAGAAGCCATCCTGTTACCAGTAGCTTGGATTTCCTTCTAAAGGCAATCTATTATTTGACCTATTTTAAATATTTTATTTAATAATTTATGTCCTATCTCAATATAAAACAATTTAAGGAAGATGTTGGGTTATACAATTTGAAGGGCAGAATTCCTCTCAAAGCAGTGAAAACTGACAACACCAAAGAAGTAAGGTGTTCACTGAGCTTTTCCAAATATCGTTAACAATTCATAGAAAGATACTAATTCTTTTGGCCTTTCCCTCATGGTAGCAAGATGGCTGCCATAGCTCCAAATATCAAGTCTTCACACAACATTCTGTGAAGCAAGGAAGGTGATGGCCCCAAAAGGGCCTGTCAACTTCCCTAGTCAGGGAAGGAAATCTTTCCTGGAAATCTCTCCTTGTCTTGGACTGGCTAGAAGTGAGCAGCATGCCCACCTCAAGACCAATCACTAGCAATGAAGAACAGTTGGCTTCATCTATTCACGCTTCAACCCCTGAGGCTGGGTCCATTGCTTTTACACCAAAATCAGGGCTCAGTAAGCATGAGTGGCCAATGAGCAGAAAACCAACAGTGTCTGCCACAGCCAGTACCTTTGTCCTGTCACTGTCTAAACCTGAAAACCAATCTAAACTAAGTTGTTAATCAGGCCATGGAAATAAATCAACCTTGGAAGAGAATGATGATAGCATACCTTCTAGACCTGTGCTGTCCAATATGGGAGCCACTAGCCACACGTGCCATTTAAACTTAACTTTACATTACTTAAAATTAAACAAAACTTTAAATGCAGTTCCTCAGTCACACAAGCCACATCTCAGCTGTTCAATAGCCTCATGTGACTAGTGGCTACTGTACTGGATAGCACAGATTTAGAACAATTTCTTCATTGCAGAAAGCTCTACTGGCAACCACTGCCTGTCCATCTGCCGCTACCACTGATAAGAGGCTTCTCTAAAGTGGTGAAGCGAGAGTTTCTCTAAAGTGGTGAGGTGGTGCCACCTTAGTGTCATTAGCAACACCGCCATCATCTTTGTCCAGTGCAACCTGAAATTGGTAAGCTGAACATCCTCTAGCCAGTGATCACAGAAGCTCCCTGTCCTGCAGAGTCACGTCAGGGTCAGTCACAGAGCTCTGACAAGATCTGGTGCAGAGGAACCTCATGTTTCCATGCACTCACTGAGCCCATCTTCCTGACCGGGTTCTTGATCCACCCCTCTGGGAAAGAGAGGCACTGGCCAGGAGCTGGCTTGGGCAACTAAGGTTATCATAAGATTATTTTAATGGTCACCTTGTTCTATATCAGGCACCTCATGAACGATGATCATGAAGTCACCCACTGCCCATTGCCCCAACACTTGCACACTTCCTATTTTTTCATCAGCCGGGGACCGAGGAGCTGCAGAAAGTGAACAGAATGAGACATACAGGTACAGGGGCAGGGCGTCTGTGGTGGGCACCGGCCCTCATGCCCACCCCACAGATACAGCTCACATTGTATTTGATAGTCTATAAAAGGGCACCTGCTCTGAGACTTGGGGGAGGAATAAGGTTGCCTCCAGTAATAACTGCTCTTTGCTCCACTTTAACCTCAATGGGCCTGACAGTTGAGGTGCCAGCTTGGGTGCAGTTGGTGCAGCCCTGTCCTGGGGGAGGGAAAGGCCAACCAGGGTCCCATTCAACTCTTAGAGACCATGGTTTCTTCCTGGCCAATTTTGGCTGGTGCCATTCTCCCAGGAGGGGACCTTGGGAGACTTACACTGAAGCTCTAACTTGATCTGGCCCAGTAGATTTGAAAGGAGGCCCAAATTGAGTGGCTTCGAAGTCACCATATGTCCTTGCTGCACAAATGAGCTGCTGTTCTCCTCCTCACCCCTACTGGGGCCTCAGATGCTCACAGATCCCCACGAAGTCACCTTGCAGCTGTGGCCACCAAGGTGACAGGTGTAGACACTCTCCCCACAGTTATGTGCCAGGTGTTGGCTGACGGAGGACTGCCCCCACTGTGATGCCCTCAGCCAGTACAGGTGTGTCCTGGGGGCCTGCCTGCCCCTCCTCCTGGCACCACTGACTAGTCCAGGGCTCAGCAGGAGCATGATAGGCACTGAAGCCTGGTCTCTGCCCGTCAGCATTTCCTGCAGGCTTCTTCAATCCCATTTATTCCTAGTGTTCCATTATTGGAACGCTAAGCATGTGGGAGTTATTTATTTCCTGCTGCTCAAGGTCATTGCCAAGGTCTGATTTTTCACACATGTCTGCAATTCAAAAAATTGCAACCTCCTGCATAAGTGGGTTAACAAACCTTCACCAGACCCCTAAAGTTCAGGCGAAATTGAGATATTTGACCCCCATAAGAACACCAGCTGGCACAGAGATCTGCATTCCTGGTGCCCTCATGGGAACCAGCCTGGGCCTGGCAGAGGAGGAAACGAAGTCCCAGCACACCAGCGAGCAGGCCTGCTCCACCTCAGGGGCACCCAGCACTTGTTAGACCCAGTTTCAAGTTTCCAGCCCCTCTTCCCACCTCAGCCTCTTTCCTCCGTGGGTCCTGGGGGCTCCTCCAATTTCCTTTCCCTCTGAGGTCTTCCTCATGTTAAAGATCTTCCTCCCTCCACCCAGCTCCCCAGGAAGCCAGAAAGTCTCCCCAGGTCCAGCCTTCCTTTTAGCCCCCAAATCAAACATCTTAGGGAAAAAGCGGAAAAGTACAGGGAGAGAAGAGAGGAAGGAAAGGAAAGAAGAGAGAAAGGGGGAGGTGGGGAGAGGGGAAGCGGGGAAAGGAAGAAAGAAGGAGAGGAGAATAGGGTGACAGAGTGTGAGTAAAGAGGGAAAAGGAGCTGGCAAGCAACTAGAGGGAGATTACTCCTTGTTTTCCAAACCAACACTTTCTGGTCACTTTTTTTTTTTTTTTTTTTTTTTTGAGACAAGTCCTTGATCTCTCACCCAGGCTGGAGTGCAGTGGCACAATCACGGCTCACTGCAGCCTCGACCTCTCGGGCTCAAGCCATCCACCCACCCCAACCTCCCAAGGAGTAACTGTGACTAGATACACACTGCCATACCCAACTAGCTGTTTGATTTTTGTTTGTTTGTTTATTTAGGGATGGGGTCTCGCTATGATGCCCAGGCTGGTCTAAAACTCCTGGGCTCAAGAAATCCTTCCACCTCAGTTTCCCAAAGTACCGGGATTACAGGTGTGAGCCACCACACCAGTCTCTTATCACTTGATTCCCACCAAATTCTGTTTAAATGAACATGAAGAGGTAAAGTATTTCAAAAATCCCAGTTTACTTTATATCTTCATTGAACACCAGAGAAAGAAGAAGTCCATTAATTTTATGATGTTTTTCTAAGGTGCGGTGGGAGAGGAGGAAGAAATATTCTTGGCATCTTGCCTTTTTTTAAAAAAAAAAAAAAGATCTTTGCAGTTTCCTGTTAATTTAATACCAGAACCTTTGCTGTGTAAATAACACAGATAAAGATAAACTTTACTGGCCCTGGACTCCAACCTTCGTTTAACATTCCACCCCCCTCTGATCCATCCCGCATCCCGCCTATGGAAATTTGTAATTAGTTGTGGAGATTTAGAGGCTGAGAATATATAGTTCAGGAGGCAGAGCATGTTGGTTTTAGACAAGCCTTGTAAGAATGTGCTAAAAATCCCAGTATACCTGACAGTGCTTCTCTAGAACTTGTCTTTCTCTCTTCCTCAGAGGTGACCTGGATGGGGTTAATTCCCTTTCTGGTCAACTTGTAGGTTTCACCCTGGCTCTGCCACCCACCCTCCCAGTTTATTATACCCACTTAGGCTGTGCTTTGCTGGCATGGCCTTGCACTGTTATTTAGACAAGTGATTTAATCCCTCTTACTTGCTATTATTGAGCACTCTTAGTTCCTCTTTTTTTTTTTTTTTTTTTAAGATAGTCTCACTCTGTCACCCAGGCTGGAGTACACTGGTATAATCTTGGCTCACCGCAACCTCCGTCTCCTGGGTTCAAGCGAGTCTCCTGCCTCAGCCTCCCAAGTAGCTGGGATTACAGGCACACACCACCATGCCCAGCTAATTTTTGTATTTTTATTGGAGACGGGGTTTCACCATTTTGGCCAGGCTGGTCTTGAACTCCTGACTTCAGATGATCTGCCAGCCTCAGTCTACAAAGTGCTGGGGTAACAGGAGTGAGCCACCATGCCCAGCCAGATTTAGTTCCCTTTTTGATAGGGCACTTCCTCCAATAGTGTTTTCAAAGAGGGGCTATATGTGATACGCCTTCTGATTCTTTATATACCTGATAATTTAGCTAGAAATCCAAATCTAGGGTCAAAGTTATTTTTCTTTGATACTTTAAAACAATTTTTCCATTTTTTCTTAAACCCAATGTTGTTGCTAAGAAATCTGAAGTCAACCAGATTTTTGTTCCTTCCTCAGTCCTTCTACTACCCAGCTTCTGGGAATACAGGTGTGATGGCCCAAGCTTTAGCAGCCAATTTGGATTATGAAGATGTCAGAGGGCAATAGTGACTTGGTATGAAATCTGAGTCTTCAAACACCTAGTAAAGCAGAACTATTATACTATTTCAGCCATAAACTGTCCATCCCCAAACGTCTACAAAAGAGAAAAAGAAATTTTCATTGTTATTAGTGTTGTCTGTGTTATTAAGAAATGAATCTTAATTCATATATCCATTAAACCTGCTTTGTTTTATACTTTCCAGAAGCCTAACTGTTTTTTATTTTTTATTTTATTTTATTCATTTATTTATTTTTTGAGACAGAGTTTCGCTCTTGATGCCCAGGCTGGAGTGCAATGGCACGATCTCAGCTCACCAAAACCTCCACCTCCTGGGTTCAAGCCATTCTCCTGCCTTAGCCTCCCAAGTAGCTGGGACTACAGGCATGCACCACCATGCCTGGCTAATTTTGTATTTTTAGTAGAGACTGGGTTTCTCCATGTTGGTCAGGCTGGCCTCCAATCCCCGACCTCAGGTGATCCACCTGCCTTGGCCTCCCAAAGTGCTGGGATTACAGACACAAGCCACAGCGCCCGGCCCCAGAAGTCTAATTATTTTTCCCAGTGAATTCATGTTTCCCTAGATATCAGCTACTTTGGTTGGCGATAGGTACACCTGGAAGAGACTAAAACCTAGGCTCTTCCTATATATCCCACCTGGGAGCTTAAGGAATGGGGGTGTGATGGGACTTGCCTCTGGCATCAAATGTGAATGTAGCCACTCCCCATGTGCCACCCTCACACACACCAGACACCCCACTCAGGGAGCTTCTGGGCACTCTCCCCTGGCCAATCCTCTTTCATGAGGCAGGTCTCGTGGTTGGAATTCCTGACCCATGAAGTGGGAAGAAGAGGCTGCCGGGTCTGGTTTTTCTGTGCTGCTAGCCCCAGCCTGATATGCCATCCCTGGCTAGCACAGCTGTTTTCTGCCTCCCAGCAGTGCTGGGGAGATGGGGTTGAGAAATGGTCTACTCAGGCCAATGCAAGCAAAGAAAAGAGCACAAGTGTATAGCGTTCACTCAGCCTATCCCCCTTCTATGGCACTGAGGGGAGGAGGCGACAGGCCTTCCCTGGTTTTACATTGGTTTCTCAGAGTCCTTACCAACTCCCCTCTTGCTTCTGCGGCGTCTTTAGGGTACTATTCAGAGAAAGGTGCCAGCCCTTTAAGTACATTATCATCTTGTCACTTTCTGCTTTAATTTTACATTTCATTACAAATTACGTGAAATGTAATACTCAGTTCTTCAGTTGCACTCGCCAGATTTCAGGTACTCAATAATAGTCACATATGGTGCAGACAATAAAAAAGTTTTCCATCATCACAGAATGTTCTATTGGACAAGGCTGACCTAGATCCTTAGAAGGAAGGGAAATGCATTCCTGCTTCTGACCTGGCTGGCCCCTTGCTCCCCACGCAGATCAGAGCACCATCCGTGTCCTGCATCTGGCCCCCTAGACTTTCTGCTTTACGGAAACAGTCTGGGTTTCAACCCCAGCGCCTGGGGTGGTACAATAAGTATTTGTGGAAATAATGGACCCTCGGTCAGTTTTTGCTAAATGTTGAAGCCCAAAAGGAAAGCTGGGTGGCAGAAATAACCCCTGCGTGTTCTCTTTTATCTCACCTTCCTACCCACTTCTGCGCCCTCCGCCCCCTACCCCCCTACCTCCCACCCCACCTCGGCAAGACCCCAAACTGTGCAGGACTCTGCTCCAGGTCTCCAAACGATCTTATCTAGTGAGGGGATAATTGTCTGTCTTCCCAACCTCGGCTGCCCAGCGCCTGCACATAGTAGGTGCGCAGTAAGTATGTGTGGGATGGACGAACAAATGAATGAATGAATGACTCTCTGTTTCCCCGCGTCTGCGCAGGGACTTCGGGAGGAGCCACCCTTGGAGGGCTGAGGAGAAAGCCCTCTTCCTCCCACCCGGGCCCGCGATGCGGGCTGCGCCCAGGGGCGCGTGCACACAGAGGCCCCGCCCGGGGGCCCGGGGGTCCGGCTGGGCTCGGCCCTCGGGGGCGTGTCCTCTGTGCCGGGGCGCCACCGCCCCGAGAGGCGGGCAGCGGGTGCGCCCGGGCCGCGGCGGCCGCAGAGGGCGGGCGGCGGCCAGCATGGAGCGCGAGCTGGAGGCGCTGGCGGCCCGGCTTGCGCGCCCTGCCGAGCCGCCCTTCCAGGCGTTGGTGGAAGCGGCGGGGGGCCGCGGGCAGGTGCTGCTGGTGGGCGAGCTGTGGGAGCGCGAACAGAGCCGCGCGCTGCTGCGGGACTTCGCACGGGCGGTGTTCCCGCCGGAGCCAGGCGCGGCCAAGCCGGGCGGCGCGGCGGCAGAGGGCGCGGGGCCCGGGGCGGCGCGCGGGGCGCAGAGGGCGGCGAGGGCGGCTGGGGCGGCGGGGGCGGCGGCGGCGGCGGCGCGCGCCATCCGCTCGCCGCTGGTCTTCGTGCTGTGCCGCGCGTCGTCGCTGGCCGCCCGGGAGCCGCGGCGCCGCCTGCGGGAGATGCTGCGGGACGTGCGCGGCCGGCGGCGGGCCGGGGCGGCGCTGGTCGGGGTGCTGGTGGCCGAGGCCGGGCCAGAGGACGCGGTGGCGCCGGGGCTGCGGCTGCTGGAGGCGCTGTTGCGCGCCGTGTTCGGCCGCCAGGCGGGGGGGCCCGTGCAGGCGGCCGCCTACTGCCCCGGCCTCCCGGCCTCCTGCCTGGCCGTCCAGGCGGCCGCCTGCAGGGCCCTGCAAGCCGCCGGAGCCGGGCAACCAGGTGAGACTGCGCGGGGCCCGGCTGGGCGCGGGCGGGCGGTGGCTCGGGCACGTCCCCCAAGTTGGACCCCTTTGGCCATTCCCTTATTGAGCACCGAGGTAAACTGAGGCTCAGAGCAGGGAGGTGCCTAGAGCCAGGCCTCGCAGCTAGCGGAGAGCGGGCCGTGCGTAGCGGATCGAGTCTGTCCCGGAAGGGTCCGGAGTGCACGGGAGATGCCTAGGGGGCGTGGGAAAGCTGAGGGGCCGAGTAGAAGGCAGAGGGAGTGGGTAGAGAGAAGGGATGAATCGGGCAAGGCCGAGATCTAGGAGTTACGGGGTGGGTGGGGGTGGGGAGAGAAGAGGAGTGGGGAAGGAAATGGGAAAGCCTTGGGATGGGAAAGTTTCAAGGGGGTGGATGGGTGCTAAGGAGATTGGCGGTGCCAGAAGCTAAATTCTAGGGCGCTGCGCAGCCAGAGATGCGTCGGGAGCTCTAGGAGGGGCGGAGGGGCATCTCCAGCGCGGTGGAGGCTCGTCCTGGAAGCCCTGCCTGGTTTTAGGAAGAGGGCAAGGAATGGGTGCTCGGGACTTGACGTGTGGGGAGGTGAGAGGGACTAAGAGTACATTTTCTATTGATTTCTGGCCACCCACCAAGGCTGTGCACCCAACTGCTGTGTCCCTCAGCCTCCCCCAGGTCTGCTGAGGCCACCTTTTCCCTCCACATTCTCCTGAAAGGTGGAAGGGATTTAAGGGTCTTTTCCCAGCCCCCGTGACTGCTGCCATCAGCAGAAGGGTCAGGATCTCCTTCCTCCTGGAACACAAGGCTTTACAGGAACTCTCCAATGTTCTAGGATGAAAATATGCACATTAAGAGTAGCTGCATCTGGCTATCGCAAGGACAAAAAACCAAACACAGCATGTTCTCACTCGTAGGTGGGAATTGAATAATGAGAACACATGGACACAGGAAGGGGAACATCACACACCAGGGACTGTTGTGGCGTAGGGGGAGGGAGGAGGGATAGCATTAGGAGATATACCTAATGCTAAATGACGAGTTAATGGGTGCAGCACACTAACATGGCATATGTATACATATGTAACAAACCCGCACGTTGTGCACATGTACCCTAAAACTTAAAGTATTAAAAAAAAAAAAAAAAAAGAGTAGCTGCATCTGGCAAACCCGGGAGATCTTTGCACTCTCCAGCTCCCAGCTTTCTCTCCCTGCCCAGCTGGGCAGCCCTTCAAGCCCTCCAGCCCCTTCCTCTTAAGTAGATAATGAAGAAAGTGGCTGTATTGTGTGTCTCCTGGAGTATTGGCGTTGGTTGGGGGGCGGAGGGTCCCAGCAAGGAGACCTGTCACCTGTGATGCTGCCAATGTCACATTCACCTGCCAGCCTGGCCTGCCTGGGCGAGCGCGCCTGCCCTAACCCTCCTCCCTTAGGGTGCAATCCATTTTTTTGTTGAGGCTGTGATTGTTCTGATTTTTGTTTCAACCCCTTTGCTGACCAGGCCTCCAATAGAAAGAAGGGAATTCACACACATTTTCTATACCCTAATGAGTGCATGCATTTTTTTTTTTTTTAGATGAAGTCTCTCTTTGTTGCCCAGGCTGGAGTGCAATGATGCGATCTCTGCTCACTGCAACCTCTGCCTCCCAGTCTCAAGCAATTCTTCTGCCTCAGCCTCCCAAGTAGCTAGGACTACAGGCGTCTGCCACCACACCCAGCTAATTTTTGTTTTTTTGGTAGAGACGGGGTTTCGCCATATTGACCAGGCTAGTCTCGAACTCCTGACCTCAAGTGATCCACCCACTTTGGCCTCCCAAAGTGCTGGGATTACAGGCATGAACTACCACGCCCTGTCCCTCCTAAGCTTTTTGTAGACACATTGCTGTTGCCTGAGCCTGAAGAGCCTTTTCTCCTCCCTCCTCCTCACCTGGCCAATCCCATTTGTGCATTCAGAACTGGACTTCCTCCTCCGGGAAGCCTCCCTTGACCTTCCCTGCTCCCACTTGCAAGTTCACTGGCGAAATCCCAGAACCCTTTATCCCTTTGCTCTCTGAGCTCTTACCACATGATTTCGTTCCCTTGTGAACATGATTTTGTTCCCTTGTGGGTTTAAACACCATCTGCAGTCCCATTTCCTGATACCCTGCCTGGCATGCAGACAGAGTGAATGAATCCTCCCTTCCTTTTAAATAAACACTAATACTTTTGAGATTTTAACACTTTGCAAGGGAATTGTTCTCTATGTTAAGCGCTTTCCTACTTTTATAAAAACATACTGAACAAAATTAAACCTCTCGCAAATGACTAAAGGTCGTGAGTGGAATTATAACTTATAGCCCACTGATTTCTTTGCAGCTTTTGCAGTGGGCAGAACTATTATCTTCACACCAAATGGATTCATGTCACTAAGATTTCGCTAGTGGTTGGATCTGTTTTTTTAAAGTTTTCCAATTTCTTTCCTCACCGTCTGATGATAATTCTTATTCTAGGTTGCTTGCCTTTTGGCAGTGCCCTTTTACCCAGTTCGTGGTACCTAATCCAGCTGCCTTTGGGTTGAAAAACTAAGGATACAGTCTCTTTACCTTTGGGTGCGGGTTAAGAGTAAATTGGTCCTGAATAAAGATTATGAACAAGGATTTTCCTTGTTTTGGTTGCCTGAAGTCTTTTAAAAATAAATAAATAAATAAAATAAACAACCTAGTTCCTGTTGACTTTATAGATTACTAAAAAATGTATCTATTCCTGCCAAGAAATAGTTTGAACTAAAATCAGAGGGAACGTGCAGCTCTTTGAGTATTTTGTTTGGTGCTATGTAATTGTAATTAATTTCATGTCATTTTCATTGCTTTATTTCCTCAACATGGTACCTACATCACAGGGCTTTTGTAAGAATTAAATGAGATAACATAGATAAAAGTAAAGCAATCATTTTTAAAGTTCGGTTTTAAAAACCCACCCACTTTTGCAAATCAGACTCTGTGTTTTTAATCAGACAGTTGAAACTAGGGCAGTTGACCGTTGGGGCACTTGATTTGCTAAACGAAATCTCTCAGTCTTGTGAAGTGGGAACCATGTGACCCTCTGACTCAGGTTTTGTGTTCTTCCTAGTGGAAGGAGCCTGGGAGAGGCCAGGCCTCCCCGGACTGCTAGCCTGCTTTTCCTGGGGTCCCTGGAGCCGGAGGAAGAACCAGGATGTTGCTGCCTGCAGAAGCTCAGCTCAGGGTGAGTGCTCCCCGACCTCCTGCATCCTGAGGGCCAGGTGCATGGAATTATGGGAGTGGTCACGTGAACTTGGGGACCTTAGGGACAGAGTGGACCAACATCTATGGAGTGCTTGCCATGTGCCAGGTGTGGGGATGAGCAATGTGAGGTGCCCATATGCCAGGCAGTGGGCACATGGGCTCGGTCAGGCTGGGCTCTTTCCCCAGGAGTCTCCACCTAATGAAGGCAGTATGGGGAGGGCTGTAACAAAGGTGTCTCCAGGAGCATGGTGGGGTGCATGGGACGTGCATGGGACCAAACACAGCAAGTCTCCCTGGAGGGTCCAGGGAGTATCCTAGAGCAAGTGATATTTGATCCGGGGATGGAGGGATTTTCGTAGGCAGAAATGGGAAGTTTTGGAAAAGGAGCACTGAGCTAAGGAGTGACAGCATGATGTCATGCTCAGAAAAGGGACCACCTTCGAGAGGCCCTGGGAGTGAGGTGCAGAAGGAAACCAGTGAGGGCCAAGGCTGAAGGGAAGAGTTTGGACCAAATCAGTGTCCCAGATGTGCAGCCTTCAGGAGTAGTGTGCCATGAGCGATTTCTGAGCAGAGAGATTGGGGTGTGTTTAGAGAGATGGACTCTAGGAGAGGGAGACACCTCGGCAGAGCCCACCTAGGAGGAGGCTGTCGTGTCCCAGGAGGGATAACAGGCGGCCTGGGCCCGACCTGGGCAGTGGGAATGGAGGGGAGAAAACTCACCCGGAGCCACTCCTAGGTGGAATCATCAGGCCACTAAATGGAAATGAGGGAGAAGGGGAAGGGGAAGACACCCCTCCATGTCAATGCTGATGTTAGAGAGATAGGAAGCGCACTGATCCCCCCCTTATCCACGTGAGATGCTTTAAGACACCTGTGGATGCCTAAAACCATGGGTAGCACCAAGCCCTACGTATACACTGTGTTTTTTACTGTACATATATACCTACGATAAAGCTTAATTTATAAACTAGGCACAGTTAAGACATTTAACAATATATAACAAAAGTTACAGGAATGAGGTATCTCTCTGAAAATATCTTATTGGACTGTACCGCAGGTAACTGAAACTGCGGATAGTGACGCCATGGATGGGGGTGGCTACAGTACTCGGAAGCATGGTGTAGCCTGCTGAATGCACACAGCCCATCCCAAAGTGCACTGAGAAGTATAGCTTTGTTACAGAAACAATGGATGGTGGTTCAAAATTAACTTTCATTGTGTCTCTCATTTAAGAAAGAAAACCATTAGTTGATGTGTCAGTCTTCATTGCTGCATAAGAAATGATCGCAAGTAGGTTGGGCATGGTGACTCATGCCTGTAATCCCAGCACTTTGGGAGGCCAAGGTGGGCAGATGACCTGAGGTCAGGAGTTCAAGCCCAGCCTGACCAACATGGTGAAACTCTATCTCTACTAAAAATACAAAATTAGCCGGGTGTGGTGGCACATGCCTGTAATCCCAGCTACTTGGGAGGCTGAGGCAGAAGAACTGCTTGGACCCCGGAGGTGGAGGTTGCAGTGAGCCAAGGTTGTGCCATTGCACTCCAGCCTAGGCAACAAGAGTGAAACTCCGTCTCAAAATAAATAAATAAATAAATAATCACAAGCTTAGCAGCTTCAAAGGCATTGATTAGGTGTCTGACTTCTTGCTGGCTGTCAGCTGGGGCTGCTCTCAGCTCCAAGAGGCCCCTGCCATTCCTTGCTCTCACAAGCCCTCTCACAAGAGATCCTCCTTCAATCAGCAGGAGAACCCCGCTCTCCAGTCTGCTAGGAGGGAGTCCACATAACCTAAGGAGTCAAGGTAGTCACTAGCCATTGCATTTGTCAGAGAGACAACCTACTCCCCAGAGTGACTAAGCTATCACATTCACAGAGCCCATCCAGACTCAAGGAAGGGCTTTATAAGGGGCCAGAATCTTGGGGGCTGTCTTAGAATTCTGCCTGTCATGTTTGAAAACTCAAAAAAAAGTACAAAAAAAAAAAAGAAAGAAAACAAATGTGAAACATCATTCACTTAATTCCATCATTCAGAGATAACTACAATTATATTTTGGGGTACGCCATTCTATTTACCTATCTCTCCTTGTGCTCTTTAAAATTTAATAAACTCACTTCTATATCATCTTCAAAATGCAGTAGATATTTAAAATGTTTAATTGCAAAAATGCTAACTTCAACCTCTCCACCATCATTTTGGATATACTTGGAAACTAAAGGAGAAAAGATGAAGCAACAGAATCATTAACCATTTTACATAAATCTTGGATAATTTCTCTCTCTGTGGTATGTACAAATCTCATATAGAAGTGAATGTATTAAAATGCAAATGGCATTTATGGACTATGTACACACATTGATAGCATATGATAAATATAGGATATCATAATTACATGCATTTATACAATCATGAGTTGCTTAATGACAGGGATATACATTCTGAAAAATACATCTTTAGGGGATTTTTGTTGTGTGAACACGATAGAGTGTACTTAGAAACCTGGATGGTATAACCTACTACATGCCTATGCTATGCGGCATAGCCTATCGTTCCTAGGCTACAAACCTGTACAGCAGGTTACTGTCCTGAATATTGTGGGCAACTGTAACACAATGGTAAGTAGCTGTGTGTCTCAACATACCTAAACATAGTAAAGGTGCAGTAAAAATATGCTATAAAAGATCAAAAAATGGTACATCTGCATAGGACACTTACCATGAATGAAGTTTTCAAGGCTGGAAGTTGCTCTGGGTGAGTCAGCGAGTGAGTGGTGAGTGAATGGGAAGACCTAGGACATTGCTGTGCACTACTGTCGACTATATAAACGCAGTACACTTAGGCTACACTACATTTATTTTAAAATATTTCTTTCTTCAATAATAAATTAACCTTAGCTTACTGTAACTTTTTTACTTTATAAGCTTTTTGATTTTTTGGCCAGGCATGATGGCGCGTGCCTGTAGACCCTGCTACTCCAGAGGCTGAGGCAGGAGGATGGCTCGGGCCCAAGAGTTCGAGGCTACAGTGATCCGTACTCCTGCCATTGCACTGCAGCCTGCACACCATAGTGAGACTGTCTCAAAACAAACAAACAGACAAACAAAAACCACCTTTTTAAATTATTAAAAGCTTTTTCACTCTTTTGTAGTAATACTTGGCTTAAAACACAAAATATTGTAGAAATGTACAAAAATATTTTCTTTCTTTATATCCTTATTTAGTAGGCTTTTTCCTATTTTAATTTTTTTTTTTTTTTTTTTTTTGCTAAAAACTAAGACACAAACATGCGCCTTAGCCTACACCTACACACAAGGTCAGGATCATCAGTATCACTGTCTTCTGCTTCCACATCTTGTCCCACTGGAAGGTCTTCAGGGACAATAACACACATGGAGCTGTCACCTCCTATGATAAACAATGCCTTCTTCTGGATACCTCTTGAAGGGCTTGCCTGAGGCAGTTTTACAATTAACTATATATATATATAAACTTTATATACGTGTGTGTGTATATATATCTTTATATATATATATATATACACACACACACACATATAAGTAGAGGGAGTACACTCTAAAATAATGTTAAAACATATAGTAGGCCGAGGCTGGCGGATCACCTGAAGTCAGGAGTTCCAGACCAGCCTGGCCCACATGGTGAAACCCCATCTCTACTAAAAATACAAAAATTAGCCAGGGCGTGGTGGCACACGCCTGTAATCTCAGCTACTCGGGAGGCTGAGGCAGGAGAACTGCTTGAACCTGGGAGGCGGAGGTTGCAGTGGGCAGAGATTTCGCCAGTGCACTCCAGCCTGGGCAACAGAGCAAGACTCCATCTCAAAAAATAATAATAATTTTATATATATAGAGAGAGAGAGAGACAGTACAGTAACATAGTCATTTCTTATTATTATCAAGTATTGTCTACTGTATATAATTGTATGTACTAGACTTTTACATGACTGGCAGCGAGTTAGGTTGTTTCCACCAGCATTGCCACAAACATGTGAGTAATGCATTGCACTGCAACATCAGGACAACTACAAGGTTACTAGGTGACAGGAATTTTTTAGCTGTGTTTCAATCTTTTTTTTTTTTTTTTTTTTTTTTTGAGACAGAGTCTAGCTCTGTCACCCAGGCTGCACTGTGCAGTGGCACGTCTTGGCTCACTGCAAGCCCCGCCTCCCAGGTTCACGCCATTCTCCTGCCTCAGCCTCCCAGGTAGCTGGGACTACAGGCTCCCGCCACCACGCCCAGCTAATTTTTTGTATTTTTAGTAGAGACGGGGTTTCACCATGTTAGACAGGATGGTCTCGATCTCCTGACCTCGTGATCTGTCCGCCTTGACCTCCCAAAGTGCTGGGATTACAGGCGTGAGCCACGGCGCCCGGCCAGCTGTGTTTCAGTCTTATGGGACCACTCTCTTATTAAGGTTCGTAATTGACCAAAATGTCATTATGTTGCACGTGACTGTACTTACTGTTTTGGAATCTGCTTTCTTCATCAATAACATACTATAACTGCCTTCCACAGCAATAATTATATGTCAACAACATATTTTCTTTTTTGAGGTAATTCTAAATTAACATGCAGTGGCAAGAAATCATACAGAAATCCCAGCACTTTGCGAGGCCGAGGCAGGGGGATAGCTTGAGCTCAGGAGTTCAAGACCAGCATGAGTGACATAGTGAGACCCTGTCTCAAAAAACAAAAAGGGAGATCACCCAGAGAGATCCTGTGTATACTTTGCCCAGTTTCCCCCAATGGTAACATTTTGCAAAACTATAGTGCAATAGCACAAACGGGATATTGACACTGACGTAATCCACAGATCTTATTCGGATTTCCCCAATTTTACTTCTATGCAGTGTGTGTGTGTGTGTGTGTGTGTGTGTGTGTGTGTGTGTGTGTGTGTTTAGGTCTGTGGAATTTTATATATTGTCTTTAATACCTGAATCCCATTATATGTGTGAGCCATAGTTCACTCAACCAGTCCCATTGTTGGACATGGAATCGGGACACTTTCAACTGCAAGTAAAGATACCATGACACACATGAGCACAAGCAGTAAGAGAAATCATTATCTCACCTAAAAGACAGTCCAGAGATGGAGTCGGCTTCAGAGTTGGTTGATTCAGGGGCTCAGGGACCCCACCAAACACCCAGGTTTGCTCTTTCTCTCTGTTGGGCCATCTTCAGTGTCAGTTTCATCCTTAGGCTGGTAGCAAGATAGCTCCAGCAGTTCCACTAATTATTCCTAATTATTTTCTTAGGATAAAATCCTAGAAGTGAAATTTGTGGGTCAAAGGGTGTGTACATCGTTAAGGTTTTTGATATGTATTTTGTTTTGTTTTTTAAGTAGGTATTTGCTGGGGACAACTTTCTCCTTTTCCTTCCTAGATAACTCACTCACAACCTTTCTCTTCTGATTCAGTGATTTCTTCTCCTGTGTTCCAGAAGACTTCCAGGAACCTGAGGAGGAGCTGCCACTAACAGCCATATTTCCCAATGGAGACTGTGATGACCTTGGAAGGGGGTCAAAAGCCTGTGATGGAGTCGTACACACTCCTGCTGAGCCCACCGGAGACTCAAGATGAAGGCTGGACCCTTGCGCTGTCCCTGGCTCTAACCTACAGACTGGGGCCTGGCTCCGTCTTACTGGCCCCCAGGTCTCCATGGAGACTGCAGAAACCCCCGCCTGCTGGAGGCCTGCCACACTCACAGTTACCAGCTAGACAGTGGGGCTTACTAAGACAAGCAGGACCTAAAACAGTGTCTCCCCTGGGAACCTACTCCCCACCCAGCATTTGCTAAGTCTGATCACAGGGAGGTTATTTTGTCTCTCTGTCTCGGTTTCTCTGAGCCACTGAGACAGATGGCTGTCCGCTTTGAGGCTCTGCAGAGCTGTGGCACCCCATGGTGTGTCTGCAGTGTTCTGGGCACATGCATGGGCACCCATCGTTGAGAGTGCAGCTGGGAAGAACTCTGAACCAGAAGTCATCAGAGCTGAGGCATGGCCTTGAACATGTCACTCAGTCTCTGGGGCTTCTGTTTCACAAATGCATGAGGGGGCCACCAGCCCAGTGGCTTTAAACCAGGGGCAGGTTGTCCCTCCAGGCAGCATTGGAAATGTGTGTGTGTTGAGGGGGTCACAGTGACTGTGGGGGCACCCCTGGCATCTAGTGGGCATCCCACAATGTGCAGAACAGTCTCTGACAGCAAAGAATTGGTCCATTCAATGCCAATTGTAGTACCTTTGAGACATTCTGGCTGAGCCAATGCCTTCTCCCTGTCAGAGTCCCCCAGAGCAGAGAGGGTCAGGCTTCCCTGGACCTTGGCTCCCAGAGCAAGCCAAAATAAAGACTACACTGTTGCCTTGGGGGCTTGTCGGGCCAGGGCCAAGACGGTCTGCGTGCTGCAGGGCCAGGACAGAAATAGCCACACATGCCGGTGAGAACAAAGAGCCTCTTTCTTTCTCATGTTGACATCGACTTTCTGTGCCAAGTCCTTTGGGTATAAGGATGCTAGGGAATTCCTATAGGCACCAAACAGAAGGAAAGCTAGGGGCTTGGACTACTGGGTATAGGACTTGCTCTAGCTCTCAGGTCCTAGCCCAAGCTCAATGCAAACACAGCCCCTCCGGGCTCTCTGTTTCTGTGAGGTTCTGGAATCCCTTCCTCTGTGTCCGTGAGTCTGACAGAATCGATGATGTTCCCTTAGAGCTGGGAAATCCATGTGTTTATTCACGGAGGGAACTCACCATTACCTCCCTTGTCTTCTTTGCCTGCCTTGGAGAAATCCAGAGTCTTCGGAATGGCAAAGGCAGCTCCTGGATTTCCCTGGAGGGGAGGCACTAGCTGAGGGAAGTAGCTCCCTTCATTCATGATGCACAGTTTACGCAGCAGACACACAACTGCGCCTACTATTTGCTCGGTGCCCTGCAAGGTGCTGCCTAACTTTGATTTGTTATTTCAGCTCTCTCCAGGATAGTGCCAAATGGTGCAATGGGAAACCTGTTTTGCTGGGGGGCTCTAGATCACTGGCTCCAGAACTCCCGGCTGCCAGGGTAGCCCCTACCCCCAGCCCCTTGCTCCTGGACAGCAGTGGGTCTCACCTTTAGCCTCTGCCCCCAGTTCTGGTCTGACCCAACAGAGGGGCTCTATGATATTAAGAAGGGGCCCTTCCTGCTCTGTGCCTCAACCTATTCTCCATAATAGGGAGTCTAATCCTATTCCTTCCCTGCCTGATGAGGATGGTGTGAGGATGAGGAGGACGGCATCTCATTTGGGGCTTTTTGGCAGTGGGCCTCATTTTAATCCTGCAGGGCTGCCTGCCAGTGGATCTATCCAGCTGCTTCCTTGTAGCCAAGAATGAGTTCAATGAATTGTGATTCACTGATTTTATTGATTTTGTTTTAAAACAGGGAGACTGGTATTTTTGAAGCTGCTATCATTTTCTATTTCTTTATTAATTTCTTTGTAATCATCTTATTAAAGTTTTCTTATTTAGTGGGAGAGGGAGCTTTGTTTAAGTTTGGAATTTGCCTAAGGCAGAAGTTATAAGGCTTCATAACCTTTTGTATGTATTGCCAATATTTGAAACTTGGGAGATTACGTATAAAAAATACCTAGTTTTCTGGGTGGAGGATGGGGCATGCTGTCATCTCAAGTCTGCTGCGGCTCACCCCCACCACCTTTACCCCCTCCCCCGCCCTTCCCATCCCCCACTGCACTTCACTCATGTAAGACGTCTGCCCGGTGCTGGTCCAGGCGGGCATGTGAGTTTGTAGCCTCTGCTCCAAAGGATGGTTTACACATTATTTTTTCATTACCTTCAGTATTCCTGTGAATGGTTCAAGAGAGAAAGTCTTCATTTACTAAGATTTGGGTTCTGCCTCCCAAGTGACAATACGGGGCTGAGATCCCTCTCAGCTTCTTTGAGATGTGGCCACCATAAGCATCATCGTTGTAGGGACAGTCTCATTGCTGTCTTCTAGCAGACAGAAGAGTTAGGTGCCAGAAAGGACAATCTTGATGGTGGGTCCCCTCCCTGAAGGACTTTAAGAAGGCATAAAGGGGTTGGGGTGGAGGGTGGCGTGTGAAGGAGGAGGCCCTTGATTAGGTCAGTGGTCCCTGGGAGCCATCGGCGAGAGGCCTCCAGCCGGGTGACAGTCTGGGCTCTCGGGTACTAATCTTTCTAATATGGCAGTGGTTGTGGCACTTCTGACTTGAATTGATAATTCTCATATCTAATAAAACCAAGAAGTACCTCGTTGATATCTTATAGAAAACAAAATGGATCTTCTTCATTCTCCTAAGGGGCTCCTTGCAGAGAGACCCTGGAGAGCAGGGAAGCTTGGCAAATGGTGGAAATCTGTGGCCTGAAAGCCTCCCAGCCTCTGCCCTGGGTGACATCTCCCCTGCCGTACCAGCTGGGATTAAAAAACCTGTAGCGAGAAAGCATAAGTATATATTTAAAAAATGATTTTTAAATTTTTGTAGAGACAGGGTCTCACTATGTTGCTCGGGCTGGTTTCAAACTCCTGGGCTCAAGTGATCCTCCCACCTCGGCCTCCCAAAGTGTTGAGGTGACAGGCATGAGCCAATGGCCAGATTTTTGAAAAGACAGCATTCAGCTTAGGATACAATGGTGTGTGTGTGAGCGTGTGAGCACGCACATGCATGTTTAACCAGAGCTAAAATAACCTTAACTGAGTCTCAGAGAATTCTTTCTACTATTTGGGTCACACTTTTTCTCCTCTCCTAGTGTTTGTCTCCAAACCTTAGTGCACAAGAGTCCCTGGGTTGTCAAACCCAAAACTTAAGGCAACCCTGCAAAGGGGCCAGGAGCTGAGTCCCCAAACCTTTGAACTGAACGAGCCCCCCTTACCCTAGCAGAGAACTGTGGATTCAGCCTTGCTGGAGAAGACGAAGGACTGCCTGGTTAACTTGAAAGCAGCCTGTACTTTAAAGTGTAGCAAAGCAAAGCTGCAGGCTTTATTCCCTGGGGTCAGGAGGCCTGGACTTTGTCCTGTTTGTATGGCAAACACAGCCAGCCCAGTGAGTGAGTGCAGGAAGCTGGCTGTTTGTACCCAAGGGCTGCATAACCGCTTCTGACCTGGTTTTGTGTGTTAGTGGATCGAGGATTGGGACAGACGTGGAATTTGGCCTGGGCAGCCTGCCACTTGTGTAACCTTGGAGCTCAGGAAAAAATGAGGTGCAAGGGAGAGGGTGGATAGCCAGGATCCCACATGGACCCTTCAGATGCCTTTGGTCTGAGCCAGAGCCCTCTGGATCCCTTATATTGGGGCTGCCTAATTGGGACTGGAGGCAGAGACGGCCCTCCTGGGACATGCCATGGTTCACACTGTAGTGGGGGCCAGGATGTGGGGTAGCTCAGGTCCAAACCGGGGCTGGGTGCTGAAGCCACTGTGGGGCTGTGGTTTTGGCAAGGGTGAGAACCCTCTCTGGTGTCCTTCCTGGGCTCCCCAGCCCCAGCTGGGGCTCCTGCCACAAATGCAGACCGGGGACTGCCTGTTCTTTGACCAGTGAAATTCAGAGACCCTCAAGGAAGGCTTGAGGGTCTCTGAATTTGCTGTCCTCATCTGCACTTAGAGTAATTGCACTTAAGTTGCTGTCCTCATCTGCACTTAGAGTAATTAGGTGCCTCGCTTAGTCCTGTGACCAAGCCTGATTTTGAGTCGTGGTTACAGAAACTTAGTCTGTGTCTTGTAGCCCTGAGCTCCTCCTCTTCCTCACCAGTTAACAATATCTCAAAGAAGGGTGTTGTCCTGAACCATTACCATAACCCCAGCCTAAGCTCACCCTGACCACCACTGTCCCAGGTATATCACCGGCTCCAGAACTCCTGGCTGCCAGGGCAACCCCCGCCCCCAGCCCCTTGCTCTGGGACAGGAGGGAGTGGGTCTCACCTTTAGCCTCTGCCCCCGGTTCTGGTCTGACCCAGCACATGGCAGCTCCAAAGAGCGGACAAAACCTTGAAGCAAAGCCAAAGGGCCAGGCCTGAATGGGAGGTCAGAGGGAAGAAGGCCCAGGAGAGGGTCTAAGCCAGCCCTGTCTAAGAGGAATCTAACGCAGGCACATAGGTAGCTTTCTATGGTGGCCACATTAGAAAAAAGTAAAAAGAAATAGATAAAATTAATTTTAAGCATACATTTCATTTAGCCCAATATATCTAAAATATCATTTCAACTGTAAATTATCGAGACATTCTGCATTCTGTTTTGCATATTGTCTTTGAATCCCATGAGTTTACACTTAGAGCCCAATTCAGATACTACATTTTCATCAGAAAAACTTGATCTGTATTTAGATTTAATTAAATGTACAGTCGTAAACATTCACATCCTCAAATTGTTTCAGAAATACTGAAAGGTTTTGCAGTTATGGAATTTCTATCTATTTTTAAATTTCAATTAATTAAAGTTAAAGTTTAGAATGCATTTCCTCAGTTGCACTAGCCACATTGCAGCTGCTCAATAGCACTTATGGCTGGTGGCTACTGTATTGGACAGCACCCCTCAAGAACAGGGGAGGCCTCGCGCGGTGGCTCATGCCTGTAATCACAGCACTTTGGGAGGCCAAGACGGGTGGATCACCTGAGGTCAGGAGTTCAACACCAGCTTGGCCAAGATGATGAAACCCCATCTCTACTAAAAATACCAAAATTAGCCGGGCGTGATAGCGGGCACCTGTAGTCCCAGCTACTTGGGAGGCTGAGGCAGAGAATCGCTTGAATCCGGGAGGCAGAGGTTGCAGTGAGCCAAGATTGCGCCACTGCACTCCAGCCTGGGCGACAGAGCGAGACTCCGTATCAAAAACAAACAAAAAACAGGGGAAACAGGTGAGAGGCCTGTCTTGGGGATTCATTGTGATTCCTGCGGCAGTTGCCTCCCCAGACACCCAGAGCTTGCTGGTCATCCCAGACCCTTGGGCAAGGGCAAGACAGCAGCGTCCAGCAGTCGGCTTGTGCAGGGCAGCCTTCCAATTGCCCAAAATATGCGCCCTCCCGGACACCATCCTTGGAAGAGAACCTAGTTCCTTACCGATCCTTTCGTGCCTCAGTCCACCCAGACCAATTCCAGCCTTGGTGAGGCGTTTCCCTCTGACCAAGCACCCACCCATGGGAGGCCCGTGTCACCCGGCTGCGTTTCGCATCTCTGCTCCCATGAATAAATGTATTTACTCTAAAAACGTGTGGCTCGTGTGTTGTACGTGAAACAGCCACCAGCCTCGTGCTGAGTAGCCGTAAAATCTGTGGTGTATTGAGCGGAGCGCTGCGCTGCGTGTCCCGGCGGCCCTGCCAGGTAGGTGGATCCAGCCATCCCTTTCCCTTTGGCGGGAGAGGCTGGGCTCGAGGGACGCCCGCGGCCACAGCGCTGCGCTGCGAAGTGGCAGAGCAGAGATTTGATTCCCGGGCTCCCAGGCTCCACGGGCCTGCCTTTTCCACCTTATCTCCGTGCAGCCCAAGAGGCAGTCGAGCTCGAGTCTTGACGGGAGAACGGAGCCCTTCTAAAACCCGGGGATTTGAATGCCTGCAGGATGCGCGGTGCGCTAGGGGCGGTCACAGCTTCCTCCGGAGCGCCCGCCTCCTAGAAGGCCTTGCGCCCACTAGCGGGCGCCGCGGGGAGATGCTCTGGGCAGCTCGGAAACCACGGTGGCCTCGCCGGGAAAGAGAGCGCCTAACCCAGGGCCAGGCACCGCCACGATTTCCTTCACCCTGACACGGCCCCCAGCCCAGCCGATACCTGTGTGAGGCCACAGCTGACCTCGATTGGGCTTTGAGAAGTTTTGTGTCACTCAACTCTGGAGGGAGGTTGTTTCTAAACCGAGCACATCCTAAGAATTTTTTCCGTGATTTCACTATGTCCTAAAAAATAGAGCTCATTTTAGAGTCTTGGACAGGGCGGGGGTTTCAGAACCGTAGGTCTGAGTTCTAGCCCTGTGCCAATAACTAAATGACCGGGTGTTCATCCGATCATCTGAGAAACGTTTATTGAGCACCTATTACGTGCCCAATACTGTGCTAGTTACTCTAGCGGACAATGAGATGAACTACTCAAGATGTGGCGTTGCTCTTGAGTAGTTCCTTGTCTAGTTGGGACTGGGGCAAGGAGATGTGATGCCAGCTGGGTAGGGTAAAGGCTTTAAGGGAACCCATGGTGGGCTGGGCCAAGAAAGGCTTCCTGGAGGAGGTGCCGCCTGAGACTCAAAACAAGTGGTGTTAGCCTGGAGTGTAGGGGAGCGAGCCTTGACGACAGAGACACGAGCAGGTACAAAGGGCAGTGAAAAGGTACATGGCCACGTGGCCACTCTGGGAGCTTCAGGGGTTCAGGATGGCTGGAGTGTGGCACGCCAGAGCCACACTCCAGCCACATGAAGACAGTCCCACCATCCTGGAGGAGAAAGTCGTGCTCCTGTTGGTTCTGATCATGCTCCTGGCTGGCTGTGAAGAGTGGACTGAAGCCTTCTGGGGCTGTAAGCAGGAAGTCAAGGCTGTAGGAGGCTGTCGTGGTCTGGAAAGAAGAAGGAGAGGCAACTATTGGGTAATGGAGTGAGGATGGGAGAGGTCGGTGTGAGAGATTAAAGAGGAGATCTGGTGCTGACTGTTGTGGGAGAAGAGAACAGTCAGATTTCCGTTGCAGTGGCTGATGGATGTCCTTCACCCACACTGAGGTCAAGGAAGGAAACACACAACTGTGGGACGACAACAGCGTGCACAACTTTGAGGTCACTGAGTTGAAGGAGCCTATGACTCTGCCAAGCAGAGATGCCCAGGAAGTGTGTGAGTCTGTGCTCAGGAGAAAGCGCAGGGCAGTAGAGACACATTTTATGAGCCACCACCTTGTGCACAGCAGCCAATGGCATTTCACTCTTACAGGGGTTGCAGGGAGTGAGAAGAAGGCCATGGACAGAAACACAGAAGAAAGACACATAAAAAAAATAGAATCCAAGATGGGGACTGAAGATTTGAAGGAGCAGAAGTAATCAGAGTTGAGTTTCGAAAAGATTGCTCTGGCTAAAGAATGCAGAATGGACTGGAGAGGGAGAAGCCACAGGCATGGGCCAGTCACTCAGGAGGGAGAACAGAATCCTCCCGGGGGGAGAAGTCTGATGTCTGTGTCCAAGCTACTTACCTTTTGCCCATCTCACAGGTTCACGTGAGGCTCACATGGGGTTGTGGCAATGACACACACAGCATCCAAGTGGAAGACAGGATTGTCCTCTCATACAGAATGACTTCTCCTTGAAGAGCAGAGGTGGCATGTTGACCACCTCTCTGTTTTAAAACATGTTGAATTAGTAGCCAACATGTAAAATTCTGGAGATGTTGCATGAAATTCTGATTTCTGGCTTCTCTTAGAAAAAACATGTCTTCCAACAGTCACCCTGCATTCTTGGCAGGAACTGAGTAGCAGTTGCTCTGTTTAGCAGTTGCTCTCTTTAGATGGGGCACTCACTTTTTTTTTTTTTCTTTTTAGACGGAGTCTCACTCTGTCGCCAGGCTGGAGTGCAATGGTGTGATCTTGGCTCACTGCAACCTCCACCTCCTGGGTTCAAGCGATTCTTCTGCCTCAGCCTTCTGAGTAGCTGGGACTACGAGTGCCCGCCACCACACCTGGCTAATTTTTGTTTTTAGTAGAGACGGGGTTTCATCATGTTGGCCAGGCTTTGGTCTCGAACTCCTGACCTCAGGTGATCCGCCCACCTCGGCCTCCCAAAGTGCTGGGATTACAGGTGTAAGCCACCGCGCCCGGCCAGGAATTCACTCTTCATCACTGTCCCCACCACCCCCTAGTGCCTCCTTGACACTGTTAGTTGCCATTCACCATCCTGTGGAGCTTGTATTTTCTTTCGCTGGTCCTGCTTTACTCATTTTCATTACCTGTTGGCATTTGTTTGTGACTCCTCTAGGGGTTTGGGGAATACAACTGTCTTCATGTGAGGGCTTGGTAGAAGTGCCTCTGTAGAGCCAGGTGCAGTGACTCACATCTTTAATCCCAGCATTTTGGGAGGCCGAGGCGGGCGGATCATGAGGTCAGGAGATCGAGACCATCCTAGCTAACATGGTGAAACCCTGTCTCTACTAAAAATACAAAAATTAGCCGGGTGTGGTGGCATACACCTGTAGTCCCAGCTACTTGGGAGACTGAGCAGGAGAATCGCTTGAACCCAGGAGGCGGAGGTTGCAGTGAGCCGAGATCGCGCCATTGCCCTACAGCCTGGGTGGCAGAGGGACACTCCATCTCAAAAAAAAAAAAAAAGAAGTACCTCTGTAGAATGACACCCCAAGTAATCTGTTTACTTTGCATGCACATCTTCTCGAGCCCTGCCTTTCAATCTGAGCCACAGGCTCTTCAAAAATGTTCAATAATTATATTTAATATATTTTAAACAACCACAGTTTAAGAATTCTAATTTAAACAAAAAAAGTCACAGATACAACAAAATGTGTTATCAAGCACATTTAATTCACTGGCAACCACAAGACATTGATTGTGCCCCTAGGTTACGTAGAAGGCCGTAGAAATGAACTCGCCATCGCTGTGCGATTGAAGAGTTTAGCTTGATAGTGCAAGGCCGGTGGCTGAAAAAAATGCTACCGTTTGCCCTATTCCTTGTCAAGACTTTCTCAGTACTGACTCTTGAAATAAATTGACTTCTTGAAGCTAGCATAAGACTGCAAATGGCCATTGCAACTGCCATTTCAAATTTCTGAAGATGTATTAGAAACGAAGAACCCACTGCCGTCGGGGGAAAGAGGACCTGGGCAGATAGAAGGAAAGAATGGAAGACATTTTTTCTCCCTTGGAAAGGCTTTCGCCATATAACTACTGCACATTTTAATATATTGACAACACTGGACATTTTTCCAAAAGTAAGTAAAAACCTTCATTGTTCAACTTTATAATAAGCCAATGATTACTTGTGGATTCATTATGATAATAAAGCACTTCTATGGGGATTTTCTTTTTTTTATGATAGGTTTTGCTTTAGAAAACAATTGAAAGCCACTTTTCTGGGAAAAAAAACAAAAAACAAAAAAAAACGCTGTTTGCGGCAGCCCCAATTCCCTAAGCATTATCTGGTGGGAGATGTGTTGCAGCGAGACCTCCCACCAGTAGGTGGCACTGCGCGCAATGCTCGCACCTCCCCTCAACACCCTTTCTCTCAGCAATGGCGGGTGATGGTGGGGGTCCTCTCTTTGCAGGGCTGGCCATTCTAATGCCTGACCTCAGGTGCAGACCAGTGTTCCGTTGCGCGGGACTCCTGACCTCGAGGAGGTTTAGAGAAAACAATGGTGTTCTCTGTGTACCCTTCCGCGAGGGCTGGGGAGTATACCGCCGCGCAGAAGACGCAGGCCAGGGGAGAATTCGCGCCGGGCGGCAGGCGGGGTGGCGGGCAGCCCCTGGGCGGGCGGGGTCCTGGCGAGAAGCGAGCCGGCGGCCTGAGGAGGCGACTGACTGAGCAGCGCACCCGGGGAGCAAGGAGGCGCGGTGAACTGAGCGGCCCCTGAGCTGACAGATACACTGCGCAGCTGGAACGGCGAGCGAGCCGACGGGCGAGTGAGGGGCGCAGCCATGATCACCTCGGCCGGTGAGTGCGGCCCGTAGCCAGCGCCTGGAGGGAGGAGCCGCCGCCGCGCCGGCTTTTAGCTGAGTCAGGGCCGGTGACTGGGCGCCTCCCGGCGGAACGCCGGCCTGGGCAGCTTCTTGCTGCCCAGGGCCCACCCCCGGGCCGGGGGGCTGGGAGTCTGATCAGGTCACTGCGTGCTTCTCTGGCTTGAGGGAATCGAGCCGGGTCGACCGCCTCGGCATCCCTCCCCAATCACACCCCAGCGCCAGGACCCGAGGGGCTTCCTGGGCCTTCCCCTGACCCCAGAAGGGCTTACCTTTTTTCTGTGCCTCCCATTCTTGGCCGTGTGAGGTCGTCCAGCCCCAGTTCTTGCCCGCAGGGGGCCGGGGTGGGATGGGCCCCTGTGCCATTGAACAGTAAGGCAAACCCCCCTGATCGGGCAGCCTAACTGCTACAGAAGTGTTTCTGGACGTGGCCGAGCTCCATTCGCCTTAGAATGAAACCCGAAATTAGGTTTGAGGTGGGTCATTTCTGGGTCCGATCCAAGGGTGTTCATTCAAAACACCCAGAGAACTTTTGGGTTCGGCGAAGACCCTAAAGACGCCCTGGAGATACCTTTATACTGAGAGCCTACTTATACCCTTTCGAGGTTATGTGCTCAGTCTGTTGACTGTACATTCAAGAAAGAATGGATGGATCTGCGGAGCAGGTTTCATACGCGCAAACCATTGCATAGGTAGATTCACGTAGTGACATTTGCAATGGAGTAAGTTACAGAGATCAAGTTTCAATTGGAGACTTAAGCTCCCCGTTACAGATTGACTTGCATATAGCTGTCCAGAGCCTTGGTGCTTTTTTCCGTTGCCTATTTACATACCCTTTTCTCATTTTCTTACTCTGTGTTTGACCCACAAAGAAAGCATTTTATTGTAAACAAACTGGTGAGCAGAAGACAGTAATCTGAATGGTAAGGCGATCAAAACTTTATTTTTATGAGGATTGGTTAAGGAGATCGTTGGAGATACTGGGAGACGTAGTTACTTTCAAACATTTGAAGAGCTGTCACTTGTACCTGAAATAAGACTTTTTGTCCCCAAGAGATACAAGTGATCGCGAGATGAATTTTAGTTCAGTATCAGGAAGTTTTTCCAGTCAGAGCTTTGTAAAGATCAAATAAACACTCAGTTTCTTGCCACCTATAGGCCTCATTCTATTTCAAATCCATCCATTACCAATGTTTCTTCTAACTCGGCCCAAACCACCTTCATCTCTTGTCTGGGTTACTATATCAGCCTTAAGGCTTTGTTTTCGACCATTACCTCCGTACAGCCCGTTTTTCTTGTGGACTATGCTTTTTAAAACTTTAATCACATAATACTTCTTTGCTTACAATCCACCAGTGCTTACATTGTGTTTAGAGCAGCCGTGTCCAACCCTTTGAATTCGAGGACTTTTTTTCTTACTGTGGTGGTCGGACATCGTGAAAATTATATACAAACCTTTTTTTTTTTTTTTAAGCTCATTAGCTATCATTAGTGTTAGTGTATTTTATGTATGCCCCAAGATACTTCTTCCATTGTGGCCCAGGGGAGCCAAAAGGTTGGACACCCCTGGCATACAGTAAAATCCAGACTCTTAACCAAGGACCCACATGATCTGATTCCCGCCTTGTCTTGTAGTACTGTCTTCACTCAATACATCCTAATCACACTGGACTTTTTGTTCCTTGGATATGTCAGTTTCTCTCCTATCTCGGGGCCCTGGCACATTCTGTTCCTTTCTAGTCTTCTCTTCCTCAGATTTTCCCTTAGCTTCTCAATCTTTTGTCTCAACTCAAATGTTATCCTTCCCTGATCATTCTATTAAAACACGCTTACTCTCCCTCCACCACAGCTCTGTAATTGCCTTGTTTGTTTACTTGCCTGATCACTGTCTCTCTCTCTCTCTCTGGTAGAATTTTGAGCAGGAAGCTTGTTTTCACAATTCTAGAATACTGCTGAGAGCATGGCAGAAATTCAAAAGTATGTCTTGACTGAAGAGCTCAGTCAGCCAGTCAAAGCAATTAATCAGTCCCTTGAGTTTTTAAAGTAGAGGCGGAAAAAGCACTTGGTGACAATATAATAGACTTTAAGCCTCTTTAAGGTGGCAAAACTAATAATTTTTGAGGTCCTATCCTGAGATTCTGTGATGATCATATAGTGTATATTTATTACTGCCATTTAAGTTTATTGGATTACTTGTCAACTTCTGTTCCAAATCTTTTGTCACTTTGTTTTCTGTCCTATGGCTCATGTTGGCTTAGAATTTGTCCCAGGTGCTAAACAGGCTAGTCTCATGGTTCTGGTGTGGATTAGTCAGTTTGTTCATTCATTTATTGACCAGGCAGTTGCTAGGCATCACCATACAGTGGTGAATAAGAGGTCAACATGTTCTATTAGTTTTTTCCAAGAGGTTTGACTATGCAGGGGAATGGAGAGAGAGAGAGAGGTGCTTCCAGGCGGGAGATGTGAAATTGAGTGGGTTGGTGTTTTCTTTTTTAAACATAATACAGACACATAAAGGAAAGTTGTGCTAAAAAGCTTTAAAACAATAGTCCCCCACCTCACTTTCCCTTTCCTGATCCCCAGAGGCAGGTATTCCCAACTTTTAAGCTGTGTCTTCTGGAACATACCTCCGTATTTGTAAATAAATATCCAAATATTTCTGTCAATTGATTCAACAGTTTTAGACCAATATCTGCTCAGTTCCTATAACGGCATAAGAGGCTTTTAGCATCCTTAGGCCTTTCCCATTCTCTCCCCTCTCCAGAAGAGAGTTCTGTTTTGTTTTTAAGATGGGAAATACTAATGTATGGAGTGTAGAGTATTTGATTTAGTTCTGGTCCATGGCCAGAGGCTGAGTTTCCAAGCCAGGACAACCATGTAACCAGTTAGTCATAAGTGAAACCAAACCAGAGAATATAAAAATCCATCTCCCTTTTTGGTAAAAGCCGTTCAAATACATTGACTGAGGATAGGTAGCAGTTTTAGTATTAAGTGTTCTGTTATTTAAGATCTGTTCTACATTTAAAGCATTCTGGCCTGTCATCTTACTCCACATCACTAGTTTGCAATTTTTTCTTTTTCACTGATTGAATTTTGAAATTTATCTGTTCCCTGTGCTGTCCATTCAGAATCTCTGTTCTGGACTTGTCATACCAACCTAGAGTACCAAGAGGTTCTTTATATCTGCTTTTATGCTACTTTAGTTTTGCTTGGTAAATTTTGTATCTTTTCCTGTGTGGCTTCCTAAAGATTGCTTAAGCTATTTGGCAAACCTATACTTGTCAATTAGAAATGGCTACATCTAACTAAGTTGCCTTGACACTTTTTAATCAAACCACAGTTTCAACTCGGTGTTCTGGAATGATTTTAAAACCCACATGGAAAGCATTTGAGAGTGGTTTCCTTTGTGGTCTTAGTACAATAATTTCCCATATCATTTTTCCAATAATCCCTTTGACCTTTGACTATATTTCAAGGTGTGTTCTTTTGGAGAGGACAATTATTCCTTTTACTCTCCTATGTTAGTGGTAATACCTTGAGGCTAAGAGAAGCCATATGGAGAACACTGTGCTTGGGTAATTGAATTCAGAATGAGTATGATTGTTCATCATTTGGTAAAACCCAGGTTACTTGTGATAGGAAAGAGGTGCCATAATATACACACCTTGAAATAATTGAAGTATTTTACCTTGTTGATTTGATGACTAAATGCTCCCATTTTTGTAAATAATCTTATAACTGTTGATTTATTTTGTATGAATAATTTTATTCTAAAATTGTATAGGAAAGTTTCCCATTTTAATCAGTAAATTAGGCCAATGGTTCTCAAACTATAGAGAGCAAAAGAATCACAGTACTGGGCCCCATCCTCATAATTTGTGATTCAGTAGGTCTGGAATGGGGCCGAGAATGTGTATTTCTAACAGGTTCCCAGGCAATGCTGTTAGTCCAGGGAACACACTGAAAACCATTGAATTAGGCAAATGATGTAATATATGTGGTGCCATGAGGGTTTGATAATATAGTTAAGTCTTAAACTTGAGATATAAACCTTTACACTTTCAAAGAAAAATAATCATTCCCCTGGAGAAGTTACGCCTCAAAAAAATTGTTTTTCAGCCATCATGTATTTTTGACCAGGTGTTAATTTCCACTTTAGTGAGAATGTGTTTCATAATCATGTTACATCTTTTTTCTCATAGCTGGAATTATTTCTCTTCTGGATGAAGATGAACCACAGCTTAAGGTATGAATTGAAGAATAAGTAACTAGGCTTAGTGTGAATACTGTGAAGCCTTTTGAATTTAGTGATATCTGTAATCTTCCATCATTTAAAGTTGCTGTCCTAGCTGGCTTGTACCCAGTTACTGTAACCTAGCCAGAGAGGACAGTATTTTGGCCACAGCAGTTGGTTTCCCTTGAGTTTAACAAAGCTAAGACAAATAAACCTCGTTACGACACTTGAATAGCCCCCTAATTTCTTTCTTTTTTTTCTTTTTTTAATCTTTTTTCTTTTTTGAGACAGAGTCTCGCTTTATCACCCAGGCTAGAGTGCAGTGTGTGGTCATGGTTCACTGCAGCCTTGACCTCCTACACTCAAATGATCCTCCCACCTCAGCCTCCCAAGTAGCTAGGACTGTAGGCATGCACCACCACACTCAGCTAATTTTTAAATTTTTTGTTGTGATGGGGTCTCACTGTGTTGTCCAGGTTGATCTCAAACTCCTGCTCCTGGGCTCAAGTGATCCCCCCGCCTTGACCTCCCAAAGTACTGGGATTACGGGTCTGAGCCACCACACCTTCCGCTTCCCCCGCCCCAGTTTCATTATCAACAGAAAACACAAAAAGTTGTTGCTTCTGTTTCACATATTTAAAGTTTTTTATTTGATGAAAATTTGGAATGTCCTTCTGGTGGCTCTAGATACTTGATTCCTTTACATCTAAACCAGCAACCTGGAGTTAATTGTTTATATTCAAAGAAGAAAAATGTTGATGATTGAAAACAGAAAAGAAATGTGTAAACTCAAGAAAAAGTGTAAGTTGGTAAATTTTTATATTTGTCATAGAGTAAAAGTTTGAGTAAATATTACTGAGGATTTGATCATTGATTTGCTGAAAAGAATTTTTTAAGGAAGTGTAATGATAAGTCTATCTCAAAATAGGATTTTGGTTATCTTTTACAGGAATTTGCACTACACAAATTGAATGCAGTTGTTAATGACTTCTGGGCAGAAATTTCCGAGTCCGTAGACAAAATGTAAGAAATTATTTTTATAAATCAGAATAAGATGGATCAAATTTAATTGTGAATGTGGGTCTTGTGGCTTATTGATTCATTTAGAAATTTGCTGTTAACTGAATTGTGGCTTGAATATTTAGATTTGGGATTTTTAGGGAAAACCACAGTTTGAACTAGACCTGTACTTCCTAATTTCTTTCAGAGAGGTTTTATACGAAGATGAAGGTTTCCGGAGTCGGCAGTTTGCAGCCTTAGTGGCATCTAAAGTATTTTATCACCTGGGGGCTTTTGAGGAGTCTCTGAATTATGCTCTTGGAGCAGGGGACCTCTTCAATGTCAATGATAACTCTGAATATGTGGAAACTATTATAGGTAATTATCGTCTATCTGGTAAGGCTTTATCTTGTCGGCTTCTTTCTTGCTGTAGTGCACATAGAAGCTTTTTTCCTGAATTTGATGTTGCCAAATTTCATTTTAATTGGAAGTTCCTAATCTTTCTATAATAATTTTATGCAGGCTGAGTTTTTAGATCTGCCCTTCAACTGAGTGCTGGTTCTCAGTGGTTATGATGATCACCAGTCCAGTGAGCCTACTGTTAGAGGAAAAGATTAAATCAGATTAGTATGAGTAACAAGTGGTACCAGTTTGTGTAGTTTTTTCGAATACAGGAAACCATTATTTAGTATCTGCATTGTGCTAGGCACCGTGCTAGTCACTCTGCATACCATGGTTTATTCCACAGCTACCCCATGAGGAAGGAGCTAGCCGTTTTACAGATGAGACAACTTGGATTTTGAGATGATAAAGACATGGTTATTAAATAGAAGGATAAAATTTAAAACCTGGTTTTACTCACTCTAAAACCCATACTGTTTCTATTTGTAACCGTTGTTTTCTTACTTGTTTCCTTATTTTTGAAGGAAGGGGATAACACACAGGCAAGGCTTTGAATTTTCTGACACATATTTCAACCAGAGTTGTAAATTCAACTAGTTATGTAAGATTTGATACAAAGATTTTATAGTGTAAAAAAATGCTTGAAAACTGTTGATGTAGTAAATGAAAGAAGGGACTGCATACCCTTCAGACATGTGTTTATCAGACTTTGGATTCATAGTACAGAGAGCTCAAGGGCATGTTCTGTCAGGAGTGTGCAGTGCAGATATTTCACATTGCTGATTAGTAGAAGGTCTGTATTATTCACTTGAACACTTACAAGGAGGAAGTTGGTATTCTCTTTTAGAAATTGGGAAGTCCTGCACAAGGGGGTTGATAGAGGTACCATCAACTGTCCTTGGGATTCTGTGTTCATGTTTTTAAAGTTTTTGCTATGATGATGTGAAAATTTTGCAAGTTACTTTATTGCTGTTGGAGGCTCATTGAATTGAGCTGTCATCTGTGAATCCAGTGGGAAGAACTGATGGCTTAAAAGGATGGACCGTATTATTTGAAACTAGACTACTTTCTTCACTTTAAGCTAGAAGCAGGGGGTGAAATACCTTACTTATCTCTTTTATTTGATGGATTTTTTTTTTTTTGAAAACAGGGCAGGATCTCACTGTGTTGACCAGGGTGGTCTCAAACTCCTGGCCTCAAGCAGTTCTCCTGCTTTGGCCTCCCAAAGTGTTGGAATTAACAGGCGTGAGCCACCACAGCCAGCCTTTTTTTTTTCTTTAATGAAGGTTTATGGTTTTTTACAACAGTGATCTACAAATGCTTAAAATGCCACCATTGTACAAATTGTGCTTTTAAACTGGACTGTTGGTATGAAGTGCTATGGCATGGTAGATGCCTTCTAAACACTGTATCATTTTACCTTTGGAAGGTGAGTTTTGATCAGTAGACCAGTTCTGTTTGCATTTATTTATTTAAAAGTGGGGTTCACCCTTCCTCTAGTTTTGTAGGGCACATTTTTTAAGATGTCAGTGAGATTCATGAGGGGGTATACAAAACAGAATTTGGGTAAGGCTTCCTAGCGTCTTAATGAATATCGTAAACAGTACCTCCAGAAAATCCAGGACTCATAAATCTCCAAGTTATGACAAGGCTTTAGCAGGAAATGAGGCTGAGTTTTAGTTATAACATAAACCTGGGATATATTTATGACATATATGCAAACCTGGTGAATGAGAACATGAATCTCATTTGAAACCTGGGACATACATTTTTCCCCTTCAGTTATATAATCTAAGGAAAATTCCCCAAATGTTCTAATTTTGAGGTTCCTCTCTGATGGGGTAGGGGTAATGTTTCCTCACTTAGCTACAGTTGGTTCAAAAAGCTCACATTAGGGCCTGGTGGACATTTTCAACAACTGGAATTCTTTAAGGTCTATTTTGCATTATAACATCCACTGTGTTTTTTTGTTTGTCTGTTTGTTTTTTGGCAGTTTTTCTCTGTTGCCCGGGCTGGAGTGCAATGGCACGATCTTGGCTCGCTGCAACCTCCACCTCCCTGGTTCAAGTGATTCTCGTGCCTCAGCCTCCCAAGTAGCTGGGATGACAGGTGCACACTACCACACCTGGCTAATTTTTGTGTTGTAGAAATGGGGTTTTGCCATGTTGGCCAGGCTGGTCTTAAACTCCTGGCCTCAAGTGATCCACTTGCCTCGGCTTCCCAAGATTTTGGGATTACAGATGTGAGCCACTGACCCAACCCACTATGTTCTTATTAACTGTACCTGAACCTTCATGGTTCCAGCTGAATCTTGAATGTAGTATATTCCAATTTATAAAAGTCCTCTGCTTCCTTCAAGATATAGACCCATTTAACCCGGGTCATCTAGTAGGCCAACAATCATTTATGCTAGTTAAAATTATTTTTATTTCTTGGGGCTATGGTTTGTAACTAATAAATCTTGCCCTCGTCTTCTTACTTATCTTTGAAAGGGAAAGAAACAAGCCAATGAATTATGGAGAGGATAATTAATGTATATGTCATTCCTCTTGGGTGACTGGGTTTTTTGTTTTTTTGTTTTTTTTGTTTTTTTGTTTTTTTGTTTTTTGTTTTGAGACAGTCTCGCTCTGTCTCCCAGGCTGGAGTGCAGTGGCGCGATCTCGGCTCACTGGAACCTCCACCTCCCGGGTTCACGCCATTCTCCTGCCTCAGCCTCCCGAGTAGCTGGGACTACAGGCGCCCGCCACCACACCCGGCTAATTTTTTTTTTTTTGTATTTTTAGTAGAGACGGGGTTTCACCGTGTTAGCCAGGATGATCTCGATCTCCTGACCTCGTGATCCACCCGCCTCGGCCTCCCAAAGTGCTGGGATTACAGGCGTGGGCCACCGCGCCCGGCCAGGGTGACTGTTTTATCTTCCTTATGAAGGTGGAAGGCTTAGGGAAATGTCCTTCTTTTGGTTGTACTTAGAAAGTTTAAGGTGTGATTGCAAAGATATAACTAAATTGCAAACAAATGTTTCTTATCAGGTGTGCTATTGATATCCTTCAGTATGTCACACCCTCCCCTCCATGCACCCAAATCATTGTGAAATATGGAAGCTAAATTGGGCACAAACACTTTTGCATGAATTTTCAGACACCTTCTTGGGAGAAATAGGTTCCACCTACCTCACATTGAGACAATAAATAGAGTCAGGAATCACATAATGACAGACTGCATAGACAACAGATGTCCCATAAGAGTACAATACCATATTTTTACTGTACCTTTTCTGTGTTTAGACACAAATGCTATTGCCTATAGTATTCAATACACTAATATGCTATACAGGTTTGCAGCCTAGAAGCACTAGGCCATACCATAGAGCCTAGGTATGTAGTAGGTTATATAACATCTAGGTTTGTGTAAGTTCACTCCATGATGTTTGCACAATGATGAAATCACCTAAAGATGTGTTTTCCAGAATGTATTACTGTCATTAAGCGACACAGGACTGTTTTTCAAAGGATCTGCTACAGTTGCTGGAAAAGTTTTTGGAAATCTTTGGAACTGCCTTTTAAACTTGTGGCACATTTCAAGTCATTTCCCCATTACCCTACAGAGACAATTTAGACATAGTTCTTACTCTCAGGTTGCTAATAGTTTCATTAATGCAAAGAAGTCCGATATACTACTATGTGATAATTGCTATAATAGGCCTTTTAAAATATCTTCAGTAATGGCAAATGTTTGTTTTTTGAAAGTGAAGCAGCAGCTATTTGTAGCCAGTTCTTTTGAATAAGCAGCTTAATCGGGTAGAGTAATAAAATTTTGATCAAAATGGAGTAACAAGATAGAAACTTTAAAAATAAATTAAATAAGAGACAGGGTCCCATTGTGGTGCTCAGGCTGGCGTTGAACTCCTGGGCTCATGTGATCCTCCTGCCTCAGCCTGCCGAGTAGCTGGGACTGTGGGTGAGCACTACCACACCTGGCAGATAGAAATGTTTTGAATAATGTCAACTGGATTGGAATTAATGTGTAGTTCTCCGGTGTAAATATTATGGGAGAACAGTATTCAAATGCATAAGTTCTAGCATTTCAAAATTTGCTTATTGCTTTATAGTCATCCCATAAGTATATATGATTATAAATATAGGCATTGCCCTTTCTGATAGTTTAGCCCAATTTACAAGATAATCAGTTATTTTATTTCCTCAACAGCAAAATGCATTGATCACTACACCAAACAATGTGTGGAAAATGCAGATTTGCCTGAAGGAGAAAAAAAACCAATTGACCAGAGATTGGAAGGCATCGTAAATAAAATGTTCCAGCGATGTCTAGATGATCACAAGTATAAACAGGCTATTGGCATTGCTCTGGAGACACGAAGACTGGACGTCTTTGAAAAGACCATACTGGAGTCGGTAGGTAGATGATGTTATTTTAGAAATTATTGTTGATAGGGAATCAGCAAAGCAAGTTATTCAAACTGAAACTTTCATAGGCAGTGAAAAGAAAATCTAGTTTAGAAATAGCAGGTGATCTTTTGCCAAATATTTTATTTTCATATTTATGTATGAACCTTGGTTGTGTTTTGTGTTCATGAAATATCTGCTTTTATCTTACCACATAATCCTTTGAAGTCTTGCATGGGGAAGTTGTATTAATTACTCTGCCCTTTTTAAGAAGACAATAAACTATATTTTAATGCATTTATTAGGGTTAAAACTACTCAGCTAGATTCCTGGTTTGCGGTGTTTGCAATAATTAAGACAATTTAAGTCACCAACCGAAGTGGTCAGAAAGGTACAAAGCTGAGTAAAATGGACATTGATCTGCAGGCTTACTTTGCCTCACCAGCTATTTCTTTCCATGAGCTAGCTCTCTGTACACTAGCCATTTTGGTATCTTCTCATCTAGATGAACCCTGCCTCGTTCCCCCTTCCAAAAATATTTTTTACATTTCTTTTTTCTTTCTTTTTTTTTTGAGATGGAGTCTCGCTCTGTCAACCAGGCTGGAGTGCGGTGGCGCAATCTTGGCTCACTGAAACCTCTGCCTCCGGGGTTCAAGCAATCCTCCCATCTCAGCTTCCTGAATAGCTGGGATTACAGGCGTGTGCCACCACACCCAGCTAATTTTTGTATTTTTAGTAGAGTTGGGGTTTCATCATGTTGACCAAGCTGGTCTCAAACTCCTGACCTCAAGTGATCCACCCGTCTCAGCCGCCCAAAGTGCTGGGATTATAGGCATGAGCCACCACACCTGCCCTCCATTCCTTTCTTTGCCTGCTTTATTTCTCCTCACAATCCAAAACTTAGCTCAACTATCCCTTGTTTGCAGAACTTTGATCCCAATACCCATGCCTTCCTCAGCCCCTAAGCAAAGACTAGGTCCAGTTCTGTTGTTAATCTTATGGAGCCCTGTACATTTTTTCATGGTGTTTATCCCTTGATAATTGTATTAGTAGATAGTTAATAGCTGTCTTTCCCACTAGATCATAAGCTATATCGGGACAGGTATTTGTGCCTTTTTCACCACTGTATCCCCAAAACCTAACACAGTGTTTAGCGTCGATAATACGATTTGTTTAAATGAGTGAATGAATGAATGGCCTAATGTGATATAATGGCCCTTGTTTCCCTCTCAATTTCATTTTTGTGCAGTTTTAGCCCATCCTTGTCTTCGTGTGTGTAAGATTACATTTTTGGCTTTCATTTATTCAACAAATATTTTTTCAGTGCTTACTGTTTGCCAGATACTGTTCTAGGCATTGGAGATGTGCATTGTCCCCATTCATCCATGGTTTTGCTCTCTGTGGTTTCAGTTACCTGCAGTCAACTACAGACTGAAAATATTAAATAGAAAATTCCGGAAATAAACAATTCATGTCTTAAATTGTGCACCATTCTGACTAGCACAACGAAATCTCTCACCATCTCTTTCCATCCCGCATGGGATGTGAATCATCCTAGTAGATCTATGCTGTGTACACTGCCTATTAGTCACTTTAGTGGCCACCTTGCTTATCAGATTGACTGTCGCAATATCACAGTGCTTGTGTTCAGATAACCCTTATTCTACTCAGTAATGGCCTCAAAGTACAAAAATAGTGATGTTGGCAATTTAGATATGCTAAAGAGAAGCCTTAAACTGCTTCCTTTAATTGAAAAAGTGAAAATTCCCAACTTAATAAGGAAAGAAAAAAAATTGTGCTGAGGCTGCGCTGAGATGTACATAAGAATGAATCTTCCATCCATAAAATTGTGAAGAAGAAAACAGAAATTTGTGCATAATTTATATAGAGTTTGGTACTGTTTGTGGTTTCAGGCATCTGCTGGGGGTGCTGGAACATAGTCCTCTCAGATAAAGGAGCACCTACTATAGTAGCAAACAAGACCAACAAAGTTCCTGCCCAAAGCAAACACTTCATTGGGGAATCTAGAAGGAGAACAAGCAGTCAAACAAATAAATATATAAAGTAAAAGAATGAAAAATGTTTTAAAAAAAAAAAAGCAGAGTAACAAATGCATCTTTCTTTGTATCCCAGTGCACATATACATATAGATGTAATTTAAGCTTTATGAAACTAATACCTACTCTTACTACTTGTGATATAACTCTGTTATTTTTAAATTGTATTTTTTATTTTTTTAATTTGCTAGTCACACTTCATTAAATTGATTTTATTACGCAGTGGAAAGTCACAACTCACTTTTTGAGAAACACTCCTGTAGCTTTCAGTGTGCTAATTTATGTTGAAGGCCTTTTACAGGGTGAAGTCTCAAATATTGGGGATACTTTTGAGAATCACCAAGTAAACACATAGAGCCTGGATCAAAGTTTTCTTGTAGGGAGAGCACCAGACAGATGTGGCAGTACTCAATGCTTGAGTCACTGAGAGCTGTGTTGTGTTTCCTGGCCAGCAAGTGAGTGTAGGCAGTAAGTCATGAGGGAGTCTAGTAGCAAGATAAGAAGCAGAAAGACTTCAGCAGACACATTTGGAAAACATAGCTACTTAGTGTATGGACAGTTGTATATCTTTTATAATAATTAACAGCATCACTTTATTATAGTATACTATGTTCATGTAATAGTGATTCTGAGTACCACTAAATATTATTTTTAATCCATTTTTTATGATGATGTGGAAATATGTAATTCTTTTAAGATTTTCATCTAAAATGGTTTAAAATTCTTGAGTTTGTATTGCTTAAGAGGTCTAAATAATTGGCTTCCTAGATTGGCTAAAGAAGCAAGATTAAAATAATTCAATTTCTAAATAAATATAATGCTGCAATAACCAGATAACGTTATATCTTTAAACTATCTCTTTCAGAATGATGTCCCAGGAATGTTAGCTTATAGCCTTAAGCTCTGCATGTCTTTAATGCAGAATAAACAGTTTCGGAATAAAGTACTAAGAGTTCTAGTTAAAATCTACATGAACTTGGAGAAACCTGATTTCATCAATGTTTGTCAGGTAATGACATTAAATTATGTTTCATTACATTGCTCCACGCTGTACTGTGCTATGCTATACCACTTCACATTTTATTACTTTATATTACTATAATGGCTTTATACATGTATCTCAGCTGATCTTCACAGCAGCCCTGTGAAAATAAGGTATGTGCTTTATATTCCTTTTTATTAATAAGAAACTAAATCTCACAACACTAAAAAGCTATTTTGTTGTAACACATTCTTTCTTTGTATTCTTTTTTCATTTTGAAAATCCAATAATTTAAGGAAATTTTTAGAAATAACGAAGGTTTTTTAAAAAGCTAGAAGATTAAAACAGTGCCTATGCTATACTATATCATTCTAAAGAGAATTCAAAGTGTATAAATTATATATGGTTTCATTACCCATACACACCAAAACATTTGGGTATCTTTTCTTTATCTCTTTCTATATATAAATTTGCTTGCACATAAAAAAAAATTCAGATGGTACAGAAAATATATAAAATGAAAAGTAAGGCTTCTCTTTCCCATCATTTGGGCTTTTTCCCAAAGGTAAGACATAGATGTTTTTCCCTACTTATTCACACATGTGGATCTACTGCATTCTTTTAATGACTGTATTGTATTTTATTGACTGGAGGTGTGCATGGGTTTACTTTTTAACAATTGCTATGTTGTATACATTTTTTGTATTCTGCTCAGGGCATAGCATTTTATTGCACATTTTATTGTTTCTTCATTAAAATGTGCTCCTGTGTATTTTAATCCTCTAGACTTTGAAAATTTAGATTAAAACACTGTTTTTTACAATCCCTTTTAAAGCAAGTTTGAAACAAAATACTAGAAGAAAAAATATCCATGTTTAAATCACCCAAAGTCAACTTACTATTCTAACTTGATTTTTTACATCACCCAAAGTCAATTTAGTATTTAATAGTGTATTTCCTTTCAGTTTTCTCTACATAGGTTTTCGGAGTTTTGTTGTTTGTAAATATTTTTCATAGTTTTTTTTAAAACTGACATGAAAAATAGTAGTTCCCTGCCCTCTTCCTGTCTGTATTTCAGTTTTATTCCTTAGAGGCAATTTTATTTCTTTCAGCTGTTTTATTCCTTATCTTTTTATTATTTTTAAAAACTTTATTGCTCATTTTTAAAATAATATATTTTTGAGCAGATAATATGTTCATGTGATTTAAAATTCAAAAAGAATGATGGGGTATACAATGAAGTCTTCCTATTACTTGGCTCCAGCTACCAAGTTCTTTTCTCTGTGGATAAACAGTGTTAATTGTATACAGTCTTTAACATTTTTCCATGTTCTAATTCTTCATAGAGTCCTCTTACTTGATTGTTGTAATCATTCAGTGTATGTACTTTGCCCTACTTAATCATTCCCCTATTGTTGACCACTTATTTTGTTTGTGTTATTTCGTGTTCTTAATTTATAATAACTTTGATTAATGTGTTTATTTTGAAGTTGAGTTACTTGCTGCCTAAGGGAACAAGAAAATTTAAATTGAGTTTTTAAAAGAAAAATTCTAACTTTGTTGGATAATTTTGTTAAAACAATGGCAGATCATAAGAGTAGTAAGAGAAATGCTTCAAAATGGTAATTTTAATGTCTCTTGTCCTGGCCCAACACAACACAATGTATGTTAAATGAATGAGTAACTTCCATAATATATGGTAAGGGAGAAAATAACAAATTAAGGAGCACTTAGGTATAACTTATGGATAAGATTTAAAGAAGCCAAGATTCATTCAACAACCAATGTTGAATACTGCTGATTACCAGGCACAGCATTAAGAGTTATAAATATAATTTGTATGAATTTTTTTATGGAAGACAGATGCCATGTTTAGAAAAATTTCATCTAGTGCTGGGTTTAGAAATAGAGTGCTAGACTGGATAGTCTGCCCTAGTTTGCCTGTGCTTATATTTTAAGGTTTTCTATAATGTTGATTTTGTCTCCTTAAGTACCTTGTAGATGAAGTTTTTAATTATTGAATAATTGTTCTTTATCTCCATTTCAGTGCTTAATTTTCTTAGATGATCCTCAGGCTGTGAGTGATATCTTAGAGAAACTGGTAAAGGAAGACAACCTCCTGATGGCATATCAGATTTGTTTTGATTTGTATGAAAGTGCTAGCCAGCAGTTTTTGTCATCTGTAATCCAGAATCTTCGAACTGTTGGCACCCCTATTGCTTCTGTGCCTGGATCCACTAATACGGGTACTGTTCCGGGATCAGAGAAAGACAGGTATAAGTACCTTTTTCTGCATCAAAACTAATTGAATAATCTTTATTTCATTTTGGGGACAGGTAGAATATTTATAGGAAGCATATTCTAAGAATAAATTTTGCCACTAGCTTTCATAGATTGTAAAGTCTTATTAGGCTGTTGCTCTGTTTTGTACTGTGCTGGGTGTAGTAAGGAAAACCGAAGAAATTGACCCTTCTGGAAAGAAATAGAAGTGATTATCTCGTAGGGAGGGCCTACCAGACAACATGTGTACTATTTAATCAAGTAAATTTAAAAAAACAGGTGGGGATAGGTTGGGGCTACCTTTTAGATATTTGGGTTAGATATATCTGGGTTAGATATTTAGAAAGTAAAGAACATTCTCAGCTTTTTATGCTTTTATTAGAACTAAATACACAAATTTCTATAGTATTAGAAATTTGCATTCTGTACAAATTGATATGGTATTAAAATTTTATTTTTCTGTATTTTACACGTTTAGATCACTTACTAAAAACATTTGTGTGTCTTAGTTGTGCCTGTATATGCCGGCAGCCCCCTAGCCCGCTCTTTCACTGGATATCTGTGTCTGAGAAATGTGGGACTCTCTCTTTCACTTAAGCACTCAGAGGCCATTGTAGGGTTATTAATTGGCCTAATTTCAATATTGTTGTGTCTCAGGGAATAGGGAGTCCCAAGGAGAAGGAGAGAGATGGGGGAATGACCGGTGTGTGGAGCAGTCAGAACACACACATTTATTGATTGAGTTTGCTGTTTTATATGGGTGTGGTTCGTGGTGTCCCAAAACAACTACAATGGTAACATCAAAGATCACTGATGACAGATTACCATAACAGATATAACGATAATTAAAAAGTTTTAAATATTGCAAGGATAACTAAAATGTAACACAAGGACAAAGTGATCACATACTATTGGAGAAGTGGCTCCAATAGACTTCCTTGAAGGGCAGTAAAACAAAGGTATGCCTATATTTTTCTTTATATCACTACCTCTTTCCTTATTACTAAAACTATGCTAAGTCTTGCAGTCAGGTATTGTAAGACCTACAATTTTGATTCTTTTTTCTTTTTCAAGATTCTTTGGGCTATTGTAGATTTTTTGCATTATATAAGTCTGTGGGTGTTCTGATTGGGATTGTATTGAATATCTTCAATTTGGGGCACATTGAAATCCCGATAATATTGAATCTTGTAATCCAGGAATATGGTGATCTTTTTCATTTACTTAGGTTTTTTATTTTTTTCTCAGTAGTGTTTTGTAGATTCAGTGCAGAGGTTTTACACATCTTTTCTTAAATTAATGTTCTTATATCCCTAAGTATAATTTGTTTTTTGATGCTGTTGTGAAGTGGTATTTTTAAATTTCTATTTTTTTTGTTGGTAGTATATAGAAATATAATTGATTTTTATATACTAACATTGAATCCTATGACCTTGATAAAATCATTTATAGCTTTATAAATGATTTTTTTAAGTAAATTTTTTAAAGTAGATCCTTTTACAGAATTCTGTTTATTGGCATCTTGGTCATCTGCAGTTAGAGAGCATTTTACTCCTTCTTTTGTAATCTTTATACCTTTTCCCTCTCTTTTTTTTCTATATTGGCTAGAATTCCCAATACTTACAGAAGTGATAAGAGGCAGTGAAAAAAATCTTTAATTTTTTTCAATCTTAGGGGGATAGAATTTTTTATTTATTTTCGAGACAGAGTCTCAGTCTTGTCACCTAGTCTGTAGTACAGTGGCACGATCTCAGCTCACTGCATCCTCCACCTTCCTGGGTTCAAGCAATTCTCCTGCCTCAGCCTCCTGAGTAGCTGGGGCTACAGGCGCAGGCTATCATGCCCGGCTAATTTTTATATTGTTAGTAGAGACGGAGTTTCACCATATTGGCCAGGCTGGTCTCGAACTCCTGACCTCAGGTGATCCGCTTGCCTCAGCCTCCCAAACTTCTGGGATTACGGGTGTGAGCCACCATACCCGGCCTATTTATTTATTTTTGATTTAACAAGTTTTCTTTCTTCTTGCCTTCTCCTTTTCTTAAGGCTTATGTGTGGTGGTTACAAGTTCCTTCTGAGTTAATCTTCATTTCTGAAATTATTATTTTTTCTCTTTTATTTCTGATTTTCTCTAGTTCTATCATGTTAATTTCTGAGTTTTTGTACTTCTAATATGTAATAGTCTTGTATATTTTATGTAATTTTCCTAATTTCTCTTGTTTTGAAATAACTTTTTTCTAATATTTTATGAGATTTTACTTTGATGCTTTTCTGTAGCTTATTTTTACTGAAATTAGTTTTTCTAAACTTTTCCAAAGGAGGCTTGTTTAGGATAGTTTTTCCAATTTTACTGCCCTCCAGTATTTCCTCTTCTGTTGCATTTATGTAGTACTATACAAAATAATGGCTTTTGTTTTGGGATCTCCTGACTCTGTTTCCTTTCTCCATTGCCCAGGCTAGGGTGCAGTGGTGCGATCATAGCTCACTGCAACCTCAAACTCCTAGGCTCAAGCAATCTTCCCACTTCAGCCTCCGGAGTAGCTGGGACTACAGGCACGCACCACTATACCTAGTTCATTATTTAAATTTTTTTGTGGAGACAAGGGTCTCATTTTGTTGCCCAGGCTTATTGGTACCTTCTTTATCTTTGTCCCTGCCTTTTTAATTTGGATTCTCTGCCCAGCACTTTTTCCTCAATATGGTGCTTTGACCTACAAGGGACTGTTGGCTGATTAGATTTAAGAGTAGTTGGGGTCCCAGCCCCTTCTTTTCAAGCCCATTTTGTAGCTGGTGGTGATTTTGCTTTACCTGACTGTGTTTTGTGAATGAAGGAGATATTTTGTCGCCTGTTCTTGTTGTATTTGTTGTCCATGGTTTTGCTAACCTAGTTGCTTTGTTTTTATTATTTGGAGGAAATTTAATAACTGGATTGCCTCCATCTTAGAGATGTGTAGAATTTTTTATTTCTTAATGGTAATACTTTAGTAAACATTATTTTCTTGCAAAATATTCAATTTGGACATGGTTCAGATCTGTGGTATAAACAAATTGTACTTCTCTTCAGAAAAAATTATTGGTTCTTTTCATTTCAGTGACTCGATGGAAACAGAAGAAAAGACAAGCAGTGCATTTGTAGGAAAGACACCAGAAGCCGTGAGTGTGCTTTTTTTTTTTCCTTTGAGACAGGGTCCTGATCTGTCACCCAGGCTAGAACGCAGTGGCGCGGTCTCGGCTCACTACAACCTCTGCCTCCCAGGCTCAAGCTTTCCTCCCACCTTAGCCTCCCAAGTAAATGGCTGGGATTGCAGGCATGTACCACCACGCCTGGCTAAGTTTTGTATTTTTTGTAGAGACAGGGTTCGCTGTGTTGCCCAGGCTGGTCATGAACTCCTGAGCTCAAGCAATCCGTTTGCCTTGGCCTCCCAGAGTGCTGGGATTACAGGCATGAGCCACCGAGCCAAGCCACCATGCCCAGCGAGTGTGCTTTTTGAAGTTGAGATTGTTACTTAATAAATATTTCCACAGGATATTGTAAATTCTTTCAAGTATATATTCTATACATGCTTTTATTAAAGTTTACTGTTAAGTTTGATACCAAAGTCATTTTATAAAAATGAATTTTCTGTAAAGATTAAAGTTTTAAAAATTGATCCGAAGAAAACATTTAGAAGAAATCAAATCCTTAGATCCTTACTTCAGGCAGAAGTTATTTCTGTCTGAAATAACTTCAAATTACCTATCACAGGGTGAAAAAAAGGTATGGTCTCTAGCAAATGGCAACATATATGGGAGGGAGGCTAATTGTTTTTGTTGTTTTTAATGTTTGCAGCGTATTGGAAGGGTAGGGTAAATATTACAACAGTGGTCTGTTGGACTTTTGGTTCCTGATGCTCAGGTGTGTAAACTTCAGCTGTTCTTCACCTGGTTGGAAAGTTGTGTTGGTGGCATGGTAGTTTATAAGATCAAGGCTGGGCACTGTGGTTCATGCATGTAATCCCAGCACTTTGGGAGGCCAAGGTGGGTGGATCACCTGAGGTCAGGAGTTCGAAACTAGCCTGGCCAACATGGCAAAACCCCGTCTCTACTAAAAATACAAAAATTAGCTGAGCGTGGTGGCACACGCCTTTAATCCCAGGTACTCGGGAGAATTGCTTGAGCTTGGGAAGTGGAGGTTGCAGTGAGCCAAGATTGCACCACTGCACCCCAGCTGGGGCAACAGAGAGAAACTCTGCCTCAAAAAAAAAAAATCATATATATATGTTGATTAAAGGTATTTTCAGTTTTCTCAGTTTCAAGTAGGAAGTTTCTCAATTAAAATATAAATTGACTCATTTAATAAAAAGTAATTTTCCTGCGTGTTATCAGTAATTATTCTTTCCCAGTTTTTAAAAAATATTTAAATATTTTACATCGAAAGCTAGCTGGGGATGAATTGTATTCTTCCATCAAGCTAGTATCATATCTCAGTAGCATCTAATAAAGAAAGAAATAAATTATCCTTTCTCTTAAAATGGACTGAATTTCACTGGTTTAGGACTGATGAAATAAAATTGGGTTACTGGATTATAGTAATACTGTTTATGAGTTTTCATTTTTTTTTTGTTTGTTTTGGCAGAGTCCAGAGCCTAAGGACCAGACTTTGAAAATGATTAAAATTTTAAGTGGTGAAATGGCTATTGAGTTACATCTGCAGTTCTTAATACGAAACAATAATACAGACCTCATGATTCTAAAAAACACAAAGGTAAGAAATTCATCAATAATAGAGGATTTTAAAAAATATTTAGTTCTTTGTTGCATATAAGTAATTATATTTATTTCTTGTTGGATACTTTCTTTATTTTATTTCCAATTAAGGAAAAAGTATTTAAGTTTTGAAAAAATAGCAATCAATTATCCTCTTGGAGTTGTTGGAAAGGAAGAAAATGAGCAATGATTGAGCTCTTGTTTTTATGCTTATCTCTTATTGGGGAGCTTAGTTAACTCATTTTTCATTTTTAATGTATACATGGAGCAGTTAGACAAATAGCACAATCAGAATATTAAGATAGGCTCTTGAGCCGCTTGCTTCAGCCTGCTCCAAACTCTGTGGAGTGTACTTTCATTTCAATAAATCTGTGTTTTTCTTTTATTACAAAAAAAAAAGAATATAGGTTTTGTGTCTGTATTTCCCATTGAACTATGATCTCCTTGAGAGCAGCGATTCTTACCTTGTTGCAGTGTTTGTTGAGATATTGCTCTTAACAGTTATTAATACTGATTTTAATTTTTTAGCAAGTAATATATTTGATTCAAAATATTTTAATATAAAAAGATATATAACATGAAAAATCTTCCTTCTCGCTCTCTTATTTATCCAGTACCCCTTCGCAAAGTCATTTTTTTATAGCCATATATTATTGAATGATTAAACAGTTGTTTGATTAAAGCATGTGTAATAATGCTCTTTGAAACTTTTAATACAATTTTTGCAAATGGCAAAAAATATGGAGAATCATATAGTCTCCATTCATGACAATTTAAAGCTAGTCTTTGTAATATAGTCTCATTAAAAATAAACAAAATTTGACCAGGCACGATGGCTTACGCCTATAATCCCAGCACTCTGGGAGGCCGAGGCAGGCGGATCACCTGAGGTCAGGAGTTCAAGACCAGCTTGGCCAACATGGTGAAACCCCGTCTCTACTTAAAATACAAAAATTAGCCGGGCATGGTGGTACATACCTGTAATCCCAGCTACTCGCGAGACTGAGGCAGGAGAATCGCTTGAACCCAGGAGGTGGAGGCTGCAGTGAGCCGAGATCGTACCACTGCACTCCAGCCTGGGCAACCAAGCAACACTCTGTCTCAAAAACCAAAAATAAACAAAATTATCTGGTAACTGTCAGAGGTGCAGCACTGCTCCTCAGGTTATCTCAACACCTTGGAGACCTTGGGCAAGATGGAGAAGAGAAAAAGCAAGTTTAATTAAACCAAAGAATAGAAAATCTGCTGTCCAAATTCCCCACTTAAAATCTGTTGTTGAGCTCTGTTAAAACTGCAAATAAAACTTTGACTTGCTTGTTTGTATAAACTAGCTATTTAGTCTTTATAAAAGAAATACCCAAGATCCATATTTTAAATCTCAGTTCAGTTTGTTCATGCTTTTACCACAAAATAGGACCTCTGACTGTGTGTGTGAGGGTGTGCATATATGAATACTTTGCCAGTGATGAAACAATTCTGTATTTGTTGTTGCAGGATGCAGTACGGAATTCTGTATGTCATACTGCAACCGTTATAGCAAACTCTTTTATGCACTGTGGGACAACCAGTGACCAGTTTCTTAGGTAAATATGCTTGTTGATTTTCACTTTGGTTCAAAATCTTTTTCTTTTTTTTTTTTTTTTTTTTTTTTGTGCAGTCTTACTCTGTGGCCCAGGCCGGAGGGCAGTGATGCGATCTCGGCTCACTGCAACTTCCATCTCCTGGGTTCAGGCGATTCTCCTGCCTCAGCCTCCCAAGTAGCTGGGATTACAGGCGCACGCCACTATGCCTGGCTAATTTTTATATTTTTAGTAGAGACAGGCTTTTGCCATGTTGGCCAGGCTGGTCTTGAACTCCTGACTTCAGGTGATCTGCCCACCTCGGCCTCCCAAAGTGCCAGGATTACAGACGTGAGCCACCGCACCCGGCCTAAAATCCTTTTTAACAGACACTGTGTTAACATTGTTGTAGAGATGTTGAGGACTTTCCTTGTTAACCAGTCCTTAATTCTAAATTATATTTTTGCTATTTTATGTATTTTTTGTTGTGTATTTCTACTTGTTTTAAGGTAAAATTAATTCCTTTTATTACTTGGCTTGATTATAGGCTCTTGAAGGAAATATATTAAGCTCTAAAATTTTATATAATTTTGTTTTTATTTATAGTAGAATTACGTATCGTGCATTTTAAAAATCCTTAAAATACTAAGAACAACTTAAGAGTTAAAATAGAATCAGTAGTAACTTGAGATCCACAAAGTAATTTGGAAGGGTTCAAGGTAAAATTTTAATGCTTTTAACCTTAGAGTTAAAAAGCTTTAAGGAATTCATTTGTTTTAACACTAATTAAAATACATCATCTTTTTTTACAGAGATAATTTGGAATGGTTAGCCAGAGCCACTAACTGGGCAAAATTTACTGCTACAGCCAGTTTGGGTGTAATTCATAAGGTAATATATATTGGTCAGTGTATACAGGCATCAGAAAAGAAGTAATTTTTCTGGGGTTAAGAAAAAATAACAGTTTATTATAATTCATTAACAAGTACACTTTGTTAAGTCAGATAAGTCATTTTGTGGAGAAGGCTAAAGTAAATAAGATACTGAAGTATTTATATGTGTGTTTGTTTTTAATAAAAAGTGGAAATTTGTTTCTATAAAGACTGTGTAAGCCATTGAAAGGATAAATTGAAATGTTATTTGCATAGTCTGAGATGGATTTGGGCAAATGTTATAAAACAAAGGGAAAAAATTGAAGCATTTGTGATTTTTTTTTTTTCTAACCAGAGTGTAACTGGGTCTCTTTAAAGGCTTGTCCTCTTGTTTGAGTTATACAATTATATGAGAGAGAGCCCCACTACCTCCTTCTCTCTTAGCAAGTGAACATTCTGGGGAAAAGGCAGTAATCATAGAAAACATTGTCTTTTTTCTTCTTACTTTCTCTTTTTGATGTCTTTGTTATGACTTACCTTTACAGGGTCATGAAAAAGAAGCATTACAGTTAATGGCAACATACCTTCCCAAGGATACTTCTCCAGGATCAGCCTATCAGGAAGGTGGAGGTCTCTATGCACTAGGTCTTATTCATGCCAATCATGGTGGTGATATAATTGACTATCTGCTTAATCAGCTTAAGAACGCCAGCAATGATGTAAGTATTAAAATGGAAAACTAAATTTCCAAAACTCAAGAATCCAGGATAACATATTTGCCACATTATTTTAGTGACTGGAGATTTTGTAGAATTTGCGAATACCCAAAACAACTGTCATCTTGGATTTTTTTTTTTTAGGTAATTTCATTTCCTTCTTGATAAGCTAAAATTGTGTTTCTCACTCCTTTAAACCCTGCGTGTATTTGTAAAACATGTTGTTTTCCCACACTTTCATCTTAAAATGTTACAACTACAAGTGACCTTAGTTATCATCTAGTCTAGGCCCTAACATTTTACTGGAAATTAAGGCCTAAAGAAGTTGCAGTCTCTCAGAAGTTAGAATCCTTGCTTGTTTTGATCTTTGATAATTGTTTAAAATGTAAATCTTTTGGAAAAGCTTACTAAGTAGCCCTGTTCTTATTTTAAGGAACCTTAAAATGTAATTTTACACTAACTTCTATATTGGAGTGAGGGCCATCAGGAGAGTAGTTAAGTGAGCCAGAAAACCTTGCCCTCATGCATAAGTGAAAAGATTGAAGCCAGGGCTGGGCACGGTGGCTCACGCCTGTAATTCCAGCACTTTGGAAGGCCGAGGCGGGTGGATCACCTGAAGTGAGGAGTTTGAGACCAGCCTGGCCAACATGGTGAAACCCCATCTCTACTAAAAATACAAAAAATTAGCCGGGCATGGTGGTGGGCACCTGTAATCCCAGCTACTCTGGAGGCTGAGGCAGGAGAATCACTTGAACCCGGGAGGCAGAGGTTGCAGTGAGGCCAAGATGGTGCCACTGCACTCCAGCCTGGGCGACAAGACAGAAACTCTGTCTAAAAAAAAAAAAAAAAAAAAAAGATTGAAGCCAATAGGATGATGTCTCAATTAATAAGCCCCTTAGCCACAAATCGTGTGTGCAGGTACACACATTTTTACCTTATTTCCCCTGGTCTCAGGTAAAAACTTTCTTATCAGATAGGGTTTATGGTTACAAAAAAACAAAACAAAACAAAACAAAAACAGCAATAGACAGCATTAAAAACCATTTCTAACTAACTTGAATAAGAAGTTTATTGGAAATAGCTTATATAATTAATAGAAAGGCTGATGAACTAGTTCTCACAAAGGTTAAAGAGCCAGAGCAACACCACAGATGCTAGATAACAGGAACTAATGAAATAGCCTTTTCAGGACCCTACCTTCAGGATGAATGAACTTGAAACATTTTTGGCCATTGGGTTATTCCACTTAAAGATGAAAATCGCAAAGAAGGAGCATTGTATTGCTCTGGCTTGGGTCACACTTTGGCTAGGGGAAGGTGGGAGATTCTTAAATGACAGTCCCACCAGGACTCTAACCAGTGGGGAGGAGTATTACCAAAGGAATGTTGGGATGCTGTCACTAATAGAAGCATGCTGTGCATTCAGAAATGACAGATGACCACTAAAGTTTCCTCTTTCAAATGTGTATATTTCAGAGGTACTCTGACCTCATTTTCAACCACTTTCTTCACAACCATGTTCCATTAGATACCTTTTTCTCCTCTGTCTTTAGCCTCTCACTCTGTACTGCCTCCTTTCCCTCAACCCATGAACATACTCTCATCTATCCTAAACAAAATTCTTTTCTTGACATCTCCCTCTTAGTTGTTCAGTCTTTTTCCTCCCCTTCTCATGTAAACCTACTGAAAGAGAGTTGTCCTCTCTGCCCACTTTGTTTTCTCACGTTCATTTCACAACTCACTATTTTTAATTTATTATCATTATTTTTTGAGACAGTTTCTTGCTGTGCTACCCAGGCTGGAGTGCAGTGGCACAATGATGGCTCACTGCAGCTTCAGCTTCCTGGGCTCAGGCCGTTCTCCCACCTCAGCCTCCCGAGTAGCTGGGATCACAGGCATGCACCACCACGCCCAGCTAATTTATGTTTATTTTTTTGTACAGACCGAGTCTCCCTATGTTGCCCAGGCTGGTCTCAAACTTCTGGGCTCAAGTGATCTTCCCACCTCAGCCTCCTAAAGTGCCGGGATTACAAGCATGAGCCACCAGTCCAGCCTCAGCTCACTATTTTTTGGCATCAGCAAATATCATTCTATTAAAAATGAAATTGCTGGGCTGGACACGGTGGCTCACACCTATAATCCCAGAACTTTGGGAGGCCAAGGTGGGTGGATCACCTGAGGTCAGGAAGTTACAGACCAGCCTGGCCAACATGATGAAACCCCATCTCTACTAAAAATACAAAAATTAGGCAGGCGTGGTGGCAGCCACCTGTAATCCCAGCTACTTGAGAGGCTAAGGCAGGAGAATCACTTGAACCCAGGAGGTGGAGTTTGCAGTGAGCCCAGATCACGCCATTGCACTCCAGCCTGGGCGACAAGAGCGAAACTACGTCTGAAACAAAAACTGCAATTGCTGAGTTTATCACTGACCTTTTGATTATCACATCCTTTGATCATTCTTACTGAGCCAACCTCTGCATATTTAATGTGAAACTGTATTTTGAAATTAGAATAAAAACTTGTATGTTAAGTACAGTGTACCAAATCAATGGAATCTATGTTTTTTCCTTAGATCGTTAGACACGGTGGCAGTCTGGGCCTTGGTTTGGCAGCCATGGGAACTGCACGTCAAGATGTTTATGATTTGCTAAAAACAAACCTTTATCAGGATGATGCAGTAACAGGTAAGCATTTCTTTCTAAAGCTAACAAGCTTAAGTATTAATTAATGTAAATGTAATTACATTAGTTTCTACCTATATTTTGTAGCCTCTTAAAATTCCGATGGATTTCTCTAGTTGAAGAGGAAGTGAATTTTGCTCCATTTGTCAAAGTTATCTTTTAAAACAAGTTTTGTGATATATAGGCTTTCTAAAATGGTATATCCTGTGTGTCCACTTTCATAACTGACTTTTGCAAACAGGAATTTATTAGGGTGATCTGCTTACTCCATACTGCTTGGCGATAATATAGAAAAAATGTTATCTAAATGTCTCCTTTGAAATCACTGTAGGATTTGATGGTACATTCTGTCAAAGTTTAAAAGGAAAACAACCCTAAATATGAATGTGCGAACCCTAAATGTATGAATGTGCTTCCACATAAAGTATCCTTTTTACCAGGTGGTTTAAAAAAATGCTATCAGAAGCTAATGATTTTTTTGATAGTTTATGCAAAAAGAGTGCTACTTTCAGTTGGATGTTTTACTGACTTTAAAAACATAACTCTCTGTTAACATTTTACTCGTTACTTGCCAGGGGAAGCAGCTGGCCTGGCCCTAGGTTTGGTTATGTTGGGCTCTAAAAATGCTCAGGCTATTGAGGACATGGTTGGTTATGCACAAGAAACTCAACATGAGAAGATTCTGCGTGGTCTTGCAGTTGGCATAGCTTTAGTAATGTATGGGAGGATGGAAGAGGCTGATGCTCTCATTGAATCTCTCTGTCGTGACAAGGTGAGATCACATACGTCCCTCACTGTCCATTTATCTCCAGCATGTAAAAAACACTTAACTTCACTGGAAATTAACTCTGTTCCCATCAGAACATGTAGGTACACTTATTCATAAAACTTCTGGCAATGTATATGAAGCCTAATAGAATTTAAGAAATAAAAGCACTGATTAGAAAAGGTACATGGGAGTAATTTGAGGATTTTAAATTTTGCTATAGCTTCAGATCGGTGATACTCATAAGCAGATTCAGCATAGTTCTTTAGGAATTCACGAGTTGATTTCTTTTAGAAATAATAATTTTTGGGCCAGGCGTGGTGGCTCACGCCTGTAATCCTAGCATTTTGGGAGGCCGAGGCAGGTGGATCACTTGAGGTCAGGAGTTCAAAACTAGCCTGGCCAACATGGTGAAACCCTGTCTCTGCTAAACGTAGAAAAAAAATTAGCCAGGCTTGGTGGCGGACACCTGTAATCCCAGCTACTTGGGAGCCTGAGGCATGAGAATTGCTTGAGCCTGGGAGACAGAGGTTATAGTGAGCAGGGATTGAACCACTGCACTCCAGCCTGGGTGACAGAGCAAGACTCCATCTCAAAAATATATATATATATATTTTTGGAATGATTTGATAGTCATTTAATAAGATACAAAGTTTACTTCATTATTCTTTTATCAGAAAACAGTACCAATCTCTATACTTGTTTATTTGGGTGAGGTTTTTTTTCCATTGCCTTTTGTTTAGTTTTTATAATGGTGTTGTATATGGTGGGTAGTTAGTGGCAGGTAATACTGTCCTCTATAATCAATAAGAACCACTGCTATAGTTTATTGATAAAATTATTAATTAATTTGTTCAGTTACCAGGCTCCATCTTTCTTCCACTCAGCACTCAGTACCCAGGAATTTAAATAAGGTAAAAATGTAGAATTAGAAGCCAACTTCCTTGCTTGATTGTTAAAAGGAAGTGGACTGCCATAGGAGTGGCTGTTGCTGTTGACTTGACTTTATACTTCCTAAAAAGTATGAAGCAGGGCAGGCATATTGCATAGCGTATTGGGAATTAAGAGCAGCTACCTCCTTCTGTATTTATGTGTTTTATTGCCCCATTTATTTCAAAAACTACCAACCACAAAAGAGTTATTGAGCTCATCATTTCCTATCTGAGACCAGCTTACTTGGTGGATGCCACTATGCCTATTAGACTGTAGAAGTTAACTGTTTGAAATAAGTTGATGATTAATGTTAAATTATTTTTCTTAGGACCCAATTCTTCGAAGGTCTGGAATGTATACTGTAGCCATGGCTTATTGTGGCTCTGGTAACAACAAAGCAATTCGACGCCTGCTACATGTTGCTGTAAGTACTCTGACCTTTCTTGGGAATGGGGTGGACGGAAAAGCTTGCAGATGGACAATAAGTGTCTAGGTGACTCCAGCATCCACAGCGCATGACCACCACCAGTGGTCTTAGGTTGTGATTCTCATTTACTGGACCCAACAGGCCATAACCTAGCACTAGATTCACTTAGCTTTTCAGAAGGATATGGGATGGGATAACAGTCCCATATAAATGGAAGTCCTTAAAGCCATTCAGGTGCAACTTCTAAAATCCTACTGCAAGGAGCACCCTCATTTGTAAGGGATAAGACCTTGTGAGTATGTGTGGCCACCCTAGGATAGAGAAATTCAGTGAAGAACAGGAACCATTTATTTCTTTTTACAGCCGGTAGAGTTAGCTTCCACATACCCCTAATGGGTGCAGTGGCTCATGCCTGTAATCCCAGCTACTCTGGAAAGTGAAGTGGACAGTGAGCTATAATTATGCCACCGCACTCTAGCCTGTGCGACAGGGCAAGACCCTATCTCTAAAAAACAAGCAAACAATCCCCCACCCCCACACCCCGGGACCCCTAAGGAACATGATCTATTACAAGAGATGCACTGCACAGGAAAGCCAATGCACATGTTTTCCAAAAGGCTTTCCACTCATAGTTCTCCTAATCCAAATGTAGTTATCAGCAATAAGTAATATTGCCTGGTCACACAGTGGACATTCCACGTGTCTTAATAGGTTTTTATCATCGTGGTGCTGGGAAAAGGTAAACCAAGGGTACCTTTCTATGCAGAAAGACTTAGAACTATTGTTAACTCCTTTTTCCCAGAGATAATATTTTCCACAGTATTTATTAATAATTAATAAATAATTTTTTTAGCAGTGCAGTATGTTCTAAATGTTCATATTTTGCAAAAGCCATAATGCAGCTGAAATAGTCTTTTTCTTTTTTTTTTTTTAGCGACTTTGAGACAGGGTTTCGCTCTATCATCCAGGCTGGAGCGCAGTAGCACAATCACAGCTCATTGCAGCCTCAAACTACTGGGCTCAAGTGATCCTCCTCCTACCTCAGCTTCCCATGTAGCTAGAACTACAGGCACACACCACCGTGCCTGCCTAATTTTTTAACTTTTTGTGTAGACAGGGTCTCGCTGTGTTGCCTAGGCAGATCTCGAACTCCTGGGCTCAAGCAATCCTCCTGTTTTGGCCTCTCAAAAGTGCTAGGATTACAGGTGTGAGCCACTGTGTCTGGCCAGTTGAAATGGTCTTAAGAAGTAGCCCTGGGGCCGGGCATGGTGGCGTACACCAGTAATCCCAGCACTTTGGGAGGCAGTGGTGGGCAGATCACCTCTGGTCAGGAGTTTAAGACTAGCATGTCCAACGTGGTGAAACCCCATCTCCACAAAAAATAGAAAAATTAGCTGGGCATGGTGGCACACGCCTGTAGTCCCAGCTACTTGGGAGCCTGCAGCAGGAGAAACACTTGAACCCGGGAGGCAGAGGTTGCAGTGAGCCAAGATTGTGCCACTGCACTCCAGCCTGGGTGACAGAGTGAGACTCTGTCTTAAAAAGAAAAAGAGAGAGAAAAGTAACCCTGAATCTTAAACTTTGTCAAGCTGTGAAGACTTCTAAGCCCCTGAATTGAAATTTTTCAATAACTTTTTCTAAACTGGGGACAGAAATTTATTCTTCAAAAATACATGTGGCCAGGTGCAGTGGCTTATGCCTGTAATCCCAGCACTTTGTGAGGCCAAGGTGGGAGGATCTCCTGAGCCCCAGAAGTTTGAGACCAGACTGGGCAACATAGGGAGACCCTGTCTCTATAAAAATAAAAATAAAAATACATGTGTCTATTTTTTGAATGTATTCATTTATTGTATATGTTTAGAGGTGTGCAACATAATGTTTTGATATACCTATCAGTAGTGAGGTATACACTCACTGTTGAATGATGCTGACCTCTCATGTCAGTTTGGTCTAGTGGTAGACTACATAGTATAATATAATCTTAAACTTTTCCCCCTAGGTAAGTGATGTTAATGATGATGTCAGGAGGGCAGCAGTAGAATCACTTGGGTTCATTCTATTCAGGTAATAACTTCAAACTTCTTATTCTATTTATATTTCATTTTTTTTGGAAATGTAGTAGTCACTACCGAAACTACCAAACAGTTTAGTCACTAAACAAAAACTAAATACCTGAGGAGTATATCTGGGTTCAGAGTGAGGACCATTTAATAGCGAGATTAGTACTGTTCATCTGAAAAAGAACAAAGCATATCATGGGATTCTGAGAACCTCTTTTAGAAGTAGTTATTTCTGTTCATTTTTTGGTAGCATTCTGCTTATTCATTTAACTTTTTAAATCCAAATAACACATCCAGTACTCCTCTTCTTGTATATTGGTAGTTCAAATGGATATTATCTCTTACACAGGTTTGTAAAGTTTTTGAAGGGCTTTAATGAAAGTGAAAGGTAATAGGTTTTGTTTAAATGCCAGAGTGAAAATTTTTAAAGATTATCTTTTACTTATAGTCATGGAGATGTCCTTGGCAGTATGATATAGTTGTGTTTAAGAAGTCATACTCTTGGCTGGGCGCGGTAGCTCATGCCTGTAATCCCAGCACTTTGGGAGGCCGAGGAAGGCGGATCACGAAGTCAGGAGTTCGAGATCACCCTGACTAACACGGTGAAACCCTGTCTCTACTAAAAATACAAAAAATTAGCCACGTGTGGTGGCACGCACCTGTAATCTCAGCTACTCGGGAGGCTGAGGCAGGAGAATCGCTTGAATCTGGGAGGCAGAAGTTGCAGTGAGCCGAGATCGCGCCACTGCACTCCAGCCTGGGGTGACAGAGTGAGACTCCCTCTCAAAAAAAAAAAAAGAAGTCACACTCTAAACCCATCTGCCTGGGTTGACTCCTGACTCAGCTTCTTACTAGCTGAATGACTTTCAGCAAGTTGCTCAACCTCTTTGCGCCTCAGTTTCCTTGTCTTTAAAATGAGTATAATCATAATACCCATCTGAGAAGATGTTTTTGACAAGTGAATTAATATATATATGCAATGCCCTTAGAGTGGTGTCTGGTACTAGTAAGAACTAAGTGTGTATTAATAATGGTAATTGTAGTAGTTGTAGTTGTGGAGTTGGTGGTAGTATTAATAGATGTAATAGTAGTTCTTCCAGTAATTCATTACTGTCTACTTAGATTCAATCTCAGACATCAGTGTTTCTCTTAGCTAAGATACAAGCATACCTTGTTTTACTGCACTTTGCTTTATTAAGCTTTGCAGATACTGCATTTGTTTAAAAATTGAAGGTTTGTGACAAGCCTGCATCAAGCAAGTCTACCAAAACCATTTTTCTAACAATGTGTGCTCATTTCATTTCTCTGTGTCACATTTTGGTAATCCTCACAATATTCCAGACTTTTTCGTTATTTTATCTGTTATGGTAATCTGTCATCAGTGATTTTTGATGTTACCATCGTAGTTGTTTTGGGACACCACGAACCACACCCATGTAAAACAGCAAACTCAATCAATAAATGTGTGTTCTGACTGCTCCACACACCGATCATTCCTCCATCTCTCTCCCTCTTCTTGGGACTCCCTATTCCCTGAGACACAATAATATTGAAATTAGGCCAGTTAATAACCCTACATGGCCTCTGAGTGCTTAAGTGAAAGAGAGAGTCCCACATTTCTCACTTTAAATCAAAAACTAGAAATGATAAAGCTTAGTGAGGAAGACATGTCGAAAGCCAAGATAGACCAAAGGTAGGCCTCTTGCATCACAGATAGCCAAGTTGTGAATGCAAAGAAAAAGTTCTTGGAGAAAATTAACAGTGCTACTCCAGTGGACACGCAAATGATAAGGAAGTGCAACAGCCTTATTGCTGATAAGGAAAAAGTTGTAGTGCTCCGGAGAGAAGATCAAAGCAGCCACAACCTTCCCTTAAGCCAAAGCCCAATACAGAGCAAGACGTTAACTCTTCAGTTCTGGAAAGGCTGAGAGAGGTGAGGAAGCTGCAGAAGAAAAGCTTGAAGCTAGCAGAGAGCTTGGTTCATGAAGTTTGGGGAAAGAAGCTGTCTCCATAACATGGAGGTGCAAGGAGAGGCAACAAGTGCTGATGCAGAAGCTGCAGCAAGTTACCCAGAAGATCTAGCTAAGATCATTGATGAAGGTGGCTATCCTAAACAACAGATTTTCCATGTAGACAGAATAGCCTTCTATTTGAAGAAGATGCCATCTAGGACTTTCATAGCCTAGAGAGGAGAAGTCAATTCCTGGTTTCACAGCTTCAGAGGACAGGCTGTTCTTGTCAGAAGCTAATGCAGTGGGTGACTTTAAGTTGAAGCCAATGCTCTTGTATCATTCTGAAAATGCTGGGGCCCTTAAGAATTATGCTAAAGCTGTTCTACGTGTTCTAGAAATGAAACAACAAAGCCTGGATGACAGCATGTATTAGTCAGGGTTCCCTAGAGGGACAGAATTAATAGGATATATATATATATATATATGGGAGTTTATTAAGTATTAACTTAAACAATCACAAGGTCCCACAATAGGCTGTCTGCAAGCTTAAGGAGCAAGGAGAGCCAGTTTGAGTCTCAAAACTGAAGAACTTGGAGTCCAATGTTTGAAGGCAGGAAGCATCCAGCACAGGAGAAGGATGTAGGCTGGAGGCTAATCCAGTCTCTCCTTTTCACGTTTTTCTGCCTGCTTTATATTCCCTGAGAGCTGATTAGATTATGCCCACTCAGATTAAGGGTGGATCTGCCTTCCCCAGCCCACTGACTCCAATGTTAATCTCCTTTGGCAGCGCCCTCACAGACATACCCAGGATCAATACTTTTCATCCTTCAATCCAGTCAAGTTGACACTCAGTATTAACCATCACACAGCACATCTGTTTATGTGGTATGCTAAATATTTGAAGCCCACTGTTGAGAATTACTGGTCAGAAAAAAGATTCTTTTCAAAATATTACTGCTCATAGACAATGCACTTGGTCCCCCATGGGTTCTGATGGAGTTGTACAAGGAGATTAATGTTATTTTTATGCCTGCTAACACAATAACCATTCTGCAGCCTGTGGATCGAGGAGTAATTTTTTACTTTCAAGTCGTATTATTTAAGTCATTTCTTAAGACTATAGCTGCCATAGGCTGGGCGTGGTGGCTCACGCCTGTAATCCCAGCACTTTGGGAAGCCAACGCGGCAGATCACCCAAGATCAGGAGTTTGAGACCAGCCTGGCTGACATGGTGAAACCCTGTCTGCGGTGAAACCTTGTCTCTACTAAAAATACAAAAATTAGCTGGACATGGTGGCAGGTGCCTGTAATCCCAGCTACTCAGGAGGCTGAGGCAGGAAAATCACTTGAACCTGGGAGGCGGAGGTTGCAGTGAGCTGAGATCACACCATTGCACTCCATCCTGGGCGACAAAGCAAGACTCCATCTCAAAAAAATAAATAATAAATAAAAAAGACTAGCTGCCATAAAACGTGATTCCTCTGATGGCTCTGGGCAAAGTAAATTGAATACCTTCTGGAAAGCAGTCACCATTCCAGATGCCATAAGAACATTCATGATTCACAGGAGGAAGTCAAAATATCAACATTAGCAGCAGTCTAGAAGAAGTTGATTCCATCCCTCATGGATAACTTTGAGGGGTTCAAGGCTTTAGTGGAAGAAGGAATTGCAGAATTGGTGAAAATAACAAGAGAACTAGAACTAGAAATGGAGTCTGAAGATGTGACTGATAAAACATCAATGGCTGAGGAGTTGTTTCTTGGGATGAGCAAAGAAAGTAGTTTCTTCATTTGGAATCTACTCCTGAAGATGCTGTCGACATTGTTGAAATGTTAGGTGTAGGAAAAAATAAAAAAGAAGTAATCACTTTTTGGGTCTGACCTGCAGACCCTGGCCGAGTGATAGATGAAAGAAGTTCTCAGACATGGATATCCAGTGAAGGAGTGGGCTAGGGGGCTGCTGGCACTAGGGCCGAAGAGAGTTAGCCGCCTCTATAAGCCAGAGATGCTCGTGTTTATTTAGTACAGATTTAATGAGAAAGGCTTGGAGCAAACACAATTTGTGGGTAATTAACATTGTCGACCCACCAAATAGAGAGCAGTCCTGCACACGAATGATCACAGATTAGTTTCTGGAGACAAGAGTAAACAAGTTTATCTAGATAAGTTCCTTTACATTCCCTTGTTATGTAACCCTTGCTCTTAAGAGAATTTAACTGCCTTCAGCTAAATCCTCTTGAAGCTTTTGCAAAACCTCCCGGCCTTCCAATAAGGTTTGCATCTTTCCCTATAATTTTTATAACTTTTCCCACCACCCTGACTGATCTCCTACATCTCCTCCTTCCTTTTCTGCTTTTTACATCAGGTTTTGTTAATTGAAGAGTACAGATGTGTGCAGCAGCAGATTTGTTAGGCATAGTGGTTATAACTCGTTTTCCAGCTTTGCATCCTAGAATTAGTAAATAGCATAAGACAAACATGAGTATAATCAGTAACATTCTTTTCCAACAAGAATTGACCCCCAGGAGTGGGGGTCTATCCAGGAGAGATGTTATCTCACATCCTTCCATATGGCTGTTTGTTGGGCGTGTAGATCTACGGTGTTTAGGGATTCTAGAATTTTAGTTTTAAGTTGTCTTAAGTCTGCTGTTAAATTATCATATAAGGTTCCCCAGGGGTGTTGTTTCACCTCATCCCAACTATGTATTGGTTGATTCCAAGGTAGGGAGGTGACACAGATACACTTATGCTCCCAGTCACAGTTTAAGTGCTGTCGGAATGCCAGCGCATCTTGCTGCTCCCCTGTATATTCTAAGGCAGCCTCAGGGGCTTGCAGGCGTGCAAGAATCTTTTGATCTGTACCCTGCTCTAAGAGAAGTTCATTAGACACATTTTTGGCCAAGTTACCTACAAAGGTAGCTGTTTTTACAGATTCAGTAATAGAGGCCACAGCAATACTAGCAGTTGCTAAGATGACTATGGCTGAGACTATAAAGGTTTTATAAGTGTGCCTATGAATCTTTTGGGTCTGACCTGGGACGGGGCATGTTCTCAGGTGGCAAGAGCAGAGGAACCTTGCCAATCACGTGTCAAATTGGTGGGAATGCTTCAGATTGTCTCCTTAATACCATGATACTAGTAATATTTAAATTAGATATAATTAGTGACGCATGAGGCAAACCAAACCTGTCCCTGCACTCGGGTCACAAACGTGGAGTTTTGGGGTGTAATGGAAATATTGGTTCCCATAAGGAAAACATATGGATGGGTAGTGCAAATCAGGCACTGATCTGTGTGATTATGAATAAAGGTCACAGTATAGTTGTTACTGGAATTATGGTATGTCCCATACCAGGTGTAAAGGGAGATGCTAAGATGTCCCAGGCACCATAAAGTGTCTTGGGGTGGCATGGACTCTCCTTGGGATCTGGGATATCCCGTCCCTCCATCGGCCCAAATTGTACGGGAATGAGACGTGGCTGCAAAACTGTGATTGATGCCACGATGGATGAGGACATCAGTATGGTTGCTCTGCAAGTGTCAGTGGGGGCTCTAGTCTAAGATGTTATAATAGCCTAAATGGAGTCTACGGGCTTGTCCTCCATGACAGACCTCCCAGCCAAAGTGGAATCCATTACTTTCCTGGCTATGTTCTTTAGCACAGGAAGGAATGTTGGGGAAAGTGGCGTTGGTTGCATTGCCCGGTTTGAGGCTATCTGCAACCAAGAATGTTAAGGCATTTCCTTTGCCATGATATAGCCATACTTGAGTTTGGGCAGGTACACAGTAAGGATTGGAACTTTTATAACTAATGCACAGTGGGAGGATAGTGGAGTGATATATAGTGTTACCTGGCATCTTAATCCAATGTGTGCCATTAATGAGGGACCCCACTGGGGGTAAGTCAATCCCTCCTAGCCAAGCAGTTATGTTATTAGAGGTTGGGAAGGGGGTGTCTGCCCAAGTAACAGGGCAAAAGAAAAGCAGATCTAAGCCAAGCAATTATGTTATTAGAGGTTGGGAAGCGGGTGTCTGCTCAAGTAACAGGGCAAAAGAAAAGCAGATCTAAGAGATGAGCCCAATAGAGAGTAGCAGGTGCAGGTTGCAGGCAGAGTGAGAGATTAAGAAGGGTTAATACCCTATGAGAGTTGCAGTGTACAACAGAAGGCATAGCAAGGAACAAATTATGTGGAGTGAATGGTGTCTGTGTCTGGAGCAGGATTCGCTCAGCCTCCTGAGTTGTCTTCTTCAGCATCCCCCAGGTAAAGTCCGGGGCTTGTGTCATCCTAGGAAGCCGCGTCGTCCGGGGCTGCTGGTCCTGCAGGGACATTTCCTTCATTTCTGGTACCAGGTTGGGTCCTAGCCACACCATGGTATGATTTGATGTATCGTGCTAGAATCCAGAGAGGACCTGAGGGGGTGTGAACACAAGCATATCCTCTTTCCCATGTAAGCAAATCATTTGGACCACACCATACATTACTATTTACATTTTTCCATTAAACTGCAGGTTTTATGTCTTGAGAGGTTTTAGCAAAGTGCTTTTCTATGGCTGAAATTTATCATCTAAATTTTAAAAATTAAGGGTAAATAAGGCTTGTGCCAGTAGTGTTGCCAGGTTCTTACCCATATTCCCCCTTTTTTGTTTTTTTGAGCATATTTTTAAGAGTGGAATGGGTATGTTCTACTGTCCTTGGGGGTTATACGAGATGCCTGTGGAATGTTGGATGTTCCACGTGTGACAAAATTGTTGAAATTGTGAGCTGGCATAAGCCAGACCATTATCAGTTTTAATTTTTGTGGGCCGCCCTATAAATGCAAAAGTTAAGAGTAGATGTTTAATAATATATTGGGTGGACTCTCCAGGAAAAGTATGTGCACTAATTAACTGAGAATTGGCATCAATGGATACATGTACATATCTTTGTTTTCTAAATTTAGGATGTGAGTAACATCTGTTTGCCATAACTGATTAGGTTCTAGTCCTCTAGGGTTAACACCTGTTGGAGGGGCGGTGCCGTCCTCTAGGGTTAACACGTGTTGAAGGAGGGGAGGTGCCTGTGAGCTGGCAATCTGGGCATTGCAGGATAATTTCTTTAGCTAGCCTTTGGGTGAGTTTAAATTGTTTAGTTAAATTACTCCAATTTTGGTGGAAAAATTGATGCAATTGGGTGGCTTGGTCAAGCAGTGACGTCATAACTTGCATATCTGCTTGTTCATTGCCATAAGCCAATGGGCCAGGCAGTGAGCTGTGGGCTCCAATATGTGTGATTAGAAATAGGATGTGTACGTTGATCCAGCAATTGCTGAAGTCAAAGAAAAAGTGCACACAGGGTGGGCTCGAGAATGGACTTGAGGGCTGTTTCAAGGTTCTGCAATAAATAAACAGAGTAAGCAGGGTCACTAACAATATTGATGGGCTGAGCAGAAAAAGTTTCCAGTGCCAGTATTAAGGCTCCAGCCTTAGCTGTCTGAGTGCTAGTAAATCCAGAATGAGTAAGGGAATTATGTGGTTTCTACCAAATTGCCACTTTTCCATTTTTACCAGAACCGTCAGTAAAAAGCATTAAAGCGTTGGGTATGGGGGAGTGAACTACTTTTATAGGCACAACTACAGAAGTATGAGATAAGAACTGAATTAAGTTTGTCAGCAGGAAGGGCATGCTCTATATGGCCTGTATAATCAGAAAGTGCTATTTGCAGGTCTAGAGATAAGGGCAATACTGCTTTGAATTGCTTTTTACTTGAAGGAATTCTATGACATCAGGGTCATAACCTAGTGACTGATTGCATTGTCTGCAGCTTGTATAGTTGACTTTATTAACTAGCTGGATATAGGGAGATAGTGTTTTAGTCCAGGTATGTGAGCAAAAAATCCATTCCAGGAAGCGTAGCCCTGGGGCCATTTGTCCTATTAACCCTGTCGGGAGTGTTTAGTAGGAAAAACAAACAATTGAACTGAATAATTTGGGTCTATGCGATTTAGTTGCCTCTGAGAAATAGCTTGCTCTATTTCCTCAATTCCCCTTTTTGCTGCAGGAGTTAAATACCTGGGAGAGTCTGGGGCTGTATTGCCCTTTAGGATGGAAAACAGGTTTTGCAGCTTATCAGTAGTCATGCCCAAGGTGGGACGAAGCCAATTAATATTGCCCAATAATTTTTGATAATCATTTAAGGTGTATAAGTTGCTAGTATTTAATTTAACCTTTTGAAGTCTTATTGACCAGGAAATTAGCATGTATCCAAGATATTTCCAAGGAGAGGACATTTGCACATTTTTAGGTGCTATGTTTAAACCTCTTAGCTGTGTATTCTTTATGACAGAGGCATATAAACTTAAATGCCTTTGTTGGGGCTGCTAGTAAATATCATCCATAAAATGAATAATCTTGCAAGTAGGAACTTCTTTTCTACTGGGGAGCAAAGCTTGATTGACATGATACTGACACATGGTAGGACTATTTAGCATCCCTTGAGGAAACACTTTCCAATGAAATCAGCTAGCTGACCTTTCATTATTGATAGCTGGTATGGTAAATGCAAATTTTTCTCTGTCCTGTTCTGCAAGGGGAATAGTATAAAAGCGGTCTTTTAAGTCAATAACGGCTAAAGGCCAATCTTGAGGAATCGCTGCGGGGGAAGGGAGGCCCTGTTGAGGCCCCATGGGTTGCAAATTAGCATTAATAGCCTGTAAGTCATGCAGAAGTCTCCATTTGCCAGACCTTTTGGGAATGACGAAAATGGGTGAATTCCGAGGGCTGTTTGACAATTCTATATGGCCAGCTTTTAATTGCTCCTCAACTAATTCATGGGCTCTTTGTAATTTCTTTCCCTTTAAAGGCCACTGTTCTACCCAAGTTGGATCTTGAGAGAGCCATGTTAAGGGTAGGGGAGGAATAATAACAGTGGCCATTATTAGAAAGAGGTCTGCAGAGTGACCTCAAACCTCTTGTAAATGGGCTAGCGGCTCCGTTCTTTCTAATGCTTTTTCTTATCTCTTTATAAGCTTTAAAATAAATGGGTTCATGTACCTGATTGCCTTGTTGATCTTGCATTACCAGGCAGGCTAAGAGCTCCCCTTCTAATGCTGCTTGCCTAAGACAGAATCCCATAGCTGTAGGATATCCCTTGTCTTTTTTCCAATTTATTGGAGGAGGGGACTCAGGCAAAACCTCCATTTCCTTTTTGTTATTTTTTTCTGTTAATGGCGGGGCTGAGGGAGATGGAGTCGGTAAGGTAGGTGATGGTTCCTCTTCCCTACCCTTTTTAGGCACTTCTGTGTATAGCAGGACCAAAGCAGCCCTGACTAAGGCCCATAACATTAGAGATGTTACTGGGACCCATTGCCCTTCTGCATGATGTTGTTTAAGATTTCTCCCAACTGGTTTCCAGAGCTCTATGTCTAATGTACCTTCTTCGGGGAACCACGGGTTATGGGAAACAACTGTTACATATAAAGTTTCGGTGCCACAAAAGAAATAGCACTTGAATATAAAATTTTCTTTTTAATTCTCAGCAAGGCAAGTTACTTCTATAGAAGGGTGCGCCCTTACAGATGGAGCAGTGGTGAGCGCACACTTGGACAAGGGAGGGGAAAGCGTTCTTATCCCTGATGCACGTGGCCCCTGCTGCTGTGTCATTTCCCTATTGGCTAGGGTTAGACCGCACAGGCTAAACTAATTCTGATTGGCTAACTTAAAGAGAATGACGGGGTGAGCGCTTTGGCGGGAGTCAGGGCAGAGCAGGTAGCAGGTAATTGGAATGAGTTAGGGTGGAGCAGATGATCGGAATGAGTCAGGGTGGAGTAGGAAATCGAAAAAGGTTGCTTTATGAGGAAGTTAAGTTTAAAAGTAGAAGGCAAAGAATTGAACATACTGACATATTCTTTGAAAACAAATTTAGAACTCATATCTAACAATCCCTCCCCTTGTATTTCCTTACAGCTTTCTTTTCAAACTTTTTTACAAGTCTTGGCTTAGTTGTTTTGCTTGATTTTCCAAAAGAAGAAGCTTCTCTGGATAAGATGGAGGATAGTTGGTGGAGGTTTTAGTAAGTGCTGTTTTTATGAGCCTCTGCATCAACTTACAGATGCATGGTATGACACAGCACCCAACAAGAATAATTACCTATTACGGCAGTGAGGGAAATAAGAATTGAGGCTATTATTCCTTTCCATTTACTGAACTACTTTTCTAGCCATCCTGTAAAGGGGTCATTTACCCTTGAGTTGCTGGCTAACTCATTGGATAGAGCAGTCAGACCTTGCAGTGCCTTTGTTATACTTCCATTAGGAACAGTGTTGTTTGGGATAAAGGTGCAACATTGAGTTTTAATCATGACACAAACTCCTGCTCTTTCTGCTAATAAATAAGATAGCCTAAGGCTATCTTATTTTCCCAAGCCATCTGACTAGTAGCCCCTAATTGTTCAGCTATTCCTTTAACAGCATCTCTAGTGTAGTTAATAAATCGCTGCTGGTTGTAATAGATGTAGTTTATACAGTCTACATTTTTATTGTCACCCACCAAAATATTGACTCAAATCCTGCAGCTATTTGATTTTGGGTTTTAAATTGATCTAGTATTCCCTGTGGGACTCTAATTGTGTCTAAATAGACGTGAGAGTCGAAAGACCCATAGGGGGCTTCTCTTGCTTTACAGTGTCTTATTTTTCCTTCCTCTGGTTGATGAAATGCCAGGGTGAAAGGGATAGCCAATTGGACTAAAGCACAAGTGCACTCCAGTTATTTGGCAGAGTGTCCAGCAAAGGTCCACCACAATACCACCACACATCTGCTTGGGGATGAACAAGGGCTGACTGATTGATAACCTGTTGAAAATTCTTAAGCTCACTGCATCCCTTCAGGTCTCCAAGGAATGCTAAGTTTCCTCCCTGTCGTGAGAGACATGAATTGAACTTAGTGTTGGGAGACGGAAGCTGGATGGCCCTCGGGGGCTGACCCGCAGGGTGCCGGACTGCTTTCTTCTGCTAGCAAAGCAGTTGCCACTACAGATTAAATGCATTTGGGCCATCCACGGGTTACTGGGTTAAGGATTTTTGATAGGAAAGCTACAGGTTGTAAGTGGCTTCAGTGCTTTCTGGCTACACCCTTGTTTACACTGACAACAAGGTGGTATTGGAGTGTTATAGGGTCACGGAGAAGACCTTCAATTATCAATTATAGGTTTTTAATTTATCCTGGCTTTTAAAGGAATAGGGTACACTGTTTTCTCTTTACTACTTCTATCTCTCTCTCTCTTTGAGTTTCTGTTCTCTCTCTTTCTCTGTCTCTGACTCCCTCTTTGTCTCTCTGTCTCTTTCTCTCTCTCTCTGTCTCTTTCTCTCTCTCTCTGTCTCTATCTCTCTGACTCCCTCTTTTTCTGTCTCTTCTTCTCTTTCTCTCTCTGCCTCTCTTTCCCCTTTCTCTTCTCTCTCTCTCTCTCTCTCTCCCCTCTCTGCTGTTCTTTCCCTGCCTCTGCCAGCCACTTATGCTGCTGTTCTCCCCTCTCCTTCCACTTCCTCTAGGGGAGGGACCAGCGGGAGTAGAGCTTCTCTTTCTTCCTCTGAAAAGAGGATGCCCAAGATGGACATTAACTCGACCCAAGTATACAACTGAGGTCCTAAGAATTGGTCAATTTGGTCTGCCATTCCGTAAAGGTCATCCAGTAGCAGTTTAAGCACCTTTTTAAAATTCTGGATTTCTGAACTGGTTAGGGGAGCATTTACAAAGCCAATGGCCCCCCCTTCCTTGTGGTACCTCTTTCAAAGGAAAGAAAGTCGGGGCTGATCTCTTAGGTACAGAGGGAAATGGGAAATTCTGAATATCTTTTTTACATTGTTCTACTTCACACTGGAGTCCTTTTAGAGAGGGGTATTTAGGTTGGGAGGGAACAGGCTGATGGGATGGTAATTCCTAAGAGTCAGGGTTATAACGAGGAAGGATAACGTTGAGTAGAGAGGGAATTTGGAATGGGATCTGAGGCAGCAGTGGCTGTCTGAGCGGAAAGATTGGGGACACTGAACGGGGTTAGATAGTCTAAGGGATCCCATGCGCTGGAATTTTTAGGCATGAGAGCTGGCTCCTCTGACTTTTCATTTTGAGGTACCAGATTGGGTTCTTCCCTATTTGTTTTTAAAGGAAAAAGGAGGGCAGGTCTTTGCCTCCAATAAAGGGCATAGCCTAGTTCTTCCTGAGACACTGGACTTTTACCATTAACATATCGGATTAGAAGCTGACACGTTACATCCTCATTCGACCCAAAGTTTGGTCAGAAGATTGAGGGTTTGAAGGTGGGTCCCTGAGTCCAAATAAAACAGCAATATTGTTATCATTTGTTGCTTTTTCCTAAGTTTAGTCCTTTCGTTATCCTTCCAGTGTTTTAGCATGAGACCTAGGGAGATATCCAGGGGGATGTCTTTGTTACCATCTTTATCTCCCTTGCTCCCTGTCTTGCTTGGGGTATTTCCCATCTTGATGGTTTTGGGGTAAGGTTCAAGGTTCAATTTCCCTTACTGGAAATTTCTCACCTTTTGGGGTGAGGCTCAATTTCCCCACTGGAAATGTCTTGCCTTTTGGGGTGTGAGGCTCAGTTTCCCCACTGGAAATCTCTGCCTTTTCTGCTACTGGAGGTTTGTGTGAGGTTCAATCCCCCGAAATGGGGATGGCTCGCCTCTTTTTAACCTCTAAGCCACCCCGACCAAGGAGTAGTTCACTGCCCCCCTCCCCCTTGCGGCTTTCTTACCTTGGTCCTGACCACCAAGGAAATACTTTACCGGCTCCCACGGCTTCTCCTTCCTTGGTCTGTGCACAGAGTCATCGCTGCAGTATGTGAAGATCCTTTAAGCTAGGTTGCTGGCCAGTTTTTTATTTTTTATTTTTTTCTGCGTTGCTGAGAGCTCGGGTTATTCCTCGCACTGGGTGGGTCTTGATTTCTCACCCCTGAGGCCACCACAAGGGGGCAGGGCAAGCCTCCTCACGAGAGAGAACCAGAGACCATCCCGGGAGGGGAATGCAATCATGGGCGAGCCCCCAAATTGTTACATATAAAGTTTCGATGCTACAAAAGGAATACCACTCAAATATAAAATTTTTTTTTAATTCTCAGCAAGGCAAGTTACTTCTATAGAAGAGTGTGCCCTTAAAGATGGTGCAATGGTGAACACACACTTGGACAAGGGAGGGGAAGGGGTTCTTATCCCTGACGCACATGGCCCCTGCTGCTGTGTCATTCCCCTGTTGGCAAGGGTTAGACGCACAGGCTAAACTAATTCTGATTGGCTAATTTAAAGAGAATGATGGGGTGAGTGCTTTGGCAGGAGTCAGGGCAGAGCAGGTAGCAGGTAATTGGAATGAGTTAGGGTGGACCAGGTGATCAGAATGAGTTAGGGTGGAGCAGGTCATTGGAATGAGTCAGCATGGAGCAGGTAATTGGAATGAGTTAGGGTGGAGTAGGTAATCAAAAAAGGTTCCTTTATGAGGAAGTTAAGTTTAAAAGTAGAAGGCAAAGAATTGAACATACTGACATATTAATTATTTGGAAAGAAATTTAGAACTCATATCTAACACAACAGTTTGCATTAGGTCCCTTAATTGAGCCTGCAAAACCAAGGCTCCGCTAGCTTTAAGCAGCTGTTTCAATACTTTTATATACTGTTGCCATTGAGCTGATAACTGTTGTCCCATGATGAAACCCTAGCCTGAACAATCCCCTCGAACTTGGAAATCCACAGTGGGCACCAATGACTTACTGACTGCGCAGTTTCTTCACCTTCATTTTCGAGGGTTCCCTCGCAATCTGTTGCAGCGTTCCTCACGCGGGGGCACCACCTGCCGAGTCTGTCCTGCAGATTCTGGCCAAGCAATGGATGAAAGAAGTTCTCAGACATGGATATCCAGTGAAAGAGCAGGCTAGGGGGTTGCCGGCACTAGGGGCTGAAGAGAGTTAGCCACCCCGATAAACCAGAGATGCTTGCATTTGTTTAGCACAGATTTAATGAGAAAGGCTTGGAGCAAACACAATTTGTGGGTAATTAACATTGTTCACCCCCAAGTAGAGAGCAGTCCTGCACACGAGTGATCAAAGGTTAGTGTCTGGAGACAGGAATAAACAAATTTATCTAGATAAGTTCCTTTACATTCCCTTGTTATCTAACCCTTGCTCTTAAGAGAATTTAACTGCCTTTAGCTAAATCCTCTTTTGAAGCTTTTGCAAAACCTCCCGGCCTTCCAGAAAGGTTTGCATCTTTCCCTATAATTTTTATAACTTTTCCCACCACCCTGACCGGTCTCCTACAATCACTTCCAAGATTAGGCTGTAGAAAAAAATTAATGAAAAGAAACATAGTTGAAATTACAACAAAGAATTGGGAATATTTAGTAAAGTTAGTTGATAGAGTAGCAGCAGAGTTAAGAGAGGATTGACTACACTTTTGAAAGAAATTCTGTTGTGGGTAGAATAGCATCAAACAGCATCTTATGCTACAGAGAAATCTTTTGTGAAAGGAAAAGCTAATGTGGCAGACTTCATTGTCTTGTTTAAAGAAATTGCCACACCCACCCCAGCTTTCAGCAACCACCACCCTGATCAGTCAGAAGCCACCAACATCAGGAGAAGACATTCTACCAGCATAAAGATGAATATGCACTGAGGGCTCAGATGGTCGGTGGCACTTTTTAGCTATAAAGGTTGTTGGGTTGTTTGTTTTTTAAATACAGAGGGTCTTCCTCTGCTGCCCAGGCTGGAGTGCAGTGGTGTGATCATTGCTCAGAGGCAAACCTGAGCTTATGGAGCTTGGGTTGAGGCAAAACTGTAGAATAGCAGAGACTACAGGCACTCACCACCATGCCTGGCTAATTTTGGTTTGTTTGTTTTGCAAAGACAGTGTCTCACTGTGTTGCCCAGGCTCATCTTGACCTCTGGCCTTAGGAGATCCTCCTGTTTCCACCTCCCAAAGTGCTGGGATTACAGGCATGAGCCACCCATTGGGTCTGGCTATGTTTTTTAACTGAGGTATATACATTTTTTTGGACATAATGATGTTGCACACTTAATAGGCTATAGTATAGTGTAAACATAACTTTTATATGCCCTGGGAAACCAAAAAGTTCGTGTGACTCACTTTACTGCTATACTCTCTTTATTGTAGTAGTCTAGAACCAAACCCACAATACCTTGAGGTATTTTATTAAAGAATAAAGTTAAAATACAGTTGACCCTTGAACAATACGGGAGTTAGCATCACTGACCCCACAACTCTTACACTGTCGAAAATTCACGTATAACTTTTGACTCCCCCAAAACTTAGCTACTCATAGCCTATTATTGATCAGAAGCCTTATGGATAACATACATAGTCAATTAACATATAATTTTTATGTTATATGTATTATATACTATATTCTTACAGTAAGGTAAGCTAGAGAAAAGAAAATGTTATTAAGAAAATCATAAGGAAGAGAAAACACTCGTCTTCACTATGAAGTGCAAGCGGATCATCAGAAAGGTCTTTACCCCATTGTCCTCACATTGGGTTGGTGGAGGAGGAAGAGGAGAGGTTGGTCTTGCTGTCTCAGTGGTGGAAGAGGTGGAGGAGGTAGAAGGGGAGGCAGAAGAAGTAGGTACACTCAGTGTAATTTTTAGTGAAAAAAAAATTGCATATTAGTGGGCCCACACAGTTCAAGCCCATATTGTTCAAGGCTCACTGTTATATGGATACTGCCTGTTATAGCTTATTTGTTATATTTGTTATATTTGTTATAGCTTATTTATTATATTTGTTATAGCTTATTTGTTATGAAATTACACAGTAAGTTGCTAAAGTGCATGTTAGATGAGTCATACGTCTTATGTCCTTTTAAACTTTAGAAGAGATTTTCTACCCCAGGTTCCCTGGGAGTGAATCTTTGTTATAAAAATTGTATGCAAATCCAACACATAATTTCTTGAACATCCATTATGAACTAGGTACAGAGTCTTCTCCATAATATCCCAGATAGGAAGTCATCCATCTACAAACTGTAAAATATTTTTTTCCTATCGTGGATGGAAATGTTGAATAAAACAGAACAAAACACAGACCCATATAGCATGGTATTTCTTCTTACACCAGTTTTCTTGAATATGATTGTTAATCAAATACTGGTCTTCACTGTGTTATCCTCTAACTCTCATTTTGCCAACTTTTTCATAAAGACTCTAGACAATTTTCACAAAATCCTTATGACATAATATTTACCCAAGTCTACTAGTCTGGCACCTCTAAACGGGTTATGTGACTTATTGGGCCTGATTGTTTCTTAAGTTACACTTTTCATAGAAGTGTCCAGTGTTCTTCGAGGCCTCTTCTGAGATCTGGCAAAACCTATGTGTATTAAGCTATTCTGCATTTTGTCAAAAGATCTGCCACAGACTCCACACTTTGAACTTCTTGAACCCTATCTCTTCTTTTCTCTTTTAAAATATTGGAATACTTCATCATTTACATTCTTTTTGTACTTTGCAGTTTTCTGTTTTTCTTCCAAAATTTGGTTTCATAATTACATACACAAATTTGTTCTATTTCTAGGAGGTGATTCATTTAGCTTTGTGACTGGAACTCATCTAAGGCAACTAGACTCTTTATCTGTTTTGTGTTTGATCAGTCTTTCTGTCTAAAAATTATTCTCCTTGAGAGAAAAGATGGAAGCAAAATAAAATTTAATTACTTCTATTTCCTTCCTGTTATCTTAGCATATCATGTAGCCAAGCTGTGACCCTAACCTTTCCCTATTCTTGCTGTAGAGATTAGACACAATTAAAAAATGAGAAAATGGTCTGTCATGGCCATCCAGAGTGGGTTCTTTGTGTGAATTATCAGAGAACTAGATAATTTTAGTATGGAAAGTATATTCTTCCAGGTATACCCTTAGTATCTCTTGGGTTGTGTAAAGCATCCTACTCATGTTTGACTCTTAAGTTGTTTTGTTTCCTGTCAGTTAATGTTTTGTATTGTCAGTGACTTTATATTTTATAACAATATAAATCAGTGGCTTGGTGTTTATATTCTGCCACATAGGAAGTTGACGGTCATTTAAAACTGTTTTTCTTCCATTTTTAATCTGATGGTGCTTTGCTCTCTAGTTAACAAAATTCATGTCTGCCCTTTTATTTCCTGTAGCTAACACAGGTTAAGTTCCCAGTTTCAGCAGCAGATGTCTCCCGTGAGCTGCTTAGGTTTTGCTGAGTTTTCCACTACATAGTATAGTCAAATAAGTTATTTATGTGCTTGCTACTTCTAAGGGACCATTCTTGGTTCTCTTTTCATAAAACGAATCTTTAAGAAGTGGGAACTGGAAAAATTTTGTCTAAAATTTATTTTATAAATGAAAATTAAATATAATTGACCTGTTTAAAGAGCTGGAGTTAAAAATCCTCTCTATGTTCTCTAAGTTTTAGTTTACTGCCATTTCCCTAGAGTGAGAATTTTTTAAAGTAGAAGAAACCAGTATTCACATTTTTTTTAAAGATAAGGAAATTGAATTCCAAAATGTTTAATAAATTTCCCCACTGTCATAAAGCTAAATACTGAGATTCTAAACAGGCTTCATGATAGACCAGTGCTTTCTCCACCTTGCTTTCAGTCAGAGCACCATCTTTTTGAGTGGCTGTGATAAAACAGCTTTATTCTTAATTTTCCTTATTAACTTTAATATTTGAGAAGTGTCTGTCCTATATCCTAAGACTGGTACATGTTTTCTGAAGTGACATCATTTACTGTCGTAGCATGCTCTCCATCTTTTTTCCCCCCTTTAGATTTCCCTTTTAAAATGAATTTGTGGACATTTGGTCTTATACCATGTTTTAAGAGTTTATTTCTTCATAATTTTTAAAAACTTCTTTTCAAGTATACTTATTGGATATGAATACTAAAAACATGTTAGTAAACACATATTTGTAGTTCAACAACTAAGATAAAATTGTCTTTGTGTAAAATTCTTATGTATATTATCTCCTTTATTCTTAGGATAGTCCAGGGTGTTACAGTATTTTATTTCTTCCTTCTGATATTTGTAGATTGTTATTTGTTCATAATGCTTGTAAATAAAAGTAAAAAATTAATTTGATAACTATTCTTGCTTAATTGAAATGAACATAGTACATTAATTTTTATCTAAATAAATGTTCTCTAGTGGAACATCTAATAAATAAGTGATTGTTGGGCCCATTGTTAGTACTTTCAAAGGCAGATTTTATTATTATAACAACTTATGCAGTACTGTTCATGTCATTGACTTCTGAAAACTCATTTGGAAGTGAGTAGAATCTGAATTATTTTAACTTGACACTGGAAAGGAAAATGAAGAAAGTCAAAAGAATTGGTCTTTGTATATCTGTTGATATTAAGTTTCTATAATGAACAAATTGATAATCTGATATGGACATTTCTTAAAATCAGACAGTCTTGGTGGTCCCTTGCAGGGTGCTATGACTTAGGCTGTTATAATATGGCATTAAATGTTTCTCAGTGTATAAATTCATAAGCTTTTAGATACGGATCTTGCAAGATGAACAACAGATTCTTTGTGCAACTGTTTTTTAGACCACACAAAGTGATTCCTTGAATATAAAAATGTTACATCATCATTGATCCTCATAATTTGAAGAAACCCTCATAGTGAACCAGTTACCACTAACACTAACACTAACTTCATGATCATCTTTACATCTCCATTCACAATTCTATATCAATTTGATACATATTCTCTGTATACTGTTCTCTGTTTTTGCCCCAGTATCTTTGTGTTTCTGTCTGGGTGCTTGACTTTTCCTTACTTTTTGTCATTTTCATTTTTTTTTTCTACATCTTTGTTTTCTTCTCTCCATTAATTGGCAGTAACATGGAATAAAAAGGTTTTTTTTTTTTTTTCAAAATTATTCTAAATAGTTATAATCTGTTCCTTTTCTTCTAAGATAAGACTATTAACTGGAGTTCTTTTGTTACGTAAGGGTGTTTAACTGCTGAGATTTGCTTTCAAATTATACATCTCTTTAAAGTATTCATAAAATGGAAATACCAGTTCTGCATCGAAGTGGTAAGAGTTTGTGGCTTGGTTGTACTTTTCAGAAATAGTCAATAGTGGAGTTATGTTTCACTTTCTAGAATATTCTGGAAATAGTAGAAAGGTCTCTCATTAACTATAGAAAGATCTCTGGGTTAATTGTAAGCAAGAGCTAGACATGGTGACTCACACCTGTAATCCCAGCACTTTGGGAGGCCAAGGCAGGCAGATAGCTTGGGGCCAGGAGTGGAGACCAGGCTGACCAACACAGCGAAACCCCATCTGTACTGAAAATACAAAAGTTAGCCAGGTGTGGGGGCGGGCACCTGTAATGCCAGCTACTCAGGAGGCTGAGGCATGAGAATCACTTGAAGTCAGGAGGCGGAGGTTGCAGTGAGCCAAGATTGCGCCACTGCACTCCAGCCTGGGTAACAGAGTGAGAATCTGTCTCAAAAAAAGAAAAAAAAAATTGTAAGCAAGGAAATTTTTCTTAAGGGTTTGACATGAAACAGTTTATAGGTGTTGTGGCTAATTCTGTAGGTGTGCGTATATTTAAGCACACAAATTTGGAGGCAGTACAAAGCATGTGAGAAGATAGTTCTTTTGATCTAGATTGTTATCTATGGGTAGAGTTTTGGCAATGTGATTGCCTGCCAACTCTGGTGTATAGATTTCCTGAAACAATTATGTATGCCTTCAGATGCATAAAATACAGAATTTGGAATACTGTCATAGTGATAACTGAAAACTTAATCTCAACATACCTTGGCAAGAATATAAATCTTAACATATGCCAAATCCATCATATTAGAGACCAGAACCAAAAACCAAAATAGAGAATGATTTTTTTTTAAGGAATGTAAATTATTTTGCCTCTTATGTGAGATAACCATCCCTAATGCTGCTGAAAAATCTTAGACTAGTAGTAGGGAAACATACCTAAAGCTTTGATGATTTAGGAATTAAATGTGTATGATATACTCTTCCCAGCAGATTATATATAGCCAGTAAGGAATCATAACAGATCAGGATTTATGTATTAGAGCCGCATTCTAGCAAAGGATTCTGCCACTGTGAAAATATATGCCTTGTTCACTTATACACTGAGATTCTCCGTAGCCAATACATTTCTTAAGGCAATTATCCTAAACTGAGTTGCCTGCAGAAGGACAGCAATAGAGTCATAGGTCGAGGGACAAATATGGGTGAACCTGAAAAGGAAAAGCTAAGGTATGAGTTATCTTCACTGCAGACCCCCTTAGTCTAAATTTGCACTTATAACAGGAGCATTAAAATATATATCAAAAGTAGATTGAATTGTCTACCATTTACTTAGTGCCTTCTATGTACTCATCCTCATAAGAATTGTATAAAATGCAGATGAGAATACTGGGGCTTGAAGAAATTAAGTATTTTTCCTAAATTTAATCAGCTGTCTGGTAAGTGGCACAGGTTGGACTCATTCTGAGATCTAACAGTGCAAAATAATATACTGAAAGGATGAATAAAAAATTTTGTGCTGGAAGTTCACTTGAGTCACTGGACAAGCATACATAGGCAGGCATGATCTCACTTAAAGTTTGTATCCCTGATTAAGATCCCATGCTTGTGCACGTTAATTAATATCTCTAAGAAACCTAATGTGGTTCAGGTACCCAAGAGCGATTTTATTTGCTTTTTCCTCCTTCTCCAATAGACCTACCTGTGCTGAGTAGAAGCTCAATATCAGTCATTTAACAAACAGGTCTAGTTCCAAGTTCTTGTTATTTTGTGTGATATCCAGCTACTATCCTCCCTATCCCTTCCATCAAAACAGTTTCCTGATCAGAGGAAAATTATGACTGCATTCAACTAAATCAGACTATAAATGGCAATCTTAACTCACCTCCAGATGTGATCACTGTTTTGTGCACTTATTTTTAGCTCTGTGTTCCTTTTGTTCTGTATCATGCCTTATGCTTTTAAGACCTGGAAGGCAAGGCTAATGTTTGTTTTGTTTTATTTCATTCTTAGCACAACTTTGCATATAATTAGAAACCAAATAAATTTTATGATGACAGTGGTTCTTTTTAAAGCCTGAAATTTATTGATTTGACTTTATTTCATTCGAATACCTTAAAATTTAACCAGAGTGCTGGATTGTTTTCATTTGTAGCTATATAAAATTATTTTCCTCATGGAATAATCTTGTCCAAATTAGGAAAATTAGATATTCTTAATACTTACATCTTAGGTTAAAGAGATGATTTGATATATGACATAAAATTCTTTATATAATATATTCTTGGCACATTTACATCTCATTCATCATCTTACTCATCATTATGTTTGATGACAACTGCCAGTTCTGCTATACATAACTAACTTGCTCTTCAGTTTTGTCACCTTCATTTTCAGTGAGGAGAAGCGTATCTAGTAGAATGATTGATGAAGACTGAATGGTTGAACTTCGGAGCCTCATTGGACTCTGGTACATGGCAGGGTTAATCCCATTTCGAATTCCATGTTTCTTGAAAAACTTAGAGTTCTCTGCCATTGGATTCCGGAAGTAGATCTTACTGGAGCGTTTTCTGAGAGTTTTTACTGACTTTGTGGCCCGGTAATTGCAGGTGATATATCGGCCAAATGCATCCCGAAATGTCTTATTGAAGAGGGTGTAGACCAAAGGATTCACTCCTGAGGAAACATAGCCTATCCACACAAATATCTCCAGGAGCATTTGGAGAGTAGTTTGGTTACAGGAATCACATAAAACTAAAGTTATATTTGTAATAAAGAAGGGACACCACATAAGCAAAAAGAGGAAAAACACAATCCCTAGGACCTTTGAGGCTCTCTGTTCGTTGGAAATGGTCTGCACTGACTTTTTCCCAATTGTGGATGTTCTTCGCATAAGTGTTTCATCACCTGAGTTGGGCAGAGCCTTGTCCTTTCGAGAACCATCCAGCATTGCCACCTTTTCCGGTGACGAGCAAGGTGTTTCATCCCTTTGGAAAACTGTAGACACAGTCAACCATGTTAGGCGTTGAGGTGGCTTGTTTTTGACTAAGTAAGCCTTCTTCTGTAAAGCATGGATAGTGAGAAAGTAGGTGACAATCATAATTGCAAGAGGTGTGAAGAAGGCAGCCAGTGAGCCAAAGAGCATGAAATCGCCAAAACGTTCCTTTGTCAGCACACAAGTGATATTGTTTGGGTTGTCCACATCAGTCTCTATCCCTTTAATAGGGACTGGAATGGCAATGCCTAAGGAAGAGGAAAACAAGATAAATTGAGTCATTTTATGACCTGTAACTCTTCGATTAGATCCTTTTGGATTGTATCCTTATAACTTTATGCTTGTTGGTGCATTATAATTCCTGGGACCCACAATGCAGGATTTGTCGAAGCATTCATCAGTGAAGATTTGACAAACAGAACCTAAGTGAGCAAATCTGTTTTTAAACGGAGATTGGTTAGTAATTTCAGATTTATAATGAAAGCTCCCCTAAAGCTATAGTATATCCATGATACAGTGGAGAATGTCTTCATTTATTCTACATTTCTCATAATCTATTTTTGTTTTTTAAGCTATCTCAGATTAAGGAAGAGAAATTCAGAAGAGAACCTGCTTTTTTCTTATTATCCAGTGTAGTTGATCTAGAGGCACTTCAGAGTACATTTATTCAATATCTTTACTCAGTTTTGTCTTTGAGGTTACAGTTTCATTTAACAGTTTTTCCTTTTGATATGTGTGAATGTCTTTTAATCCTTTCCATCTAACTTCTTAGGGAAAACTAAAGTTCATTAAAAAGTGCTACTTAAAATTTGAGTGTGTGTGAATCATGATGTTGAAAGATTATGAGTTCTTAATCTTTCTTCTTCTGTAGAAGCCTGGGCACAGTGGCGCTCATGCCTGTAATTCCAGCACTTTGGGAGGCCAAGTGGGGGTGGATTACTTGAGGTCAGGAGTTTGAGACAAGCCTGGCCAACATGGCGAAACCCCATCTCTACTAAAAATATGAAAATTAGCCAGGCATGGTGGCACGCGCCTGTACTCCCAGCTACTCAGGAGGCTAAGGTGGGAGAATCACTTGAACCCAGGAGGCCGAGGTTGCAGTGAGCCGAGATCACACCACTGCCCTCCACGCTCAGCGACAAAGTAAGACTCTGTCTCAAAAAAAAAGTTCTTTTATGACCTGGGAAAGAAATATACCTCATGTTAGTTTTCTGATCTTTAAATACCATGAAGTATTTAAATATGATGTTTCTTAGTGAAGTAGCTTATTAGAAAGACAAATAATACAGGGGTTAACCTGAATCTTTTTCCTTTGAAACAGCAGATATTTTTTAAATGTCTGAATTAATTGATCTTTAGAAACCTCTGGAATCCTTGTGTTGTTTTGTGAATCCAAGAGCACCCCTCATCTACACACCCTTTTTATGGTAGCTAAAGAGCCATTGACAAGAATATGTTCCTCAAACCCTTTCTAACAGAGGTCATTACTTTCTCTACTTTTCCTCATGTACACCACCAGAAAGAGGATTCTGTATACTTGTTCTACACCAGGGGTCATTATACTACAGTTTGAGGACCATTGGCCCACATTCTATTTTTGTAAAAGTTTTATTGGCATACTGCCACTCCCATTTGTTAGTAACATATTGTCTGTGGCTGCTTTTGTTCTACTGCAGCAGAATGGAGGAGCTGTGACAGAAACCATATACGCCCTGCAAGCCCAAAATATTTGCTGTCTTACCCTTTATAGAAAAAGTTTGCTGACCCCTGCTTTACCCTGTTACTTTCAGATCACCATTCCACTGTTTATTTCTCCCCCAAAACACTTGCCTTTTGAAGTTTATTTTATCTACTTAATACTTTCTTCTCCATCTTGCTTTTCTGTTAACCTCCATGACATTTGTTCATCTTCATCAATGGCTTCAGTACCTGCTATAGTCTTCTCTCCACTGTTCCAGTGCCAGCATTTTCTACTTCATCCCATTCGTGACCCTTCTAAGACCTTAATTTTATATTTCTTGAACTCTTTGACTCTAATTATTATTATTTGCACTAAAGCCATCTACAAGTCTACTTAGAACAATCCCTAAGATTATGAACTCTAATACTTCCCTTCCTTGTCCTGCTACCCCTCACTCCTAGAGAACTTCTGTTTCCTGTTATTTTTATCTCTAGTTCATTCATTCATCTCAGTTTTCACATTCTATTAACTCATTCTATTAATGAGACTTCATTCATCTCAGTTTTTACATTCTGTTAATATCAGGACTCACACTACTTTCCTATCCAGCTTGTTGGTCAATAACTGTAAAAGTTTTCACTGGTACTTTTTATGCCCTTACCCTGTTATATTATTATACTTTCTGTTGCCAGGTATTACCTAGAATAACTGTAAATCCAAAAGAAGAGAGTGAGCTCTCTTCAGCATTTTGTAGAATTTCAGAACTGAGCTTATTGTCATCTGCATTTTCATTTTTTCAAAGTTATTAATTTGTGATCGGTTCTACAAGACAAAGTGCAATGAAGTGAAAGAGCGTTGATTTTGGCCTTGGTGCTGAAAAGCTGTAAGAGTTCTTAAGCCAACTGATTAAAACCTCTAGGTTTCTTTTTTCTTACCTACAAAAGGAAGAAGTGGATTTCTAAATCTATATATCATGAGTCTTCCTTTTAATCTTTTTTCTCCTGCATCACTCATCACTTTGTGTTAGTGTAATTTGTTTATATGTCCGCCTTTCTTGAATGCAAAGATTCTTTTTCTTGATCATCTGTGTATTCTTAGTACCTAGCACATTATAAACACTCAATAAAAATGTGGTCAATTTATAAATTGATGGTATCCAGCCTTAATCTAGATGCCATTTATACCAGCAGGCTGCTTACCTTATTAGCTTGATCACATTTCACAGTTTCAAATATTTTAATTATTCTTAAGGATCCATTTCTTCAACTTTTTTTCCCTTTCTCTGTCCAACTCTCCCACCCCACCCCAATATACACATACCTCACACTCTCCCTTGCCCTCTCCCTCATTGCAGTGAGCTTACCAAATGTGAGTCATCTGGCATAAATGACTTTATTATAGTTTTCCTCCTCTGCACTTCAAATTTTAATTTTCACCCATTGTCTCCCATTCCCTTTCTGTAGCTGCTTTTGGGGGGCTGGTTCTGCTCTGTCGGCATCTGCCCCCTCATCTAGCCTTTTCTCACTGTTTTTAAATCTCTTCATTCTGAATAGACTTTTTCTTGACCCTGTTTTCTTCCCATACCAGAGGAGTAACACAGCTTGCTTTTACCTCCAAACTTTTTCAAAGAGATCAAGCCCTTATATCATCATTTCAGGAATATGAAGGTCAATCTCATTGTTTTGCTTTCTTGCTGTTTTTGCCCCAGTGCCCCTACTCAGATTAGGGAGGAGTAATTTAAGTATTCCAGGTCTCTTAATTTTTTGCCTCTTTGAAATATTTTTACAAGGAAGAAGAGAATCTGCTGGTCAAACCATTGTAATTTTTGCAAATCTATTTGTTTTTCTGATACTAACATATAAGAGTTTTGAATGATTTACGCATACTTCATGATAAGAAGTATAGCTTTGAGTATTATAGATGAGTACAGGGCCGTAAGACGATTTAGAAGAAAAAGGATTTCTTTTATACATAATTTCTGAACATCGGTATGTTTTCTTTGCATCTCTCTTAAAACTTTGAATTAAACATACTCAAAACACTTAAGTGCAGTGACTCACGCCTGTAATCCCAGCACTTTGGGAGGCTGGGGCAGGGGGATCGCCAGAGCTCAAGAGTTTGAGACCAGCCTGGGCAACATGACAAAACCCCACCTCTACCAAAAATACAAAAATTAGCCAGGCATGGGGGGTGTGTCTGTAGTCCCAGCTACCTGGGAGGCTGAGGTGGGAGGATCGCTTGAGCCCGGGAAGTCGAGGCAGCAGTGAACCATGATTGTGCCATTGCACTCTAGCCTGGGTGACAGAGCAAGACCCTGTCTCCAAAAAAGAAAAAACAAACCAAAAAAACCCACTGAAGCAGACACTTAACTGCCTTTAATCTGTACACATATGTACAGAAATGTTGGCTTCCAAGATGAATTTGTGTTCTTTGATACCTGCCCACAAAATGTTTGAGTTGTTATTTTTGTTTTTTCTCTTATTAATCTTTTAAAATGTGATTTAAGGTGCATTTCTTGTTATTTTAATGTAATTACAGGATTCCAAATGCTAGCTAGACCATAATTATCTGTTGGGAAATATGAAGACTGTTCTCAAACTTAACCTTTCTGCATATAGAAATCTAAGCAGAAAGAAATCTCAATAAACACTGTGCAGATGGTTCTTTCTGAGGACATGAGTTTTGTTACTTGTCACACTTTTTACCAACAGTATGTTTTAGAAGGCGTATGATAAATGCAGTGACATAAGGAGCTTATGTTAATGTATCAGTAGGCTGGCTTGACCTCTCATGCTGAGTTTCATTGCCTACCAGACCTGGTATTCTCCTAGCCAAGTGGAACCAAAGATTTTGTATACCACCCACACTCTGGCATTCTCTACATACCTATTGAAATTAACCACACCACTGTAATCTTGATGAATGCTGTAGCCCGTGAGTTATATTGATTGGCCTGGATTGGCTTTTTGATGGCTATGTAACGATCCACTGAAATGGCACAGAGATGCATGATGGATGCGGTTGAAAAGAGAACGTCAAGAAATAACCAGGCAGGACATAGAACAAGTGGGAGGGGCCACATAGCCTCTGAAAGAAACAAAAACAAGACAAACATTTTATTCTATAAAATGGCAACTTTCAGTCTACAGTTTTTCAGGTGATACATCTTTTGTCTTTTTTGTTACTCATCTGAAATTTTATAACTTTAACAACATAATGTTTAACTTCAGATAATGGAGACAACATTAAATTCAATATTTCTGTGGATGGTAACTTTTAAATACATTTTCTATTTTGCATAATAATTGTGCCTTTTTTCTAAGTCAGCAGCAGTTTAACTTTTTAGCATTATTATGACCTTTGCTCTTTTGTCGATTCCATTTGTGATCTTTTTAAAATTTATGTAGTATTGTGACTGGAACTTAACCTTGGTATTTAAATAAAATTTATTTTTAAGTAGCTGTTGTATAAAAAGAAAACATTTTACCATGTAGAGGAAACAGTATGACAAAAAGCGTATTAGAATGGGAGTCTCTGTGACACCTGGGTTTTGGGCTCACTTCTAGCAATAACTAGCAGCAAGATCCTTGTTTATAGCATACTCTAGTTTGGTGAAATAGTGGAGTGATTTTTTTGACAGAAATAGTTCTCAAATAAAGATTGCAAAAGGAATGGCTTCAGATTATCCGGAAGAAAAGTAGATTGTTTCCCCTTCTATATTTCATCATTCACTCCAAAAACTGGAGATAAAATAATTAGTACAGACTTTTGATTTGAAAAGAAAATCTCAGGGTTAGACGTAGTACTTAATTTATTTAACAAACTCTTATAAAACACTGCATACTTCATATAGTCTTAAGCACTTTAGAAATATTAACCTTAAAAAAATTTTAGGTGTGGATGTGATATTGAATATTCTGCATAGTTTTCTAATAAATTTACTTACACAGATGTTCATACATATGTGAATTTAATATATTATGCATTATATATTACACCCACCACTTAACATGTTTACAGTTTCAAAACAACTAAAATTTTAGAATTCCCCCTAGAATATTTCCATTAGAATCCAGTTTAACTCCTGTAGAGAACAGATGTCATGCATGTGAGATTATCTAAGTCTCTTTTAGGATTTGATTGTTATATGTCCACTGATAAAATGTAATCTACTTTTCTTCTGGCTATTGCAGGTATATCTGACTTTGACAGGTATAAAGTGATTGTCATAATTGAAGGAAAACCAGAATAATCATCTCAGGATTACAGAACAACAAGAGACTCTTCTATTGTTAACTGTTTAAAATTTAAGGAGCCTGGGGGTGGAGAGAGATTAAAATCTCAGACCAAAAAAAAAAAAAGCATAATTTAGGGGCAGAGTTTTTAGATAGATTTGGCTGTTATTTTCAAGCATCAAGTAGGAGATTTTTTTAAAGTCAGGTAGGATTTCAGTGAAAAATATCTGGGCACTTGACAAAGTATCCAGAAGGTAGCAAGGCTGACACATCTACTTTTTGGTGCCTTCTGTTTCCAGAGTTGGTATGTGGCATTCTGAATAAGAATATTAAAATATTTCTTCCTAGGAACAAAATAACAAAATCAGCACAAACTTTTACTCAGAAAGAATAAATGATTGGGACTTAGTTCTATGTTCAGCAGCTTCTTAAAAAGGGATTAAAGCATCAAGTGGAAAGGGTCATTCATACTTTTCAGTGTATTACTGTAAATAAACTTTGCCTGCTTGTTGAATTGGGGGTAGGAAGGGATAGAGGTGGTAAATTTTAGATTTATTGAGCTGGAAGGAACCTTAGAGATTACCATTGATCTTGCAGATGAGTAAATTCAGGTATAATTAAGTCTGAATATAGAGGTAAGGAGGGGAGGCATTTATTTATTGAAATGTAAATGTTATCTGAAAGTGTTATTTAGAACTGCCACTCAGAGTTTGCTCTTAAGATGGAGAGTGAGGATCGGCATCACCTGGGTACTTAGATATGCAGGCTCTTGGGTCTCATCTCAGACCTACTGTATCAGACTCTGCAGTTAAATAAGGTTTCCAGGTGATTCGTATGCAAATTAACATTTGAGAAGCAGTGCTTTGGAAGACTTTCTGGTAAGGTTTGTGTCTGAGTCTTAAAAGATGCACCTAAGTTTCCTGTTGTAGGGTTGGTTATAGGCACTTGGAATGTCTCATGGAAAGGAACTAATGGGAGGCCTCTCAGAATAAATTAAGTCAGAGAAACTGGTGTTTGGAGAAAATCTAATCAATTGGATTTTCTCACTCTTAGCCATAGCATTCAGATTTTTTGTCATTTAGTGGAAAAGGACCTTGGACACAGGCAGCTTCAAAGCGAACTAACAGTCTAAGTATAGTGAAAAGAATCATTTTAGAGTTTGCAGTGGAAACTACTAAAAATGAGGGTACATCTTGAGCTGAAGTTCTAGATTTAGGACTGTAAGTAGGGTGGTAGGAAAATACTCGTCTAGAGCTATAATCAGAGATATTGATTGCAGTTAAGGATTTAAAAGGCAGGTAATTATTGTGTTATATCTTAGATTTCCTTCCTTGAAGTCCTTACTCTCTCTGTAACATCTTTTAAAATAGTTTGCCAACTATTTAAACCTGTCTATTTAGCTATTCTAGTTATGGATTATACTTCTGAAGATTAAGGTTTGGAAAATTCTAGTCATAAATCTAGTTGCCATAAGCAGGAAGCCATAAGAAAATTCATATAAAAAGTACGTGTCTTTGGAATTTGACCATCTGATCCACATACTCCTAATTGTGGGCTAAGAAGGAAAGTTTTTTAGTGCTGATTTAAGTAACCCTATGAAGCCCTGTTAGCCTCACTTTAAACAGAATTTATAAACTCATTCCCACTTAAAATTCACTAGAATTTTCTTATTACAGTTAGTGCTTTATTGTTAACAGAAATATTGAGATGTGATACAGAATTTTCTTTAAGAAAGAATGAGACTGAAATTTATAAGAGAGATGAATCTTTACAATTCCAAGCCTTTCTCATTTCAAGTTTCGTGAAACACTGGTGGATAGTTTTAATGAAACTAATATAAAAGAAAAAGATAACTGCATTAAATTAATAGAAACCTTATATACAACACAAAAAAGAAAAAGAGGCTTTTTTAAATGCCTAATATATTTGGGTAATCTAAGAATTTATAGAAATTAAAAACAGTTCTAGACACACTTGTTTTATAAAGGGGCTTTTCCTAGTCTAGAGACTTTCATTCTAAAATCATTTTTTAGTTAGTATTAATTTAGCTCAAAGTCAGAAAAGTTTATTTCTGTTTAGAATAACTAAATTAAAGGTTAAGTTGGTATGGTGAAATACTTTATTTCAAAACGTTTATTTTAGGAGTTTTGGTTTTAAGAATTTCTAATTACATTATTTGTTATAATGTATTCTGTCCAATATACTTCCACAAAGACTTAAGACATTGAAAATTTGAAATAATGAAGTGAAACAGTTACATACTTAAATGGAAAGAAAGAAATGTGTATCTAAGGGTCAGTCTGAGGGAAACAAGTTACTAGGTTCTTCAACTAAATTACTGTTATTCTGGGGCTCTAAATTAGACTCTTTCATTAAAATTAAGAAAGAATAATAGCATTTCTGTCAATGCCTGAAATAATTACAGACTGAATATTAAAGCAACAAAACAAGTCCTAGATGGGTCTTGTCTTATAGACAATTGTTTAATTATCTAAAGAATATCAGTAGCACAAATATTTTATTGTTTAAAATGAAGACTGCTTTAAATTCTGCCATGCATGAGGGATGGTAGGAGTTGTCATTCAGTTATATAAATTTTTATTTGTCTCCCAGACAAGGTTCAACAACTTCATAGGTATGGGCCTAGGTCTAATACCTTCCACAGAAAAGAGATCTTGCAGTCATCTGAAGGATTTGTACAAGTATAGGTTGACGCACAAGTATTCTTTTCCACTTAATATGAAATATAACTTTAACTGAAAAGAATACTGAGTTCTAACTTGTCCCTAGGGGGGAAAAAATTCTGTGATCCTCTGAACAGTTACATGGGGTTATTTAAGGTATAAATGTTGGTTCTGTATGCCAAATATGACAGTTTTGGCTGGTCAGATTTCTCATTGACATTTGAGAAAGCGGAATAATAAAGGTTAAGAGTGTGAATTCTAGAATCAGTCCTCCTGGGTTTAAATCATGTCTCTGCCACTTACTTTGTAATCTTGAACAGATTACTTATCCCTCTGCTTCTCTGTCCTCTGTAAAGTGGGGATAATAGTACCTGTTTTATAGGATTTCTTTAATAGAGTTTATATGGATGATGATTAAATACATGTGAAGTGTTTAGAACAGTTCCTGGCATAAAGAAAACACTCAATAAATGTTAGTGCTTATTACTATTGTTTAACAGAAACTAGCCAACTAACTCAACCATGAAAACACTCCTACATAGAAACAAGCCAAATCATCAGTATGAAATAAGAGTGTTTGTCTTTCTACCTGCTGTAGCAAAAGTGCATGCATCTGATTCAGCTTAAAACTTTAAGCTGTACTTTCCGGGGGTGAGGGAGGATGGGCTGAGAACAGTTAACTCTGTTTAACTTTCAATTGAATTTGTCATAAAAGTATGTTTTTTACTAACGTTGAATTTTAACTGCTGTTTATTTTATATACGGTACAGGAAAATAACCTGTATGCATTGCATGCCTGGGTTTTTTGTTGGTTTGGGTATTTTTTTGTTTGTTTTTGCTTTCTTTTGAATTAGTACAAAAACCTGAGGAGTTTTACTAGAAACCCCGTATCTTGATGAGGCAGACTTATTTTATCTGAAACCTGCTTAACCTTTGGGCAGCTTTTTAGTTTGGGAAGTCAGGTTACACTATTTGTCCGGAAAATAATTAGCATCAGTCCATAAATCTGGGACATAAAATGTTTCCCTTTGGAGGATGTAAAAGACTATTTTTAAAGGCATTCCAAGTGGGCTGTTCCTATAGTTTACAGAGGTACTCAGTTCATGAACTTATTGCAGCAGGACAAATCATAAATACTTCTTATGTCCAAAAAGAACATAATTTTCAAATATACATTTATCTCAGAAATTCTAATGCTTCTGTCTTTATCTTCCAGAAAAGAAAGACATAGTTCAGTTCAAATTATTGTTTAAAAGTTTCTGTTTTGTTTTTTACTTTTTTCACTACATTTGAGCATATGAGTTATCCTGGGGTTCAGTGTCTAATATGATAGTGTTTTAAATGTTTTAAGCATTTTAATGCTTACAGAATTTTTTCCTGGTTTTTAAAATTTCCACTTTACAAAAAGAAGTGCCTTTAATTCATTGCTTTTCTCCTCCATTTCAGAATTGGGTAGGCTAACATTTTACTGCATAAATGAATAACTGCCATTTTTCTCTTACTGCTATACATTTGTTTCATCTCTGATTAGACTTGCATCTCAACTAAATCATATTTAATTTGCATGCAGTACTCTACCAGTTACTATTAGTGCTTATAAGATGCTGGGCCCTGCTTGACAAGGTGATTGAGCTCTGAAATAATAAGTGATTGAACTCTGAAATAATAAGTGACTTGCCTGATCCAACACGGGAGAACCAGGATTCAGACCCTGGGATGTCTTGCTTCAAACAGCCATCTTTCAGCCATTTTATATACTCTTTCAGCTATACCACGGATACTGTTTGAACTTATAGATCATGAGGCATCAATTGAAACTTAAGTTATAGCCAGGTTTGGTGGCTCATGTCTGTAATCCCAACACTTTGGGAGGCCGAGGCAGGTGGATCACCTGAGGTCAGGAGTTCAAGACCAGCCTGGCCAAAGTGGCAAAACCCCATCTCTACTAAAAATACAAAACTTAGCCAGGTGTGGTGGCCTGCGCCTGTAGTCCCAGCTACTCGGGAGGCTGAGGCAGGAGAATCGTTTGAACCTGTGGGTGGAGGTTGCAGTGAACTGAGATCATGCCACTGCCCTGCAGTCTGGGCAACAGAACGAGACTCCGTCTCAAAAAAAAAAAAAAAAAAAAAACTTATAAATAAACCAATAACACCCAATGGATGGCCAGATGCCATATCTTCCCGTGTTACTTTTTTTTTTTTTTTTCCCTGAGACAGAGCCTCACCCCGTCACCCAGGCTGGAGTGCAGTGGCACCATCTCGGCTCACTGCAACTCTGTCTTCCGGGTTCAAGCTATTCTCCTGCCTCAGTCTCCCGAGTAGCTGGGACTACAGGCGCGTACCACCATGCCCAGCTAATTTTTGTATTTTTAGTAGGGACAGGGTTTCGCCATCTTGGCCAGGCTGGTCTCGAACTCCTGACCTCAGGTGATCCATCCGTTTCAGCCTCCTAAAGTGCTGGGGTTACAGGCATGAGCCACCGTGCCCAGCCTCCCCTGTTACTTTTTAAATCACTTATAAAATGAAACAAAGATTCAGAGAAGCTCTTAAATGGTGAACATCCTGTCTTTTTTATATCAGCATAAGGTGTTGTTTTCTTGCTCAAGTATTTCTAACGTAGGTATTTTCAAGCCTTGTGTTATAAGCTGTTGATTTGTGATCATGGATTTTAGGAATTATGGACAAGACAATAAAAAACTACAACTGTAAAGATCAAGTCCAGTGCTCCCAGATAGGAAGAAGTGGCAGAAAAATTGACCTAGCACAACTCATTTGAAAGACAATGTTGTGCCTGAGTTGTCATAATCTTGGGAAAATATGAATTCAAACCGTATATTGTTAAATATTATACAGATCAGTGGTTGAATAAAATATCTCTCAGTATAAGGACAGAAGGTCCACTTTTATATTTTACTGCTCTTATTTTTAAAATTTCATTTTATTAGACTACGAGCTAGTATAGTTTTTGTGTTACTTTCATTGAATTCCCCTGCGATAGCTAAAATTATTGCTCATAGTGATAGTTAATCTTTTATCATAGAACCAAGAACGCTTGTTTGTACAAACGTTAGAAGTCCTAAAGATTAACACTACAATAAGAGTGTAAAGTCTAATTCTGCCTTTTAAAGTTATCAGAAGTTCTTATAAATGCATTAGTTTAGAAAAATCTTTGTGTTTATTAACTTGCAAAAGGTTATAAAAATATCTTGGTATTTGAAGTCAGGTTTCCATTTGTAATACATGCAGTTCCCAATTTATGAATTCATCCTTTGAAGTTTGTTAGAGGGCAACATGTGTTTTTTTCCTACATTTTTTCATAGAAATTGAATTATGCTTTAAATAATGCAATAATGTATTAGATAGTAGTTCACAGATTTGTTCATTTTTTAAAAATCTACAAACCCCACTATACAACTTATTTCTGATAGTAAAAGTGTTTGGGGCTATAAAATATTTTATTTTGTAATTAGAAATTAACAAACATGAGCCAGGCATGGTGGAATGTGCCTGTAATCCTAGCTACTTAAGAGGCTGAAGGCAGAGGATCACTTGAACCCAGGAGTTTGAGGCCAGCCCAGGCAACATTGCCAGACTCCATCTCTATTAAAATAAATAAATAAAAATAAATTTAAAGTTAATAAACATTTGGAAGAATGAAATAATATTAAAATGTCTATCAATTATTTAAGACATAAATATGAAGACATTTCACATATTTTATGTTAACATATGTTGGGTTTTCTGCTAACTTGTATTGCTAAGGATATGTTGGGTACCAGCATTTTAAATATACACTTAAAGTTTTCAGCTGCTGGATACCTATTTTTCTATAGAATACATGGAATCTATTAAACAGGTAAATCTTTGTTACCTGTTTTTGTATTTTGTTTGTTAGCTCACTTTAATTCTATGGTACTTTGCCTTTTAAGATTCCTTAACTATTTAGCTGATAATTTAAGTATCTACCATGGTACTTTGCATATAATAGATGTTTGATATTTATGGACTCAAAGATTTTAAAGCTAAAATTCACTTCTGCATAATTCTTTCAATATCATGTATTGAATGACGTATTAAATTTTATGGTAGTCTGAAATAAGCATTTTGACATTTTCTGTGTGCCTAGCAAAGCACAGTTTGAAGAGTATGATTTTACATCTTAAGCTACTATTATGCACATGGAGATGAGAGCTAGAATCATATGCCTGTACAGTATTTATCAAATATGCATATATATTTCTACATAATACTTTCTTTTAAGCTTTATTCAGAATTAGGGTTATGTTCTCTATTATAGTAAGATTTCTTAATTATTTTTCATGGTTTCATGCAGCATTAGATTATTTAAAAGATTACAAATTTATAAAACAGGGAGATAGAAAGACTGTTAATTATTAGAAAGTCTAATTAAAGCAGTAGAACTTTACTCATTACTGCTTGTCCTGCCACATAATTTTCTTGATTTATTTTAAAGCCCAGGTAAATGTTGATTTAAAATGGAAGGTGTAAACCTGTTACTATCTGATAATAGTTTTAGATATCTTTCTGTTATTACTTATAAAATTGTAATGTGTAAAACCTGGGTATAATAGTTGGAATAGCAGGGGTTTTTTACCTTCTAATATGGATTCTAGTTTAATAAATTTTACTTCTGTAACTTAAAATATTTTTATCTTCATATAAGTAAATATAATTCTAAGAAACTATATCTGCCACAAGTAATCATTTTGCTTAGGCAGTTTATGAATGGAATATCAGTTTATACCAAGCATTGAATAAGTTAAATATCCTTTTAATGCTGATTCCAAGGGTCTAGGAGCCCTCATAATTCATCAGCAGAATTATTTGTGTTTATCCAAATTTTATAACTAGAGATGATATGCAGAAATCTGGAACTACTTATATCTTTTTTTTATTATAGCAAACTAAGATTTCAGTGTCAAACTATACCTTTTATTATCGCAATAACTAGGTTTTAATCCACTTACCAACTTAGAGGCCTATCAGGAACACAGATGCCCATATATCATAAAAAAATTGAATCGATAGATCATCTCTTTGGACACTCTGAGCCAAACCATTTCCTTCAGCAACTAAACATAATTTTTCTTAACATGACACATATGTAGGAATTGTGTTCAAGTTTATAATATACAAACTATTAAGAGCTATAATAAGAATTTTTGGACAGTTCCAATTTTAAACTGGGGTTTAGTGATTTAAATTGGGATTTAGTAATTCAAAGACCTTATCGTTAACCCAGCGCATATCTGTCCCGGAAGTGTCCTAGTTATTGCTTTGAGGAAAAAAAGTATCAGTGTAGAAAAGTTAAAGTATAGGCCTATTTACTATAATTTATAGATAATATATTCAGAATCTATAAATATCACTAACTTGAATGACTTTTTAAATGATTTTATTAGATAGCTTAGGAGGGAGAAAAATAGTTTACAAAAAATATTTTTTGCTCTTTAAAACTGCTGATCAACCATAGAGAATGATATAAAACAAGGGACTGTTTACTTGCCGTATCTTTAAATAGTCCAAGTTCATCTTTTATTTCAAGAAAAGTAAAGATTAAATGAGTGTCCATTCTCTAATAGTATATCATAGTTCTGTGGTTTGATGGCACAAACAAAGTGAAATACTTACCAAACATTATTGTCAAGAGGGCAATTGGCATCACAAACAATCCAACCAGCAAATCAGCCACCGCCAAGGACATTAGAAAGTAATTAGTAGCATACTGCAGCTTCTTCTCCAGTGAAACAGCCAGAATAACAAGGGTATTTCCACCAATTGTGGGTATTATCACCATGAGTATCAGAAGAGCTGCCCAGTGCAGTTTATTTCCCTGTTCCTCAACAATCTGTTTCATTTCCTCTGGTATTGATTCTGTCTGTAATCCAGACCAGTTAGAAGAGATAACGTGAACAAAGGTGCTCTGCAAAATGTGCTCAGGAATTGTGCTTTGAAGTTCAGACACTCTGTAAGAGAGAGCCATTTGCTGTTTTTCTGTGATTCAATCCCGTTCCGAACAGTGGTCAGCATGGTTAGTAGCTAAGCTGCTCATCTGTTTTTTTAAGGCATTGTAACCATGCCAAACACTCAAAAGCCAAAGTTGACACCTTCCTTTAAAAAAAAAAATTCAAGTTCTCTAAAATGAGCGCATACACACATCTGTCCATGTTTGTAGGTAAGATATCCAAGTATTTATTATTTTCTAGAGGCTTAAATTTAGGAAAGCTCAGTGAAAGAAACTGATAGCTGTGAAAAAAATAGGATATATATATATTTTTAGTTTCTCTCTCTCTCTTTTTCTGCCGTAGTTGTAGAGTCGTGTTTGAACTTGCATGCCAGAGAGTTCCCCCTAGATACAAAATACATAGACTGCATTATTTTATTCATTTCTGAAAGTGGTAAAAACACTTGAACTTCATAGCCCTTCCCTTCTTAGTAAGTCTGTTGTGCATTTGTGACAATGCAGCCAATTCTCCAAATATACTGTATTTCTGATGTTGCTCAGTTAATGAAACAGAAGACACATTAATTTTTTCAATGGTTATAATAAAAAGTTAGGTGTTTCCTGACCCTTGAATGTCTTTTTACCTTTACTTACAGAAGAATAGAAAAGTCGAAACACAATAGTTCAGAATAGAACTTTTAGTATGCGCTGGCCACCCACCTAGAAACACTCAAAGCCCAACAAGGGTCTAAATAAATGTTTTACCAGCTAGGGATCCTTATATGTAATTAGCTTTGTCTTATCAGGTTTGTGAGTACTGATATAAATGTCATTTTAGATTTCCTTTAGTTTGAGAGAAGGAAAAAAAAAGGTATTACTAGGATCCAAATAATTGTGTTTAGTAATTTCATCTCTCATGGTATGTCTTTGCAACAATTGTGTTCTAAATTTAATCACTAAATTTGCCAAATTCAAACCAGTTCTTTTTTTGTTTTAAGTAGTGTTTATTTTTTTAACCTTCCCAGTTGCCTTGAGAAGAAAGGGAAACCAAAAGGAAGATTAGACCATTTATTTGTTCATCAAATGTACAAATCACGTTTTTAAAAACTCTCCTTTAGCATTAGTAAATTTTTCATTTTGATTTTTAAACCGCTGAATAGAAATGAAAGATTATGATAGCAGAATTCTTGAAGATTAAAAAAAAAAACCTTTAGATTAATTCCATATGTGTTTATTAAATGCTTACCTCTGGTTTCGTTGTTATTTTGCTGAGCATGTCATCTTATCTGTTCACTAGACTTGCTTGCTGCTGTGACTGAAATCCTCCTCCCATTGACTTATTCTGAGCCTCCAGCACAGGCGGTTGAAAGCAGTGAAACAAATACGTTGTATAGCTGCAAGCATGCCAAGGAGGTTATTTCCTCTTTGATACATTCATTTTTAGAGAGTAGCAGCATTCATTGTAATTCATAAAACCACTGTTAAGCATGTTGAACCAGTTCATGGCCCTTATTCAAGTTATATTTTTAAGAGCTCTCTTTAATATTTGGGGGGACTGTAATAAACTTGATCATTTTAGCTTCAGATAGTTTTGTTTGGGGTTAAGCCTGAGCTGTTTTTCACATTTGAGAAAAAATAAGATATAATCTAGCTATTTTAGAGGTTTCATTCTTTGAAGATTCTGCCGTTTTAAAAGCCTATAGTGATTTCTACAGTTCTGATTTCTAGCAGTGAAACAAGATTCTTATCTAGCTTTTGTGCCTTTGCTGTGGAACACCATTAATTTGCTCTGGTTGCAACCTTATATAGAAGAGCACAGAAAGGCCTGAATTCTACATGTATACATAGGTTTTAGCAGAAACTTTTTTACTGCTTATTTTTAAACAGATGATCTCTGGGTTTAGGAGTGGTTCACAGCTTTTTTTCCCCATAGACTTTACGTTGGAGAAAATACAAGTAATGAAAATACGTTTTTGCCTTATTTCAGAAAATTGGTGTTTAAATCTTAATAGTTATGCTATTTAAGTTTTCTGTAACCATAAGACTAGCTTAGTATTAGAACCTCAGCATTCTCAAGGTTTCCTTTTAAAAGATCATTATAGATGCATATTTTAAAATTAATTACTTATAAATCAGTGATGACATTTGTGCCCTTTTCTTGTTTCAAATTTGTATTCCTTTGCTCATGTTGAATGTTATTGGAAAATACTTAGTTCATTTTAGCTCTGCTGAGCACTTCAGATTTTATTCAGTATT